>NC_000014.9:19187178-19511713 GCF_000001405.40 Homo sapiens
TTTACATTTAAAGTTGATATTGTTATGTGTGAATTTGATCCTGTCATTATGATGTTAGCTGGTTATTTTGCTCATTAGTTGATGCAGTTTCTTCCTAGCCTTGATGGTCTTTACAATTTGGCATGGTTTTGCAGTGGCTGCTACCGGTTGTTCCTTTCCATGTTTAGTGCTTCCTTCAGGAGCTCTTTTAGGGCAGGCCTGGTGGTGACAAAATCTCTCAGCATTTGCTTGTCTGTAAAGTATTTTATTTCTCCTTCACTTATGAAGCTTAGTTTGGCTGGACGTGAAATTCTGGGTTGAAAATTCTTTTCTTTAAGAATGTTGAATATTGGCCCCCACTCTCTTCTAGCTTGTAGAGTTTCTGCCAAGAGATCCGCTGTTAGTCTGATGGGCTTCCCTTTGTGAGTAACCTGACCTTTCTCTCTGGCTGCCCTTAACATTTTTTCCTTCATTTCAACTTTGGTGAATCTGACAATTATGTGTCTTGGAGTTGCTCTTCTCGAGGAGTATCTTTGTGGCGTTCTCTGTATTTCCTGAATCTGAAAGTTGGCCTGCCTTGCTAGATTGGGGAAGTTCTCCTGGATAATATACTGCAGAGTGTTTTCCAACTTGGTTCCATTCTCCATCACTTTCAGGCACACCAATCAGATGTAGATTTGGTCTTTTCACATAGTCCCATATTTCTTGGAGGCTTTGTTCATTTCTTTTTATTCTTTTTTCTCTAGACTTCCCCTCTCATTCATTTCATTCATTTCATCTTCCATCACTGATACCCTTTCTTCCAGTTGATCACATCAGCTCTTGAGGCTTCTGCATTCTTCCCGTAGTTCTCGAGCCTTGGCTTTCAGCTCCATCAGCTCCTTTAAGCATTTCTCTGTATTGGTTATTCTAGTTATACATTCATCTAACTTTTTTTCAAAGTTTTCAACTTCTTTGCCTTTGGTTTTAATTTCTTCCTGTAGCTCGGAGTAGTTTGATCGTCTGAAGCCTTCTTCTCTCAACTCATCAAAGTCATTCTCCATCCAGCTTTGTTCTGTTGCTGGTGAGGAGCTGAGTTCTTTTGGAGGAGGAGAGTCGCTCACTTTTTAGAGTTTCCAGTTTTTCTGCTCTTTTTTTTCCCCATCTTTGTGGTTTTATCTGCTTTTGGTCTTTGATGATGGTGATGTACAGATTGGTTTTTGGTGTGGATGTCCTTTCTGTTTGTTTGTTTTCCTTCTAACAGACAAGACCCTCAGCTGCAGGTCTGTTGGAGTTTGCTAGAGGTCCACTCCAGACCCTGTTTGCCTGGGTGCCAGCAGCGTTGGCTGTAGAACAGCAGATTTTCATGAACCACAAAAGCTGCTGTCTGATCGTTCCTCTGGAAGTTTTGTCTCAGAGGAGTACCTGGCCAGGGGATATCACCACCAATCCCACAGAAATACAAACTACCATCAGAGAATACTACAAACACCTCTACACAAATAAACTAGAAAATCTAGAAGAAATGGATAAATTCCTTGACACATACACCCTCCCAAGACTAAAGCAGGAAGAAGTTGAAACTCTGAATAGACCAATAACAGGCTCTGAAATTGTGGCAATAATCAATAGCTTACCAACCAAAAAGAGTCCAGGACCAGATGGATTCACAGCCAAATTCTACCAGAGGTACAAGGAGGAACTGGTACCATTCCTTGTGAAACTATTCCAATCAATAGAAAAAGAGGGAATCCTCCGTAACTCATTTTATGATGCCAGTGTCATCCTGATACCAAAGCCGGGCAGAAACACAAGAAAAAAGAGAATTTTAGACCAATATCCTTGATGAACATTAATGCAAAAATCCTCAATAAAATACTGGCAAAACAAATCCAGCAGCACATCAAAAAGCTTATCCACCATGATCAAGTGGACTTCATCCCTGGGATGCAAGGCTGGTTCAATATACGCAAATCAATAAATGTAATCCAGCATATAAACAGAACCAAAGACAAAAACCACATGATTATCTCAATAGATGCAGAAAAAGCCTTTGACAAAATTCAACAACCCTTCATGCTAAAAACTCAATAAATTAGGTATTGATGGGACTTATTTCAAAATAATAAGAGCTATCTATGACAAACCTACAGCCAATATCATACCGAATGGGCAAAAACTGGAAGCATTCCCTTTGAAAGCTGGCACAAGAGAGGGATGCCCTCTCTCACCACTCCTATTCAACAGAGTGTTGGAAGTTCTGGCCAGGGCAATCAGGCAGGAGAAGGAAATAAAGGGTATTCAATTAGGAAAAGAGGAAGTCAAATTGTCCCTGTTTGCAGACGACATGATTGTACATCTAGAAAACCCCATTGTCTCAGCCCAAAATCTCCTTAAGCTGATAAGCAACTTCAGCAAAGTCTCAGGATACAAAATCAATGTACAAAAATCACAAGCATTCTTATACACCAACAATAGACAAACAGAGAGCCAAATCATGAGTGAACTCCCATTCACAATTGCTTCAAAGAGAATAAAATACCTAGGAATCCAACTTACAAGGGATGTGAAGGACCTCTTCAAGGAGAACTACAAACCACTGCTCAAGGAAATAAAAGAGGATACAAACAAAAGGAAGAACATTCCATGCTCATGGGTAGGAAGAATCAATATCGTGAAAATGGCCATACTGCCCAAGGTAATTTATAGATTCAATGCCATCCCCATCAAGCTACCAATGACTTTCTTCACAGAATTGGAAAAAAATACTTTAAAGTTCATATGGAACCAAAAAAGAGCCTGCATCACCAAGTCAATCCTAAGCCAAAAGAACAAAGCTGAAGGCATCACACTACCTGACTTCAAACTATACTACAAGGCTACAGTAACCAAAACACCATGGTACTGGTACCAAAACAGAGATATAGATCAATGGAACAGAACAGAGCCCTCAGAAATAACGCCACATATCTACAACTATCTGATCTTTGACAAACCTGAGAAAAACAAGCAATGGGGAAAGGATTCCCTATTTAATAAATGGTGCTGGGAAAACTGGCTAGCCATATGTAGAAAGCTGAAACTGGATCCCTTCCTTACACCTTATACAAAAATTAATTCAAGATGGATTAAAGACTTAAACGTTAGACCTAAAACCATAAAAACCCTAGAAGAAAACCTAAGCATTACCATTCAGGACATAAGCATGGGCAAGGACTTCATGTCTAAAACATCAAAAGCAATGGCAACAAAAGCCAAAATTGACAAATGGGATCTAATTAAACTAAAGAGCTTCTGCACAGCAAAAGAAACTACCATCAGAGTGAACAGGCAACCCACAAAATGGGAGAAAATTTTCACAACCTACTCATCTGACTAAGGGCTAATATCCAGAATCTACAATGAACTCAAACAAATTTACAAGAAAAAAACAAAAAACCCCATCAAAAAGTGGGTGAAGGACATGAACAGACACTTCTCAAAAGAAGACATTTATGCAGCCAAAAAACACATGAAAAAATGCTCATCATCACTGGCCATCAGAGAAATGCAAATCAAAACCACAATGAGATATCATCTCACACCAGTTAGAATGGCAATCATTAAAAAGTCAGGAAACAACAGGTGCTGGAGAGGATGTGGAGAAATAGGAACACTTTGACACTGTTGGTGGGACTGTAAACTAGTTCAACCATTGTGGAAGTCAGTGTGGCGATTCCTCAGGGATCTAGAACTAGAAATACCATTTGACCCAGCCATCCCATTACTGGGTATATACCCAAAGGACTATAAATCATGCTGCTATAAAGACACATGCACACGTATGTTTATTGCGGCATTATTCACAATAGCAAAGACTTGGAACCAACCCAAATGTCCAACAATGATAGACTGGATTAAGAAAACGTGGCACATATACACCATGGAATACTATGCAGCCATAAAAAATGATGAGTTCATGTCCTTTGTAGGGACATGGATGAAATTGGAAATCATCATTCTCAGTAAACTATCGCAAGAACAAAAAACCAAACACCACATATTCTCACTCATAGGTGGGAACTGAACAATGAGAACACATGGACACAGGAAGGGGAACATCACACTCTGGGGACTGTTGTGGGGTCGGGGGAGGGGGGAGGGATAGCATTGGAAAATATACCTAATGCTAGATGATGAGTTAGTGGGTGCAACGCACCAGCATGGCACATGTATACATATGTAACTAACCTGCACATTGTGCACATGTACCCTAAAACTTAAAGTATAATAATAATAAAAAAAATACTCCTAGAGCATTTCCATTAATTGTGTGTACAGAAATAGAAATACATTTCTATTAATTGTGTGTACAGAAATAGAAATAGAAAACAGAAGCCTGGGAAGCTTAATGCTGGCACTCAGGTGGGAGCCTTCCTTAGATCCTCTATGTGTTGTGTTCCCCTTTCTTCCCAGCAGATTTGGTCCAGTGGGTCTGTTTTCATTTTTTATGAAAGGGCTGAGTCATGAATGAGTAATCCCAAATCCAGCTTCCATAATGGGTTGTTAACTCTAAGAACCCTCTTGATTGTCTTTTTGTTTTGGGCACAGGAAATGTCATAACAACAGAGGCTCCATCAGGGCTTACTGGTAGCCCACTACTGGAAATCACATGTCCCAAATATTTAACTTGAGAGAGAGAAAATTGCAATTTATCTCTGGACAATCTTTGTCCCTTAAAGCAAGCTGTTGTGACAAGTGGACAATGTCTTCTCTGCCTGTTGTCAAGGAGGATGAAAGTGACAAATCATCCACATATTGACCAGGATAGTTCTGCTAGAAAATTTGATATCATGTAAATGTCTTTTTAATATTTGAGAAAAGTAAGTAGGACACTTGGAATATCCTGAAGCAAGATTGTCCATGTGTACTGGTGATTTTCTCAAGCAAAGGCAAAAAGATATTGGCTGTTCTGCTCTACAGGTAAGCTGGAGAAAGCATCACATATGCCAGTGGCAGAGAAGTGGCTGGCAGTGATAGGAACATTAGACCGCAAGGTGTGGGGGTTAGGAACAACAGGATTTCTAGGAATTATTAGTGTATTATTAGTGTATAGCTCTTAACTCCTGAATGAATCTCCAGCTTTTTCCATTTGGCTTTTTAACTGGGAGGATTGGTGTACTGCCAGGACTGCTTCAAGTCCTTTGTCTAAATAGTCCTACATGAATGGTTTGATTCCCAGTAAGGCTTCAGGTCTAAGGGGATATTGCTTAATGTTTGGCAGAGGTTTAAGTTTATCTGTGGTTATCTCTATGGGTACTGCTGACTTAATTCTCCTGATATCCATGGAAGAAATTGCCCATAAAGAATCTGGTAAATTGGGTAAGACTCTAATTACCCCTGTTCAAATTCTTTATTGACTTTGGCAAGCATAATATCACACATGAGCTTTTGTAAGTCTTCTGTGTTTTCCAAGTTGAGAATCATATGTCCCTTCTGCGAAAATGACATGTGGGCATTTTGGGTATCTGGGAAATCCTGTGCCAGCAGGTATATGGGCACACTCTCTACTACAAAAAAAGATGCCCCATTAGTTCTAGTTGAAATAGAAGAAGATTAGATGGAAAAGCTATAACCTGGGAGTTCAAAATCTCTGCCATTTGCACTTTTATGTGACCCCAAGGGAGAGGGTTTTTAAACAAGATAGGGTTGAGGACTGACAGTGTAGCTGCCGTTGTCTATAAGGGCTCTAGTATTCTCCCTATTTGTGGATATTTCTACTTCTCCTTGTTTGTTAAAAGTAGAGGGAAAACCCTCTCTATTCCCTCAGAGCATCTTCATTCTAATTTTTCAGTTATTTTGGTGCCTTACTCTGGAGTCTTCTCCCGTTGTGCAAGCACCTGTTTGTGTTTCATGCAATCCTTTCTAAGATGTCCTTTCTTCTTGCAATAGTGGCACATTGCTTTTTTTGTCTTTTTGTGATCTCTGTGAGGAATAGAAAACGGAACACTTACAACTTTCCTACTTTGTTACTAAGTTGTTTTTGCTGTGAACTCATGACCTTAAAGGATGCTTCCTTTTCCTTCTCGGTGATCATTTGTGACAACTGGTCAGCTGTGGGGACTTGATGACTAGTGGGCAAAGAAGCCCCAGCCACATTATT
Source organism: Homo sapiens (assembly GCF_000001405.40). NCBI lineage: Eukaryota > Metazoa > Chordata > Mammalia > Primates > Hominidae > Homo > Homo sapiens. The sequence continues at coordinate 19,193,279 of NC_000014.9, forward strand.
TCACTTTATTGAAGTCACTAACTCATCATCTAAGCCTTGTGCAAATCTAGAATTTAGTAACGCATCACTTCCACCATGCTCAAAGTTTTCAGAAGGGTCCCTAAATATTTGAATGTTTTTTCAAACATGATGTAAAAATCAAGTACAGTTTGAGTTGGGCATACTTTACATTATTGTACCTTTGCCCAGTCTAGCAACAAATACTTATTGCTTTTTTTTTAAGACAGGATCTTGCTCTGTCACCTCAGCTGGGGTGCAGTGGTGCCATCCCGCCTCACTGCAGTTTCAACCACCCAAGCTCAAGCTATCTTCCCACCTCAGCCCCCCAAGTAGTTGGGACCACAGGTACGTGTCACCATGCTTGGCTAATTTTTAAAATCTTTTGTAGAGATGAGGTCCCACTAGGTTGCCCAGGCTCATCTGGAACTCCTGAGCTCAAGCAATCCTCCCGCCTCAGCCTCCCAGAACACTGAGATTACAGGCATGTCTGGCAGCTTTTCTAATATGAAAGTTATTATTGAAAAAAATAAAATAAAAATCTTTCCAGTGGACATTTTTGAGCCCCTCTCATCACATTTCTTAGGAAGAAAATATCTGGGGCTCTGGAATGTTCCTTTTAACCCACAGCCTCAAACGTACCCACCCTGGACCACTGGATACAATTTTCTCTCATTGGGTGCACAGTAGCTCTGTCCTAAAGGCCGAACCTTCTCAGTAGGTGAGGCAGTATGAGCTTTGCCACTTACCTACTGTGTGACTTTTGGCAAGATCCTTCCCTTAGTTGGGCACCAGTTTTTTCTTCTTTATAAATTCAAGAGTTAGAATCAATGATCTGCAAGGTCTTTTCTGGATGTAGCAAAAAGGAGACATTTAGAACCATAAAACCCCAGGGGTAGATTTCAGAATGTGTGCATTACTTCCCAGGAAAATATTCTTTACTATTCTCCTTTGTAGATGCCTCCAGCCAGATGATAAGCACCCTTCAGCCTAGCTTGGCTCCACATCTCACTCCAGTCATGGTGTCGGACTGGGCACAAAGCAGGTGCTCAGTGAATTAGCTTGTCTCCATCCCCTAAAAAGCGTTCCACATATTCTAGGTTTGCTCATCAGTGGACCCTCCTGATGGGTGGGAATCTGGAGCACAAGGCTGGTTTTAACTACTGGAGTACTGGAGCACACACAGTGATCTTTTTTTCTGACATAGTTGGTACAGTGCTTACTTGTAATAATTCACAATTCACCAAGCAGAGCGGGTCTGGGCACCTCGAAGGCAGACATGCCAGCGGCTGAGGGGAACATGATATTCAAGTCCTCTCCGTCTGGGGTCTTGGTCCAGAAGGCCAATCTCCTGGCAGCCCACGCAGCACGTTCGAGAAATCTCACTTGTGGCGGGTTCCCAAGCTGTTGCCATGCAGCCTCTGGAAAGAGATCTGATAAGTCCCAGGACTTCAGAAGAGCTGTGCGACCTTGGCCAAGTCACTTCCTCCTTCAGGAACATTGCAGTGGGCCTAAGTGCCTCCTCTCGGGACTGGTATGGGGACGGTCATGCAATCTGGACAACATTCACCTTTAAAAGTTTATTGATCTTTTGTGACATGCACGTGGGTTCCCAGTAGCAAGAAACTAAAGGGTCGCAGGCCGGTTTCTGCTAATTTCTTTAATTCCAAGACAGTCTCAAATATTTTCTTATTAACTTCCTGGAGGGAGGCTTATCATTCTCTCTTTTGGATGATTCTAAGTACCAGCTAAAATACAGCTATCATTCATTTTCCTTGATTTGGGAGCCTAATTTCTTTAATTTGGTATGCAAGAAAACCAATTTGGAAATATCAACCGTTTTGGAAACCTTAGACCTAGGTCATCCTTAGTAAGATCTTCCCATTTATATAAATACTTGCAAGTAGTAGTGCCATAATTACCAAACATAAAGCCAACTGAGATGCCCAAAGGGGGCCACTCTCCTTGCTTTTCCTCCTTTTTAGAGGATTTATTTCCCATTTTTCTTAAAAAGGAAGAACAAACTGTGCCCTAGGGTTTAGTGTGTCAGAACAGAGTGTGCCGATTGTGGTCAGGACTCCATAGCATTTCACCATTGAGTTATTTCTGCCCCCTTACGTGTCTCTCTTCAGCGGTCTATTATCTCCAAGAGGGCATAAAACACTGAGTAAACAGCTCTTTTATATGTGTTTCCTGGATGAGCCTTCTTTTAATTAATTTTGTTAAGGGATTTCCTCTAGGGCCACTGCACGTCATGGGGAGTCACCCCCAGACACTCCCAATTGGCCCCTTGTCACCCAGGGGCACATTTCAGCTATTTGTAAAACCTGAAATCACTAGAAAGGAATGTCTAGTGACTTGTGGGGGCCAAGGCCCTTGTTATGGGGATGAAGGCTGTTAGGTGGTAGCCCTCCAAGAGAATAGATGGTGAATGTCTCTTTTCAGACATTAAAGGTGTCAGACTCTCAGTTAATCTCTCCTAGATCCAGGAAAGGCCTAGAAAAGGAAGGCCTGACTGCATTAATGGAGATTCTCTACATGTGCAAAATTTCCTCCACAAAAGAAATCCTTGCAGGGCCATTTTAATGTGTTGGCCCTGTGACAGCCATTTCAAAATATGTCAAAAAATATATTTTGGGGTAAAATACTTTCATTTTCCTTCAGAGTCTGTTGTCGTATGATGCTATACCAGAGTCAGGTTGGAAAGTAAGCCACATTATACAGGGTTAACCTAAAAAAACAAAAAACTGTCTAACAAGATTTTATGGTTTATAGAGCATGATTCCCCGGACACATTAGATAGAAATCTGGGCAAGAGAAGAAAAAAAGGTCAGAGTTTAATCCTCATTCCTAAGTTATGTAAACCAAAAATAAAATTCTGAAGATGTCCTGATCATCTGAATGGACCCCTCCTCTGGACCAGGGCATTCCAAAGTTAACCTGAAAATTGGTTTGGGCCATGATGGGAAGGGAGGTTTGGATATGCCTCATTATGCCCTCTTCCCTTTCAGAATTCAGGAAAAGCCAACCAGCATTAACATCAACACAGATTTTCAGATCTTAGGTTTCTTTCCGATCTATTCTCTCTGAACCCTGCTACCTGGAGGCTTCATCTGCATAATAAAACTTTAGTCTCCACAACCCCTTATCTTACCCCAGACATTCCTTTCTATTGATAATAACTCTTTCAACCAATTGCCAATCAGGGTATGTTTAAATCTACCTATGACCTGGAAGCCCCCACTTTGCACCCTGAGATCAAACCAGTGCAAATCTTATATGTATTGATTTGTCAATGAAAACAGTCAAAGTCAGTCAGGCACAGTGGCTCATGCCTGTAATCCCAGCACTTTGGGAGGCTGAGGCGGGTAGATCACCTGAGGTCAGGAGTTCGACACCAGCCTGGCCAACATGGTGAAACCCCGTCCCTACTAAAATACAAAAATTAGCCCAGCTTGGTGGTGGGCACCTGTAATCTTAGCTACTGCAGAGACTGAGGCAGGAGAATCGCTTGAACCCAGGAGGCTGAGGTTGCAGTGACCTGAGATTTTGCCATTGCACTCCAGCCTGGGCAACAGAGCAAGACTCTATCTCAAAAAACAAACAAACAAACAAACAAACTGTCAAAATCTGTACAGTATGTGAAGAGATTTGTTCTGAGCCAAATATGAGTGACCATGGTCCATGACACAGCCCTCAGAAGACCCTGAGAACATGTGCCCAAGGTGGTCACAGTGCATCTTAGTTTTGTACATTTTAGGGAGATATGAGACTTCAGTCAAATACATTTTTAAAAAATACATTGGTTTTGTCCAGAAAGCCAGAACCACTCAAAGCAGGGGTTTCCAGGTTATAAGTAGATTTAAAATTTTTCTGATTGACAATTGGTTGAAAGAGTTGTCAATAGAAAGGAATGTCTGCATTGTGACAAGAGGTTGTGGAGACCAAGTTTATGTCATGCAGATGAAGCCTTCAGGTAGCAGGCTTCCAAGATAACAGGTTGTAAATAGTTCTTATCAGACTTAAGTTCTGTGGAGACGTAAAATGAGGCATATCTGACCTCCACTTCCAAAAACACCTGAGACAGGTCTCAGTTAATTAAGAAAGTTTGTTCTGCCTAGTTTAAGGACATGCCCATGACACTGCCTCAGGAGGTCCTGACAGCATGTGCCCAAGGTGGTCAGGATCCAGCTTGCTTTTATATATTTTAGGGAGAAAATACATCAGCCTGTAAACAAAAAATTAAATTCTAAGGTCCCAGAACCATCTGAATGGGCTTTCTTCTAGGCCAGGGCACTCTAAAATTGAAGAACCTGAACATTCCTTTCTATTGATAATACTTTCAGCCAGTTGAGCCCATTCAGACCACAGCAAGGTGCCAGGCCAGGCAAGGGCTGACTTGAGATACCTGCCAGATGAGTCACTGGCAAAAGGTGCTGCTCCCTGGTGAGGGAGAAACACCAGGGGCTGGGAGAGGCCCAGAAGGCTCTGAAGGAGTTTTGGTTTGGCTGGCCATGTGTGCAATTAGCGTGATGAGCTCTGACATGGCCTTGCATGGACGGATTGGGCAGGACACCCCAGCTGAGGAGGATGGCAGGAGTGATGGCACAGGGGAAAGTGTGGCATACCCAGGTGACAGCTCCCCACTACCTCCACTCTGTGCTGCAGCTCAGGGGCTGGGTCTTCTGCTGCAACTCAGCCCCTCTGTACCAGCCCTGGCCTCATTCCCTTGGTTCCACGACACCCAGCTGACAAAAGGGACTTGCCTGTACCCCTGCACCTGGTCCTACACCTGGCTCCTGGGTTGTCAGCAGGTGTTTGTTGGGCCAATGAGTGCATGGATGGAAACACAGACATAAGGACAGATGGAGAGATGGTGGGTGGCCAGACAAAGGAGTAACTTGGTGAGGAATGTGCATTAGGAAATCACGGAAGAGCAGAAACTGTTTGAAAATTCCAAGTGGGGAAAGTGAGGAGGTGAAGCAGGGCTGAAGGGCCTCCCTCAGAGCCTTCTCCCACTCTGTGGTGTCCACATCCCCTTGGTCGTCCTTGTGGGAGGCACTCACCTTTTGCTCAGCCTCTTGTGGCTACAGCCCAGCAGGTCCCAGGTGGCACCAGCCAAGATGAAGGTGGCATTGAGGGCTGAAGGCTCCCTCACCATGAAGGGATGATGTATAGTGGGTGGGGCCTCAGGAGGAAGAGGGCCACCAACCCTACCCGGCCCCTAACCTGCTGCCTGGAGTAGGCAGGTACCAGAGGCATGGGGTGAGGCATGTTGCAGGTCGAGGACCAGGGCCATCTCCCTGCCTGAGCCCATGGACTGGCTCAGGGGTCTGTCAGATGATTCTAGAGCTGAGTTGGAGGTAAGGGCAGGGGGTTTGTTCCTGGGTTCAAGACCATGGAAGGAAGGGGTAGAGAAGGAGGCCAACAAGTGAGGAGGCGAATTACAGTGGCTGGCAGAAGGAGAGAGAAGCCAGGACAGGTGGCTGTGGCCCTGTCCCTGCAGGCAGACCCAGGAAGGAGCTCAGAGACAGGATTCATGCCAAGCCTGCCTACCCAGCACATCTCTCCTCATGGACATGAGAGAAAACCCTCCAGCTTGGCCCTCACATCTGTGAAACCCACAGTAATGGGGCTGACATCCTCTGCCCTATGCAAGAGAGGTTTCCCAAGCACTTGCAGCAAGTGAGACTGCACAGGATGGTGAATCCACAAAGAACACGTTGTTCTCATGCTCTTTGGAAGCACCAATTTACATTCTGACAGTTTTGTGGGGAGATGAGACCAGTGAAAACCAGGGAACCCTGCTCATTAGGGGAACCCTTGGTGGTCTCTGCTTGGAAGCCGGGCTGCAGAGGACTGTAAGATCAACCGCCGGGGCTGTAGGTGATGGCTCAGGCACTGGATTCTCCATGGAGGACCCCATGAATGCACTTTGAAAGGTCAGCTCCATGGGTCTCAGCTGGCTGGGCCCATTTGGGAGTTCTATCTTTGGGGAAGGATGCTTTCCTAGGCTCTGTTGCACGCTGGCCCTAGGCTCAGGCCAGGATCAAAATCAAAGTCAGCTTCATGCCCAAGGAGGGCATGGCACTACCTCCTCAAGGGCCACAGGGTGGGGGCCTAAATTCCATCCTGCAGGATTCCAGGTCAGGAACAAGGCCCGGGGATGCTGCTTCTGGGTCTGAACCCCAGGTATGGGTCAAGAGGGCTCCAACTTCAAGGATGAGGTTATTCATGGTAGAAGAAACTGTAAGTCTCCTAGGACATTCCCTCCATGTAAGCAGGAAGCTGCCCCTTTGCTTCCCAAGACAAAAAGGTATGAGGCTGGTTGTCCAGCACCGACCCACCCTGGGGCTGGAAAGGCTGGGAGGGCAGGTTGGCACATTCCCAGTTTGAGGGAGCCAGGTGTATTCCTGAGCCTGGGCGTTGGATGAAAATGTTAGGGTGGGCCTATGATTAGGCCTGAGAGGTTGTTTGTCTCCCATCAGTGGAGCTGGCAATCTGACGATGCCTCTCTTTGGATTCTGGCCTTCAGCCTCTTCAGGCCATGGTGACCGGGGTCCACCAGGAGAAAGATCTCGGCTGTCATCCAAGCCTCTGTGTAGCACTGCTCCTCCAGGCAGCATTGTCCATGACACAGAAACACCTGTACTGTTGGGGCCCAGCACAGGCTATTCTCGGCCAAAGTGAGCCCCAGCTTAAGGGCCTGGGCAAAGGCCTCTTTGCCCTCACCTTGTCCTTCAGGCTCAGCAGCAGGCAACCCCAATTGCAGAAGTCTCTATCCATCTTGGGAGGTTGTCATCCCCTGAACCTTCCTACAGCACATTGTCCAGGCCCCCAAAGCCTCCAAACTCATGCAGTTTGATCAGGCAGCCAGCAGATGCAGGTGACAGGCACTGTTGCCACCAGCCAGGATGGCCAGTAGTCAGTAGCCCAGTGCCCTTCCCAGGATGCCCTGCATCCAGGAGGGCCTTGGCTTCCTGGGCTGTGGCCTGCACAGAGGACACAGAAGGAGGGAGGGAACATAGGGTTAGCCCAGAAAGTCCATCATTCCCTCACTTCCAGAGCTCCTCTCTACAACCAGCCTCTGCTGGCTCCCTGGGGAGGGTGGACTCCTGGGCTGCAGAGGGGCTGCCCACTTCTTCCAGAGGGCCTGGCCATGGGTGAGGGCCCTGGGTAGAAGACCCCTCCCTGCAATTCCCACACCCCTGGAAGCTGAAAAGCCCAGCTCAGACCCTTGGAGGGCAAGTGGCCAACTCAGGGCCTGGTGTCTTTGTCCACTGCTACTCTGCCTGGTCCTCAGATCAGGCACCTGGATTTACCTCCTCATGCTCCTGCCCTGGCTGCCCCACTGCTCCACCCACTTGATCCAGCTTCCCTTGCCTGGGTGACTGCCATGGCCTCCTTCCTCTGCTCCTCAGCAAAGGACTCTCTCCAACAGGCCCTATGATACAGCCACTCAGCCAGTTCACCCCACCCACATTCCACAGGCTGCTTTAGGCTTTAGGACAGTGGCAAACATGGCCTCTGCCATCCCGGTCTGTGAGCGCCCCTTCTTACACCAAGGTCAGTTGCTAACCAGTGAGCTGCTGGGGGCCTCCTTCTCCCACTCCCACTGCACTGTGTCCAGAGTGGCCAGCACCAGCCCCAGGTGTCAGGGGTCAGTGCATTTGCCTCAGGGGGACTGGCAGAGTGGGTGCATCCTGAAGGGCTGTGCTGGAATCAGCCCATAGTCTTTGCGTGTCCCATGGGGCAGGGCCAAAGGAAGCAGTCAGCAAGTGCCATCCACCCCAGCTTTTCTCTCCCTGGGGACTGCTGGACTGAGGGTCCAGGTGGCCCAGCTCCAAAGGCTGTTGCTGGCCAGACCTGCCCACCTCCCCTCTGACCTGCAGGCACTTGCCTTTTCAGAGTCATATTTGAATCCTACTCTTTACATCAGGGTTCAGGCAGCTGTCCAAACACCTTATCTTTTCATCTCTGACCATTTCTTCAGAGTCGACTATGAGCAGAAATCACCCAGACACCCCACAGGTAAGTCCACTTGCCTCACATGGCTCTTCCTCTTGTCAAGAACCTACAAGGGCTCCCAGTGCCTGAGGAATAAGGTCCATTGGAGACCCTGCCTTTCTTGCTGCCCCTCTCACCCTCTTCTCCAGGCAGCCAGGCAATCCTCAACACTCCTCCCCTCAAGGAAAGCACACCGCACCCCAGGATTCTGCAGGGGTGCTGCTGTAGGGAGCAAACCACACACCACTGAGGCCCGCTTTCCCTGCTGAGAGGGGGGGCATCCCAGGGCCCCACACAGGTCCAGGGTCCTGGCACTTTGCTACTGGGCTCCTGCGGGGAACAGTAATGGTCTCTTCCCACCAGCCTGTGAGCAGCAAAAAGACAGGACTGGGTCTTGAACCCCAGTCTCCCTCCTTGCTGTGTAACCCTGCGTGAGCTTAATCTCAAAGAACTCAAAGCACAGGCTTTGATTTCTGAACTAACACCCGGGTTCAGCACCAGGCTGCAGGGCTCTGAGCCCTCTCACCTGAGTCACCGCAAGGGAATCTTTTCTCTCCCAATCACCTACAGGGAGGCTGGGCCTCCTGGAGGAGCAGAGCAGCATGGGGGGAAGCAGCCCTGGGCCCCCCGAAGTCCTAGGTGGGCAAACACAGACTACAGAGGGAGCTCCCTTTTCAGATTAGTGGTGAAATGGTATCACATCACTAGGAGGGTGTAGAAATCTGTAGTTAAGCCCTGTAAAATGTAGATTTTGGCACACGGGGACCTAAGACAATCCTGCCTGAAACAGGGCCTGGCATCCCATCAGTGCTCAATAAACAGCTGCCAGTGACACGCACAAATTAAGGGAGGCCAACTGTATAAGTTATTTTATGAAACCAGAATCACTCCTTTGTTCCTCCTCTATGCAAGCAAAGAGCCACATGGGTACAGCAGAGGGGAGCCTTTTACACACCAGGCCTCATGCAGGAAACCGGGTCGTAGGTCAGGGAGTTTGGAGTGGAAGGGACGTGAGAAGCTGTCCTGGTCTAAGTATCTTTCTCCCATTTTACATAAAGGAATACACAGTGTCAGAAGGAGGACTTGTGTCCAGCCCCTGTGTTCCCCACTCCTGGGCAGATGCGTACCCAGTGCAGCGAGAATGTCTGCGAGGGGGACTTGTCAGCTCCACTGCTCAGCACTGATTTTGATCAGCATTTCCCCAGTGGCAAAGAGGCACTTAATGACCTTGTCCAAATCTCATGTTGAAATATAATCCTCAGTGTTGGAGGTGGGGTCTTGTGGGAGGTGCTTTGGTCATGGGGGCAGATCTCTCATGAATCGGTCCTGTCCTTGCAATAGTGAATGAGTACTTGTGAGATCTGGTTGTTTAAGGGTGTGGCACCTCCCTCCCACTCTCTTTTGCTCCCACTTTTGCCTTGTGATGTGCAAGCTTCTGCCTCACCTTCTGTTATGAGTAAAAGCTCCCTGAGGCCTCCCCGAAAGCCGAGCAGATACCAGCACCACATTTGTACAGCCTGTAGAATTGTGAACCAATTAAACATTTTTTCTTTATAAATTACCCAGCCTCAGGTATTTCTTTATAGCAATGAAAGAATGGCCTAACACAGAAAATTGGTACTGAAGAGTGGTGTTTTGCTATAAAGATACATGAAAATGTGGAAGTGACTTTGGAAGTGAGTAACAGGCAGAGGTTGGAAGAGTTTGGGGGGCTCAGAAGAAGACAGAAAGATGAGGAAAAGTTTGAAATTTCTTAGAGACTGGTTAAATGGCTGCATTCTGTTCATGCCCTAGGAATTTGTGGAAGTTCAAACTTAAGAATGATGATTTAGGGTGCCTGATGGAAGACATTTTTAAGCAGGAAAGCATTCAAGGTGTGGCCTCAGTGCTTCTATACTCAGATCCAGGAGCAAAGAAATGACTTAAAGCTGGAATTTATGTTTAAACAGGAAGCAGACCAGAAAAATTTGGAAAATTTGCAGTCTGGCCATGTGACAAAGAAAGAAAAAAGCTTTTTCCAGGAGAAGAATTTGAGCAGGCTGTGGAGCAAACACTTGCTAGAGAGTTGCATAATTAAAATGAAAGCCAGATGCTGATAGCCAAGACAATGGGGAAAAGGCCTTACATGCATTCCAGAGATCTCCATGGCAGTCCATCACATCACAGACCTTGAGGCCTAAGAGGAAAGAATGCTTTTGAGGGCCAGGACTTTACTGCTCCACACAGCCCCGGGACACTGCTCCCCACATCCTGGCCACTTCAGCAGCAGTCTCAACTCAGAAGACCCCCGATACAGCTCAGGCTACTGCTTCAGAGGGTGCAAGCTATAAGCCTCGGAAACTTCCATGTGGTGTTAAGCCTATGGGCATGCAGAGTGCAAGAGTGATGGCTTGGCATTCTCTGCCTATATTTCAGAGGACGTATGAGAAAGCCTGGGTGTTTAGGCAGAAGCCTGCTGCACGGGTGGAGCCATCACAGAGAACCTCTCCTGGGGCAGTGCCAAGTGGAAATGTGGGGTTGGACCCCCACACAGTCTTCAATGGGGTACTTTCTAGAGGAGCTGTAAGAAGGGACCATCATCTTCCAGATTCCAGAATAGTGGATCCACTGGCATCTTGCACTCTGTGCCTGGGAAAATTGTAGGCACTTAACCCCAACCCCTGAAAGCAGCTGTGGGGGCTGTACCCTGCAGAGATGCAGGGACAGAGTTTGCCCAAGACCTTGGGAGCCTACCCCCTGCACCAGTGTACCCTGGATGTGGGACACATAGTCAAAGGGGATTATTTTTGAGGTTTAAGATTTAACGACTGCCCTGGTAGATTTCAAACTCATGTGGGGCATGTAACCTCTTTCTTTTGGCCAAGTTACCCCTTTGGGGATGGGAATGCCTGTACCACAATGCCTGTACCCCAATTGTGTCTTGAAGTAAATAACTTGTTTTTGATTTTACAGGCTCATAGGTGGAAAAGACTTGCCTTGCCTCAGATGAGAACTTGGACTTGGGACTTTTGAGTTAATGCTGAAATGAGTTAAGGCTTTGGAGGACTATTGGGAAGGCATGATGGTATTTTGCAATGTGAGAAAAACATGAGATTTGGGGCTTGTCCTGGGGTGGAATGATATAGTTTGGATGTTTGTCCCTGCCAAATCTCATGCAATTTTAATTCCCAATGCTGGTGGTGGGACCTAATGGGAGGCATTTGGGCCAGGGGGACAGATACCTCATGGCTTGGTGCTATCCTTGCAATAGTGAGTGAGTACTCATGAGATCTTGCTGTTTAAGGATGTTGCACCTCCCCCACAACTCTCTCTCTTGCTTCTGCTTTGCCATGTGATGTGGAAGCTCCCACTTTTTAACTTTTGCCAAGAGTAAAGGCTCCCTGAGGCCTCCCCAGAAGCTGAATGGATGATAGCACCATGCTTGTACAGCTTGCATTAAAGCTTGTGAACCCATTAAACATATTTTCTTTATATTTACCCAGTTGAAGGTATTTCTTTGTAGCAAGGCAAGATTGGCCTAACACATACCATCCCGATAGAGTTTGAATATCTGTCCCTGCCCAAATATCATGTTGAAATGTGATCTCTAGTTTTGGAGGTGGGGCCTAGTGGGAGGTGTTTCGATCATGGGGGTGAATCTTCATGAATGGCCTGGGCCATCCCCTTGGTGATGAGTGAGCTCTTGCTCTGAGTTCTCATGAGATCTGGACATTTACAGGTATGTGGCAGCCCCGCCCCTGCCAAAAAAGTAAACTTGCTCCTGCTTTCACCATGTGACATGCCTGCTCCTCCTTTGCCTTCTGCCAGAATTGTGAACTTTCTGAGACCTCCCCAGAAATGGATGCCAGCACTATGCTTCCTATACAGCCTGCAGAACCATGAGCCAATTAACTCTCTTTTTTCTTTTTCTTTTTCTTTGTCTTTCTTTCTTTCTTTCTTTCTTTCTTTCTTTCTTTCTTTCTTTCTTTCTTTCTTTCTCTTTCTTTCTTTCTTCTTTCTTTCTTTCTTTCTTTCTTTTTTTCTTTCTTTCTTTTTGTTTTCTTTCATCTTTCCTTCTTCTTTTTTGATGGAGTCTCACTCTGTTGCCTGGGCTGGAGTGCAGTAAGTGGTACGATATTGGCTCACTGAAACCTCCGCCTCCCGGGTTTAAGTGATTCTCCTGCCTCCACCTCCCAAGTAGCTTGGGATTACAGGCACCTGCCACTACACCCAGCTAATTTTTTGTATTTTTAATAGAGATGGGGTTTCACCATGTTAGCCAGGCTAGTCTTGAACTCCTGACCTCATGATTCACCGGCTTTGGCCTCCCAAAGTGCTGGGATTACAGCCTCTTTTCTTATACATTACCCAATCTCATGGAGTTTCTTTATAGCAGGGCAAGGATGGCCTATTCCACCCCCGCAGGATGTTATCCTTATTGAGACCAGTTGGCCAGAAGAGAAATTAAATTTACTGCACTCTGATTTGGTGTTGGTCCTACAATCCTCAAATAAGATTGATCATAAACTTCAAAAGTCTATTGACAAGGAAGCTATGCATGTTGCAAGTTTCATTAAAGAATATGATGATGCATGTGGGGACTTTTTTGGCTAGTTGTGTTGTTTACTGTCCTCTGATTCTATCTATAACTTTCTTGTATGCCCAATCTTCACTATTTTTATACATGTATTGCTATTTTATCATTATATGTCTCTTGTCAATGCCATGCCTATTGTAGGAAAAGAAAAGGATGCAATCAAATACCCATAAATCATCATAAATTGTAGGATAGATCTGATCCAGTTGGCTTTTCAGATTGAACCCTAGGCCTTACTCCCTCTCACCACTTAAACAATTGGCTATTAAATCAGGTCAGATTGTGTCCTTCTTCTGTGATCTGAACTCACTAATATTGAAACTATCATCACCAATGACAGATGACCAAATAAACAACCCTGGGAATGAGATTTCCTAGCATTGTGGGACTTCCTGCTGGTTGTTGGCCTTCACATACATTCCATAAAATGATCTTTGGCCAATAGTGGGGACTGAGGCCTCAACTCTGACCTTTTATTCTCTTGCCAAAAATCCTGTCTAAGGGGCCTGGAGATTCACACTCCACAAGCCATAAAATCTCGTGATTTTTTTTTCAATTAACCTGGTATAATGTGGCTTATTTTCCAAGCTGACCCTGCGATAGCATCACATAACACATGGCAGACCCCCTTATCTTAACTCAAGTGTTCCTTTCTACTGACTTCATGTCTTTACACAATGGTTTAACTCCCTTGACCAACTGTCAACTAAAGAATTCCTAAAACTCACCTATGACTTGTAAGACCCCTCGTTGAGATGTCTTGCCTTTTCAGGATGAACCAATGTATACCTTCCACTTATTGATTTACAATTTAATTTGCAACTTGTGTCTCCATGAAATGTACAAAATCAAACTGTAAGCTGACCACCTTGGGCTCTCTCTCTCAGAAGCTCTTAAGACTGTGTAACCCTAGGCCATGGTCACTCATATTGGCTTAGAATAAAGCTATCTAAATACTTTGGCAGAATTTGGTTTTTTCATCACCACAACTGAAAAAACTTGACCTTCACAAAACCACTTTTCTGTTTAGTAGAAATTTCCCAGGGCTACAAAGCCTTCACTGTATGAGCTGCAAATCAAGCCAAAATGTTATCAGAGATGAAGAGATGGGGATAGCCATCAGGCCTGGGGATGGACCTCCCTGGAGCTGGGCATTCAAGAGGATGAGTGCAGCAGAAGGCGTATCCAGGGAGGTCTGGTCTGCTGATTTTTCTAGGCATAAAGCAAATTTATTTTTTAAACTAAAATAAAAATGCATGCACTTTCAAATATACTTAGTGTAACATATTGAACTTAAATTCCAGTTTTCCTGGAATTACTTGTGTCTTGAGCTAAAGACTGTATTTGGTATAACAGGGAAGGAAAGAAATTATTTTTCCCACAAAATTAGTTTAAGAACACATATAATTAAACAAAATAAAAATATTATCTCATCTTTTAAAGAATATTTACTAATTCACAGATATTACCCGAAGTTTAGAAAACCACCTAAGAACAATTGTTTAAAAGTTATTTAGGGAAAATGAAGCAAAATTGTTGTTACAATCTGAGATTTTAACAGCCAGTGCACTCCTGTTCCTCAGCTGAATGTCCCCTTCATTCTGAATGTCTGCAGTAGAATTGAACTGGGGAGCAGTTAGGTTCCAGGGAAATATTCACTCCTGTTTTCTTCTCTCCCCAATCTCAGCCTTTCGGTGACTGTTTGGGCAAAGCCTCCCTTGTGGTAAAAGATGCCTCACTTCTGGGGAGAGGAGGCTCCTCATCTTGCAGACAAGAAGCAGCACCCACTGGTTCCTGCTCCAAAAGCCATTATGAACATTATAAACTGGCCAGGTGCGGTGGCTCAAACCTGTAATCCCAGCACCATTTGGGAGGTTGAGGCAGAAGGATTGCTTGAGCCCAGGAGTTTGAGAACAGCCTGGGCAACAAAGTGAGACCCAATCTCTACAAAAACTAGAGAAAAAATAGCTGGGTGTGGTGGCACTCACCTGTACTAAGGAGGCTGGGCTGGGAGAATCTCTTGAGCCTAGGTGGTTGAGGCTGCAGTGAGCCAAGATCACGCCTCTGCACTTGAGCTTGGGTGACAGAGTAAGACCCTATCTCAAAAAATAAATTACAAACTGATTCACAATAACTTTGGTTTTGTCACTAATATGCTGAATATTTTTGTTACAACTAATATGCAAAATGCAAACTGGCTATCACTACCATTCTGATAATGGTATTAGCTGTCCTACGTACCTGATGACCTAATGCTTAACCTAATGTTCCTCTTTCCCACTTTGATTTGGAAACTTGTTGCAATAGAGTTCTTTACCCCAAAATCTTATGGAATTCAAGACAAGACTAGAATATGTTAAGATACCACAAAAACAAAAAATATACATAGTTAAGAGCTTTCATGAGTAAGCAAATTTTATACATATAAAAATAATTTACATGCAAATGACCAAGAGGAAAGGTTAAGTGACTCTAGTGTAAATAATTAGTTTTCTGATCCTGCCAGAGCATATTAAGAAAAATTCACTTTGGCAGAATTATATGGATTTGAAGAAGTAACAAGTGGGTTTCTCTAAAGCACAGTTTGGCTTTTTACTAGAATATCAAGTCACCTTTTTTGGGTGAGGAGAGTACAAAGGGAGTGGGAAGCTGGTGAAAATAAACATTTAAAATTACTTAAAACTTCAACAAATGGGATCTGCATTTAAATCTGTTTTGGTCTATCTTCCCTTTGTTTTTTCTAATCCCAACAATGCAAACCTCAGCCACTGTCAAGGGCAATCTCAGACTGGGGGTTGCTGCCTAGGGTGGGGTTCTAGCAAGACTTACAAGCAGAGCTCAGGGAAAAGTCTGCATGGGAAAACAGAGCCAGACTTAGAAGGCATTGCTGATGAATCCCATTTTCTTATTACAGGAGAGCTAGCAAAAACTGCAATATGATGTGTAAAGTCAGTGTAATCTTACGGAAGTCATATAAAAGTCACAACATGAGGCATGAGATACCTCAGATGTTGTTCCCTCTAAATCTCATGTTGCATTGTGTTATCCCCAACGTTGGTGGTAGGTCTGGAGGCAGGTGATTGGATCATGGGGATGGATTTCTCAGGAATGGTCTAGCATCATCTCCCTGGTGCTGTCCTTGTGATGGTGAGTGAATTCTTGCAAGATCTATTTGTTTAAAAGTGTGTGGTGTTTCCCCTGCCTTGCCAGGTGATGTGCCTGCCTGCTCCTTCTTCATCTTCTGCCATGAATAAAAGCCTCCTGAGGCCTCACCAGAAGCTAGGCAGATGCCAGAACCATGCTTGTACAGCCTGCAGCTATACAAACTTCTTTTCAAACCTCTTTTCTTTATAAATTACCCAGTCTCAGGTATTTCTTTATAGCAATGCAAGAAAATTGGTACTGAGACATGGGGCATTGCTATAAAGATACTTGAAAATGTGGAAGTGACTTTGGAACTAGGCAACGGGCAGGAGTTGGAAGAGTTTGTAAGGCTCAGAATACAGGAAGATGAAGGAAAGTTCTGAATGTCTTAGAGACTAGTTAAATGGTTGTGACCAAAATGCTGATAGTGATATGGACAGTGAAGGATAGGCTGATGCGGTCTCAGATGGAAATGAGGAACTTACTGGGACTTCGAAAAAAGGTCATGCCTGTTATGCCTTTGCAAAGAACTTGGCTGCAGTCTGTTCATGTACTAGGGATCTGAGGAAGTTTGAACACTCAGATGCAGGAGCAAAAAATGACTTAAAGTTGGAATTTACAATTAAATGGGAAGAGCAGACCATACAAGTATAGAAAATTTGCAGCCTGCCCATTTGGCAAAGGAAGGTAAAGCATTTTCAGGGGAAGAATCTAAACAGGCTGTGGCACTAAACAGGCAACCACTTATTAGAGACATTTGCATAACTGAAAAAAAGCTAGGTGCTGATAGCCAAGACAATTAAAAAAAGGCCTTGAAGGCATTTCAGAAATCTTTGCAGCAGCTCATCCCAGCAGAGACCTAGAGGTCCAGGATGAAAGAATGGTTTCCTGTGTAGTGGGATTTTAAAAATTAATTAATTTATTTACTTATTTATTCTGAGATGGAGTCTCACTCTGTCACCCAGGCTGGAGTGCAGTGGCACAATCTCAGCTCACTGCAAGCTCTGCCTCCCAGGTTCATGCCATTCTCCTGCCTCAGCCCCCCAAGTAGTTGGGACTACAGGCGCCTGCCACCATGCCTGGCTAATTTTTTGTATTTTTAGTAGAGACGGGTTTTCACTGTCTTAGCTAGGATGGTCTCAGTCTCCTGACCTTGTGATCTGCCCGCCTTGACCTCCCAAAGTGCTGGGATTAGAGGCGTGAGCAACCATGCCCAGGCTGTAGCGGGATTTTTTAAGGAATCAGAGAGACCGATGGGGTTGAGGAGGGTATTTATTATTTAGGTGCACCAGCCCAGTCAGATTAACATCCAAAGGACTGAGTCCTGAACAAAGACTTAAGTTACCTTTTAAGCATTTTGTGGGGTGGTGGGGAGTGGGGAGATCTGTGCAGGGGGAAGCATATTACAGAAGCGAGAAACAAAGACAGTTATTCAATTAATTGAGACATGCATTATATCATTTCTTACTTTTCAAGGAAAAACATGTTTTACGACTTGAGTTTATCTGTCTAGTGACCTTGCAGCTGCACAGCTAGAGAAATAGAGTCTTCACAATGCCTGGGAAAGGAAGAGAGATGAGGCTCACTAGCCACAGAAAAACAGGCAGTTAATTTTTAAAGGGCTCCAGCTCTTTCTCTTTCTCAGGGGGGATTTGGGTTTTCTTACATACAACTGAGTTTCTGCTTACACATTCTTTAATTTCTTTTAATTCCTGTTCCGCTTGGACCAGGGCCAGGGCACCACTGCCCTGTACCACCCCCAGGAGGGAGTTCCTTGCATCCTGGCCCTTCTAGCTCCAGCCTTGGTTCAAAGGGCTCCAGATGAGCTCAGGCCATGGCCTCAGAGGGTGCAAACTATAAGCCTTGGTGGCTTCCATGTGGTGTTAAGCCTGCAGGTGAGCAAAGTGCAAGAGTGAAGGAGGCTTGTCATTCTCTGCCTAAATTTCAGAGGATGTATGAGAAAGGCTGGATGCCCAGGGAGAAGCCTATGCCCGGCTGGAGCCCTCAAAGAGGACCTCTTCTAGGACAGTGCCAAGTGGAAATGTGGGGTTGGAGGCCCCACACGGGGTCCTGACTGGGGGGGCGGGGGCTGCCTAGTGGAGCTGTGGGAGGGGGGCTGCTGCCCTCCAGATCCCAGAATGATAGAGCCACCAGCAGCTCATGTCTTCAGTGTAGAAAAGCTGTGGGAGCAGAGCTGCCCAAGGCCTTGGGAGCCCACCCTGTGCATCCTGGGAATGCTCTATGTTCCCAGGATGTGGGACATGGTTTCAAAGGAGATTATTTTGGAACTTCGAGATTTAATGACTGCCTTGCTGGGATTTGAACTTGTGTGGGGCCTGTAGCCCCTTTCTTTTGGCCAATTTCTCTCTTTTGTAGTGGGAATGTTTACCCAATGCCTGTACCCAAATTTTATCTTAGAAGTAAATAACTTGTTTTGATTTTACAGGCGCATCAGTGGAAGGGACTTGCCTTGTCTCAGAAGAAACTGCACTTTCGAGTGATGCCGAAACAGGTTGAGACTTTTGGGGGACTATTGAGAAGGGATGATTGTATTTTGCAATGTGAGAAGGACATGAGATTTGAAGGGCCAGGGATGGAATGAAATAGTTTGGATGTTGTACCCTTTAAGTCACATGTTGAATTGTAATTCCCAGTGTTGGAGTTGGGGTCTGGTGGGAGGTGATGGGGTCATGAGGGCTGATTTCTCATGTTTAGTACCATCCTCTTGGCACTGTCCTTGCAAGAGTGAGTGAGTTCTCATGACATCTGGCTGTTTAAAAGTGTGTGGCACCTCTCCCTGCTTGCTCCTGCTCTGGCCATGTGACATACCTTCTTTTGCTTCACCTTCTGCCATGTGTAAAACCTCCCTGAGGACCCTTCTTGAAGCCAAGCAACTGCCAATGCAAAGCTTCCTGTACAGCCTGCAGAACTGTGAGCCAAGTCAACCTTTCTTTTCTGTATAAATTATGTAGTGCTTAGGTATTCCTCTATAGTAATGCAAGAATGTCATAATACAAGGCATAATGGCTTGCATTTTAAAAATGAAAATTAGATTTATGTAATTTATCATGAAAAGATGAAATGAGTTAATAATGAGCAATATCTACATGTTGTCTTAGAGGTGCTGACAATCTGTCAAGGAATTACATGCATTAATCAAGCAGTTTACCTTCAAGTTGAATAACAAGATATTCCTATCTAACATAACAAAATTTTGACATTATTTGGGAGACTGGAAATAATGCTACATAATATCAGATTGTCAAAGCCAAATAAATGTAGAGACAAACATCTGAAATTAAAATGTTTTATTTGAGATACAAGTATTACAATTTGACAGATACATGCAGAATGGGTGTCTTTAGTATGTCCGAAACATAAAGAGAAAGTTAGAGGTTTTATAAAAAGGGAGACAGAGAGAAAAACGGTATGTATTTCTCTTTGAGAAAGTTCACTGGCACCAGTAAGGTTTTTGAGAGCTGGCAGGCTCTGATAGGTGAGGGACAGTGGTGGGTAAAACTAGTCTTAGTGTTGCAAGAGGTTGTTTCAGTAACCATTCGATAAAACTGGTTTCAGCTTAAAGCAGGTAATTTCAGCAGCCAGGCATGCAGAGAATTACGTGCTTGGAGTGGTGTTTTTGCCCTGAATGCCTCCTCCCCCTGGCTTCTTGATGGTTTTATTTGGTGTGACAAGAATGACCCAATTCATATGATCAATTTTTACATTTACCCCTTTCCATCAAGATCTTTCTCTTAAAGCATCAACCATGTTTATAGTTGTACAACGACTACAAGTTAGGCTTAATCATCCCTTAGTGCTAGGATGGACCTGTCCCAGTTGCTCCGTCCCACATCTGGGAAAGGTATGGAGGTCTACATCAGGTCTATGTCAAGATTTATGGCTTAAAACATCTATCCGAGGAAAAAAATAAAACTGACCAGTAATCCCAGGAGAGAAACATACCTTGGCAAATTCGAAGATATTTCTAATTTTATTTAACAAATTTAAACTTAATTAATGTATCAAAGATTCGCCTAACTCATGTCAAACAAAATATGTTTGGGTTAATTAATATATATTTTATATGAGCATTCTTTTATTCAAACCATCCTTTTTTCCTAGAATGATGGATTAGGGGCTTTCGGTGTGCCTCAGCCACTTGGAAGTAGAAAAATAAGCATAAAGATAAACTTTGTGAGCTTCAATTCAAGAAGAAAAATAGGAATTCACAGGAATAGAGAAGAACACTCCAGACCCTGTGGAGGGGGAGGTGGGAAAGCAGCCTCTGCGATAGCATTTTGTTCATAAAAGGGAGTGAAACTGCAGTACGAGAGAAGAACATCCAGTCTCCCTCTGTGACTCACCTTTCCACTGGGGATCTGTGCAACCCAGATTAAGGGAGAGCAGTCTGTTTCTCCCAAGAAAGCACTTATGTGCTTAGAGCTGGCACAAAAGTGGCTGAGAGATGGGGAAAGAGGAAAGACACTCAGAAAAGCTGCAGGCATTTCCGCAGACCTGGGACTGAGAGAAGGATGCCATTTTTAATCTGGGCTCGTACAAAGTCAATCATTCTTTGGTGCCTGGCAATGGTGGCCACTGCAGACACTTTAATCTTGGGCTAGGAATTGAAGTGCTTGCTCTGGAGCAGGGGAGCAGCCTCCACAGCCAGAATTGAGTGTTGAGTGTGGAAAGTGCCCCAGCAGTAGGTGTTGGAATTAGGCTCTCTCCTCTTGCAGGACTGTAGTGGGAAGAGAGTTGCTAAAGCAGAGGTTTCTCAGGGATGGTGAGACTTGCAGCCAAGAACAGTTTCGCAACCTGGGACTGGTCTGTGTGTGTCATTGCTGGGTGTCCCAGCCTGCTCCCTTGGTCAGTTGAGAGAGTACCTCATCAGCTCCAAGAAACAGGAGGGAGGTGAACCCGTTTCCCCAGGAGACCTAAACTTTGGTGAGGACCAGTCCTAAGGGAAGGAGGAATACAGCTTGCCGAACACAGCCCTTGAGTCAAAGGAAACATGATCATGACATCAGCTGCTGAAAGGGGCACACCAAAGCCTGGGAACAGATGTAGAGAGGTGGTCATCTCTTGCCCTCTGTCACCTTCCTAGTGCACTGCTGCAGACCCAGCAGTGGTCATCCTGTTGGGGCCCAAGGAACGTGGGCTGAAAGAGGCTGCTTCTTAGGTTTCTCCAGCAGCTCTGCCCCTGCTGAAGACTAGTACACATGGGGACAGGGTGCTTTTGGCACTTTGTCACTTCTGCACCTGTCGAGGACAAGTACACAGAGGAGAAGACCCTGCAGCCAGCTGTTACTCTTAAGCACTGTCTACTGGACTGAAGCCTGAATTACACCACCAAACAAAGATACATCACCACACCAAGCCACCACAGGAGCCTATCTACAACCAAGGAACTTGTACAGAGCATTGGTCCTCTGAAAGTACCCAGAAATGAAGCAAATTGATCCTATACAACATACACCACAGTCACACCCTTAAGAGAAAGACAGAATGAAAAATTAAAAAAAAAAAAACTCCTTCCAAATGATATCAAATTCAACAAAAGAAGCATCAAGTCTCTCAGATGAGAAGAAACCAGCACAAGCACTCTGGCAATACAAAAAGCCAGAATTTTCCATCACCTCCAAAGGATTACACCAGCAAACTAGCAATGAGTCCTAACCAGAATGAAATGTCTGAAATGACTTGTATAGTATTCAGGATATAAGTGGCAAAAAAATTCACCAAAATCCAACAGAAAGTTGGAATCCAACAACAACCCCATAACAACGATCCTGGATTTGAATGACAAGATAGCTATATTGAAAAAGAACCAAGCAGAGCTTCTTGAATTGAAAAATTTACTATAGGAATTTCAAAAAGAGTTGGCAGCCTTAGCAACAGACTAGGCCAAATAGAAGAACTAATTTAAGAGCTCAAAGACCAGACCTTTGAATCAACCCAGTCAGACAAAAATAAAAAAGGAATTTAAAAATAATGAACCACACTTTTGAGAAATATAGGATTATGTAAAGGAACAAAATCTATGACTTACTATTGGCATTTTTTTTTGAGACAGAATCTCACACTGTTACCCAGTCTGTAGTGAAGTGGCATGATCTTGGCTCACTGAAACCTCCACCTCCTGGGTTCAAGCAATTCTTGTGCCTCAGCCTCCCAAGTATCTGAGATTACAGGCGTATGCCACCATGCCTGGCTAATTTTTGTATTTTTAGTAGAGATGAGGTTTTGCCATGCTGGCCAGGTAGGTCTCAAACTTCTGGTCTCGGGTGATACTCCCACTTTGGCCTCCCAAAGTGCTGGGATGACTGGCATGAGCCACTGTGCCTGGCTGACTTATTGGCATTTCTAACAGAGAAGAAGTGAAAGTAAGCAACTTGGAAAACATTTTTGAGGATATAATTCAGGAAAGTGTCCTCAATCTTGCTAGAGAGTTCCACCAGCTGATACAAGAAATCCAGAGAACTCCCGTGAGACTGAAGGTAGGCAGTGAAGCAAATGTTTGCATTCTTGTGTGGCTCTGATTAGCATCAGGATATCTACATTTTACATGGGAAAGGAGGGAGCAGAGGAAACAGTTAATTATGCGTTCATCTCACATTCAGTAAATCTTCATTTTACATAAGATAAAGTAAGCATGTGAATAGAGGGAGTGGAGTAGAGGAAAAGCCAACGATTCATTCATCTCAGGACAGGCAGAGGGATGATTTCTGGTCCTGACCTTGTCCCAGAACTATGAAAATAACCTGGTAATTGAGACCGTCAGGGTGAAATTGAGCCCACTCACTTTTAGGGCTAGTTTATAGGTGGGATGTGCATTCTGAAAGATTTAGGGGCTCACAGCAAATTGTGAGGGAGGACATCTGAGGAGACATGCAGCCTTCTGTCACTGTGGGAACCTGGCTTATGGATGAGGCTATGACACAGGGTTGTGAAGTTATAGCTATGTGTTTGAGAACAAGGAAGGCAGTATTGCGTAACTCAGTTCCCAAGCTTAATTTTCCCTTTGACACAGTGAGCTTGGGGTTGGGGTCTCTATTCTCTTTTCTCTCACAAAATCATATGGGAACATTCCAGAAGATGTGAGGTTCTGCGCTCACTATTAAATAAGAATGACCAGGAGAGCCATGGGTAAGCTCCCTCCTCAGTCATCAGGACCGCAACAGAGAGTTTTCCCCTGTGTGGACAGGGTTCTGAATTCTGCAGGATCCCGTGGGGACACAAGTGTCAGGATAGAGGCACTTCTTCAGCCAGGTACAGTGTCTCATGCCTGTAATGTCAGCTACACTGGAGGCTGAGGTCACCTTGAGGCCAGGATTTCAAGACCAACCTGGGCAACATAGCAAGATCCCATATCTAAAAATAAAATTAGCCGGGTGTGATGGCATGCACCTGTAATCCTAGTTACTTGGGAGGGAGGCTGAGGTGGGAGGATTGCTTGAGCCTAGGCGTTGGAGACTACAACGATCTAGGATTACACCACTGCACTCCAGTCTCAGCAACAGTAAGACTCCGTATGTAACAACAACCAACCAATTCTGCGTTTTGAGTGTAAATTACCATAGCCTTTGTAACAGAAATTAGGCAGCAACTCTCGTCATTCAAAATGCATAAGCAATTTGGCTAAGCAATTGTACTTCTAGATTATTTATTTATTTATTTATTTATTTATTTATTTATTTATTATTGGGACAGAGTGAGACTCTGTCCCCCAGACTGGAGTCCAGTGACATGATCTCAGCTCACTGCAACCTCCGCCTCGTGGGTTCAGGCAATTGCCCTACCTCAGCCTCCCGAGTAGCTGGGGCTACAAGTGCGCATCACCATACCCAGCTAATTTTTGTATTTTTTGTAGAAACGGGGTTTTGCCATGTTGGCCAGGCTGGTCTCAAACTTCTGACCTCAGGTGATCCACCCACCTCGACCTCCCAAAGTGCTGGGATTACAGGCACTAGGTCCCTAAATTAGAGCCATATTCTTTAATGTCTGAAAGCACTCTTGCATGTTTATTACTGCATTGTTTGAACTTAAATGTCCACAACAGGATAACAGGATAATTAAACAGTTAATTGCACTATGGCACATCCATCTGTTAACAAAATGAAATCGATCTTTTTGTACTGTGGTGTAAAGATTTTCTGGACATAGTTCAGGTAAAAAAAAAAAAAAAGACCACTGTTGAATAATGCTTCCGGTATAACACAATGTGTTTGAAAATGTACACAATACACTGTAATATCCAACACATACACCTATCAAAGTAAATATATTTTATTCTAGGGTAATTATTAAAACATTAAGAAATACTCTTTAATCATATATGTTTAAACTTGTAGAAAATCAATAACATACAAGTAAAGAAGATCAAGAAGCCACAAAAAGCAATTCCAAGTATACAATGCATGGTGAAAAGTGATGGAAGAAAACTGCAGGAATTTAAAATGCAAAATTAAAATACAGCCCTATAATTCATGATACATAATTCTTCATTGAACCCCGAATCTGTCAGGACATATGTGTGATCTTGGATAACGAATTCAACCTACTTGGCACTGAATTTTCTTGACTGTAAACTGTTTTAGAGATGTTCCTCACCCGGTTGCATGAAGCACATCTGTGTGTGTTAAGGCACTTCCCACAGCATCTGCGACACAGAACCGTGGCAGCTGTGCCCTTCCTGGTCCCTGCACACAGACCCACAGCAGTATGTTGTGTCTTTTTTTAATATAAAAGGCTTTGAAAATGTCCCACAGCTTCTTCAGTAACTGACTGTCAAAAGGGGCAGCCTTCAAAAGTAGAATTCTGGCAAATGTCTTCAAAAGACGCAAAATTCTGGCAATGGGCTCATTTCCCCTCCCGCCTTGCTCTTCTGGATGGATCCATTCTCTCCCACAGCATATTCATTTTCTTCCACTCCACCGTAAAAATTGTCCTTCTAGTGGCAAGAGTGACGTAAGTGATATGCGGAAATTTCTTTCCAAGCCTGCTTGGAGAAGCTTCCTCTGCCTGCTTCTCTTTGGCCACCTCCAGGGCTGCTCTGTCACCCCCAACAGCATGGACCTCACTGCAGTCACTCTGGAAGCTTCCCTCTAAAGGAAGCTTGTGCAGGAAACATCATGCATGGAGCAGCATGGGGACAGGGGCTGGCCAGCTGGGCAGGGCTCACATTCCTGACACCCAGACTCCACGATACTCCTCTGTCCCCACCCAGGGCAGATCCCTGCCCTAAAAGTTTTCCCTCTTATGTCCAGCAAATGCTGCATGGAGCCCTGGAATTCTATGTGGAAAGCTAGGAAGAGGGAGAGCTGAAATGAGGATGTAATCACCCTTTCCAAAGAGGTCAGTCCAGTACTACCCTGTGCTCCTGGGCAAGCTCTCCAGGCTGAGGGAACAGGAGCAGGGGTTATGTTGGGTGAAAGTGGAAGTGAGGGACCTCCCAGGAGGTGTAGAATATTCCACTAGGGACACCTCATACCCTTCCAGGATTAGACCTTGGGGCCTGGAGATCCCCAGGCAATTAGTATTGAAGGTCGAATGGCCAATGACAGGAATGGGAAGGCCCACTGTGTCATTCACAAAGCACTTCCAAACCCATCACCACAGGTGACCCTCACAACAACCCTGTGAGACCTGCAGAGCAGGGGCTCTCACAAAGGAGGAGTCGGGAATGTCAAGATTTTAACACCTTCTCCAAGTCAGGATCAGGAAATGCTGTCCCAGCG
The DNA here is from genome assembly GCF_000001405.40 of Homo sapiens. Classification (NCBI taxonomy): domain Eukaryota; kingdom Metazoa; phylum Chordata; class Mammalia; order Primates; family Hominidae; genus Homo; species Homo sapiens. The sequence goes on from NC_000014.9 coordinate 19,218,740, forward strand.
CTGACCTATATTCCCTATGATTCCTCCCACAAAAGAGCTTAGGGTGGCTGCCAACTTGTGGGCAGAGACCCTCACTTTCCAATCCCCACGAGGGGCTGTGCAGTGGGGAGGACAAGGCCCCCTCCTCTGTCTCCTCCAAGACCCTGTTTTCTGAGGAAGGTCACTCTGGGAACTGTTGGCCTCTGCAGATGGGGGCCTGGATCATGTGGAAAGATGACGTGAAGGTCACACCTGTCAGGGACCAGTGCTGGAGGGCAAACCTCACCTTTAAAAGCTCCCACTGTTTATTTTAAATTTATTTTTATTTTTAATTTCTATGAGTACATAGTAGGTGTATATATTTATGGGGTACATGAGATAGTTTGACACAGGCATGCAATGTGTAATAATCACATCAGGGTATAAATGGGGCATTCATCACCTCAAGAAAGGGAAATGCCAGATGCTTATAAAACCATCAGATCACATGAGAACTCACTGACTATCATGAGAACAGCATGGGGGAAACTGCCGCCATGATTCAGTTACCTCTCACTGGGTCCCTCCCGTGACACATGAGGCTTATGGAAATTACAGTTCAAGATGACATTTGGGTGGCAACACAGCCAAACCATATCACCTTATAAAATGAATAATGTGAAAATAGCACTGGGCCTGAGGCCTGGCCCCTGCTGTGTGATGCCCCCTCTTGGGGAGAGCCTGGTTTCTGTGGCATGCAGAAACTTCCCTGTGCTTCCTGTGGGCTTGGGGTGAGCCAGGTCCTCCTGGGGGAACTGGGCACTGTGGGACAGGAGGGTCCCTGGCCTGGGGTCTCCATTTGCCTCCTTACCCCCATCAACGAAGCACCAGAGGAGCCAACTCAATAAACCTCAATGCACGGCCCTTCCTGGACCATAGGTGCTCAGGGCCCCCTGAGCTGCCCGGGGGCAGAACACTGGGCAGTGGCCAGTGCTTCCCCAACAACTCCCCCATGCACAGATGCCTGGTGGACACACTTCCTTTAACCCTGCTCAGCTGGAGCTCAGCCCCCATCCTAGTACCTCTGCCTCCTCCTCCAGGGCAGGAAAAGAAAACCCAACCCCAAACCCATGGAGAATCCTCACCTTGGGCGAGGCCCTGGCTGGGACTCAGCCTCTTGTCAGACCCTCCAGTAGCTCCATCTTTCCCTGTTTCCCTGCCCCATGGAACCCTGGGCCTCTAGGAAAGAGTTGAGGGTGTCTTCCACTCAGCAGGTACCGCATGATCTTTGGGGAGGATTTGTGTTATACCTGCTCCTGGTGGGATAGGAGCCTCCGGAGCTGGGCAGTATTTGGGCTGTAGAAAACTGAGAAGCCCCTGACCCATCATGCATCAGAGCCCACTCCCAAGATGTGGAGCCGTCAGCTGGAAGAGCTGGGCAGTGGCAGGGGACCCCGGACCCTGAGGCCTTCCTCCCTTCCATCAGGTGACCCTACCATGTGGCCTCAGCTCTAGGGAGATGGGCCCTAGCTGGAGGCACTGCACAGCAGCATCCTGGGTAGAGGTGCCCGGAGGGCAGGCCTGCCTTTGAGGCTGTGAGGCAGGGCTGCGGCAGGCAGTGGCCAGTGGAGGGAACGGGGTGGGTGCCGAGGGGCTACATGGCCATCTCCCGGACATGGGGTCCGGCTGGGGGACATGGGATGGGCAGACACTGCCATCTTGACTTCATTGGCCCATCTGTGGGCTGGGGGAGCAGCTGGGAGTGTGGCCAGCTGGGAGGTAGGAGGACTCTTGGGGAAGTGACAGTCACCTGCATGAACTCAGGGCTAGAGAGCTGTGGCTCTGGGACACACAGGGTGGCCAGGGGGAGGCTGCAGCACCCTCTGCTGTTGGGGATGAAAGGTGTCTGCCTTGAAGTGAAAGGGTCCCTGTTCAGCTCTGGGCTCCCGTGGGACCCTCAGCAGGGATGTCTTGAAGGCTCCTAACAAGCTGGAAAGCAAGGAAGCTGCCTTGCCCAGAAGTCAGGATCGCCCAGCCAGGGTGGCCGTCCCATGGCCTGGCTGCGTGAGGCCCTGGGGGAAGCTGTCCGCCTACCCTGCAGGGAGTGCCTCTCCTCGGCCATCAGCTGATCCAGTGCCCAGAAGGTGTCTTCCTCTGGCAGATACAGGAGGAGGATGGCAGTTAGGCAGCTCATGTCCCTGTGGTAGCCCACTTCCTGCAAGAGCCAGAGTCACCATGGAAGCATGTCACCTGAGAGGGCTGAGGTCATCTGGGAGGACTCATGTCACTGAACAGGACAGAGGTCACCTGGGAGAGCTCCCTCTAGCCCTAGGGGATTTAGGGTGCAGACTCTGCACCCCTCTCCTGACCCTGGGCGTGAGGACTAAGCAAGTCCCCCACAACTCAGTTGAAAAGGGACCTGGAGGGACTTCTGCAGTGAGTGTCCAAACTCACGTAGTCCGAAGGGGCACAGGCAAGGATCATTCATGTCCCCTATCCTGGGACAGGCTGAAAAGGCCACTGTGCCAGGCCTGGGGCAGCACCTGTGAACTGCACCCACCACGAGGGCAGGCGATGGGCCACTGATCACCACACAATGGGTCCTCTGATGGCCCAGGAGCTGCCTGCCAGGCACAGGAGGGCGGCTGGGTCCAGACCCCATGTGGGCAGCCCATGGAGTGAGCTCAGCGGCTCTCCCTGCCTGGAAGGGTCTGGGAAGTGGGGGCCAAGCAGGAACAGCCAGCTGGGTGACCTCCTCCCTGTCTACTGTGATCCTACGGGGTTAAGACAAAGGGGAAATTGGATCCCTGCCAGGTTTCCAATAAAAAGTCTTCCTCAGGATGCAAACTCATTTCATGACAAGAGCCTGGCCCCATCAGGCACCTCAGCAGCTTGTCAAACATGTCTCCTGCAAGGACTATCCTGTGTGCAACACTGCTAAGCTCCTTGTTTGGGGCGGCACCAGGACGGGAGGGTCATTTCTTCTTCTGAGACATGGTGGTTGGGTCCAGGTGACATCAACAGTCTGGGCCCTGACCCCTTTCCATCTCAGCGGGGACCCCTTGAGACACCAGCTTCCCTTCCTTGCTTGGGTGTCCATGCAAGCAGTTCTACCTACTATGTTATTACAGCCAGATCAGGATCAATGTCCTCTCTCTGGAATAAATGCAACGACCACGGTTCTTTGAGCATTATTTATCTTAAATTACTGTTTTAATTAGAAATGTATCTAACTTACTTATATTAGCCAAATTTCCTTTCAATGTAACCAAATTTCTTTTAAGTGAAAATTAAGTATTTACCTTCTGTTATCAAGCATTCTATGAATACAAAATGTTTATTTTTTTCAACTTTAGAAGAAATTGAAAAGTTCTACATGCTACTAATCTAAAAATACAGGCTCTGGGTTTATATGGTGTTAACCTTTCTTCCAAATTTTAAGGAATAGATATTTAAATGCCATCCACTTTGTTTTAAAATACATAAAATGTTTTCAGCTTTTGACCTCAAAATTTACAGTAGCACAGCTACTCTGTATTGAATAAACCACAGAATCAAAACAAAGAAAGATTCTACAGACCAGACTAACCAACAATACAGTTGGTTCAAAACTAGTGGTTCAAATATCAAAAACCAATTTCAATGACAAATACATGGTATGAAAACCCCGCAAAGCTCAAGTAGAATATATTATGCTTGAATGAAATTATGAGTTGAGAGTAGGAAATCTATGGTTAACCAAACAAATTAAATAATGTTTATGAGGAAATTATACTGCTAATGTTTTATTATTTGGCAAGCTATTCAGTGGAACACAAAGATATTCTTGATGAAGTTGAAAAAATATTTTAAAATGTTACTAAAGTGGATTATAAAAAATGAGGACATGAATAACTTTAAAACGTATTCAGGGATAAAGAGAGAAAAATAAATTTAGATTTCATACATACATAAAATATATTTAAAAAGTTGTGTTTTTGGTTGCTCAAATAAAAGGAGCAGATATTTAAATTCCATGCCTTTCATTTTAAAGTTTAGGAAATGCTTATAGCTTTCCAAACTGACATTTATACTAACACAGTTAATCTAATCGAGTGATAACAAAATCAAAACAAGCAGAATTCTCTTGACCAATCTATTTTCTTGATTTTTAAAAGTAAATGTACTCTCAAAGAAACAAAACTATTATTCCTGGATTCTGTTATTTAAAAATATTTACTGATCGCTTACCTTACACCAAGTGATCTCCAGCTCGTGGAAAAATATGTGAAGTTGCCCAGCTTCATTAAGCTTAAACTCTTCTGAAGGAGAAAAGAAGCAATGGAGTAGGGACATTAAAGCAGGAGTGTGGTGATATGGCTGAGACTTCTACTTGCACACTGTGGTAGCTGTGTGGAGACTGGATTGAAAAAGGGGCAATGACAGAAGCTTAAATTAGTATCAAATATGGTAATCTTATAATTTTAAGGGTCCTTGAAACAAGAATGTATAATAGTTCTCATTATTTCCCCAAGAAAACTCTGCACTTGGCCTTGTGAGGGAAGCACTATAGTTACCAAGTGGTGGGGGTGGGAAGGTGAATTTGGAAACAACATTTGGAATTACTACACTTTAAAGGTAAAGCTGGCAGGAATTCCATACACATCAGATCTGAAAATATGTGTGTGTGTGTGTGTGTGTGTGTGTGTGTGTGTGTGTGTACATGTGTCTGTCTGTGTGTGTTTGTGTGTGTGTGAAGCAGGGAGAGAGAGCAAGAATGACAGCGAGCAGAGAGAGAGGAGAGAGAAGGAGAGAATCAGACAGATACAGAAAGAGAGTGACAGGGCTACAGAGACAGAATTAAAAGGGGGCACCAAGAATACTGAGCTGAGAAACTATACAATGGGAGTTGCCATTAAACAGAATGGGGAAGAGCAAATTTGGGGAGTTTCAGTGGCTCCACATAGACATATTAATTTTGAGATTCCTAACTGACATCCACATGGATAAGTCAGGGAGTGTTGTGTGTAGTGTCCAGTGTTTAGGTGTAATATGAAATATCAGGAAATTAATGACACAAAAATCAGTAAGAAAGCAAAGAAAGATAAGCAGTCAAAGTCGTGAGCCTAATCATCCTCTAACATTTAAAAAATACTAAAGATGAAACCTGCAAAAAAGGACTAGGGGTAATTATCAAAAACATGGTGGAGGGAAAGTAGGTTAAGTTTTCTGGAATTCTATAAAAAAAGTTTTACAAAGGGGAGGTAGAGATCAACCATGTGAAATGCTGCTGATACATAAATTAAGATGAAATCCGAGGAGTTATGGTTCAATTTATAATTTAACAATATGGATAGCACTTATGTTTTGATACGAGCAGCTTCGTTGGAGTGAGTAGGTGAGAAACCATATTGGAGTGTTTGCTGAAATGAAAGTCTGATCTTTGGATTCTTAAGGAAAAATTTTATTGGACTGCAGAGGCATAAATTGGATTTCTAATTCTGGAGTCAGGATGTGCTCAGTAAACATGGGCCCATCAATGCCTCCTCGCATTTTTTTTAGCTAGGTATTCCGTTATCTTTTAATAATATAACAATTACCTGCAAAACTGACACCCATTTTGCAGCAAACCAGCATGACACATGTATACCTGTGTAACAAACCTGCACATTCTGTACATTTATCCCAGAACTTAAAGTATGTGTGTGTGTATATATATATATATACGTATATATACATATATACATACATATACGTGTATATATACATATATACATACATATACGTGTATATATACATATATGTGTGTGTGTGTGTGTGTGTGTGTGTGTATATATATATATATAAAAGAAAGAAAACGAAAACCCAGCCAAGTGCGGTGGCTCATGACTGTAATCGCAGCACTTTGGGAGGCTGAGACAGGTGGACCATCTGAGGTCAGGATTGAGAGCAGCCTGGCCAACATGGTGAAACCCTGTCTTTACTAAAAATACAAAAATTAGCTGGGTGTGGTGGGGGGCATCTGTAGTCCCAGCTACTTGAGAGGCCAAGGCAGGAGAATCACTTGAATCTGGAAGGCAGAGACTGCAGTGGGCCAAGATAACACCACAGCACTACAGCCTGGGTGACAGGGTGAGACTGTCTCAAAAAACAAAAACAAAAACAAAAAAACACACATTTAATTGAAAAACTTTACAAAGACTGATACTAGAGGTTGTTGGAGAGGACGTTGTTCCACATAATATCTTATGAGTTGCTGATGGACAAGTAAGATGGTAAAATGCCTTTGAAAAACTGACCATACCTGCTATACTTAAATATTCAGATACCAAACACCCAGAAATTCCATCTTGTCATTTATTTCCACAAGAAAAAACAAGAGACCTGTATTAAAATATCCACTTCTATTGAAAATAATCACAGTTTCCTGAAATTTTTTTATTAATAGCTCTTGTTTTCAGCAGTACAACCTCTAATATATATGTGTGTATATATATGTATATGTGTATATTTATTAGACAGATATATATGTATATAATACATATACATATATACATATATGTATATATATACACACACATATGTATATATACAAAATGTATGTATATATATTAGACAGAGTTTTGCTCTTGTTGCCTAGGCTGGAGTGCAATGGTGGAATCTCGGCCCACTGCCGCCTCCACCTCCCGGGTTCAAGCGATTGTCCTGCCTCTGTCTCCTGAGTAGCTGGGACTACAGGCATGTGCCACCACCCTCGGCTACTTGTGTATTTTTAGTAGAGACAGGGTTTCACCATGTTGGTCAGGCTGGTCTCGAACTCCTGACCTCAAGTGATCCACCTGCCTCGGCCTCCCAAACTGCTGGGACTACAGGCATGAGCCACTGTGTTCAGTCTATTTTGTATTTTTTAATCTACCGCACTCTAAGAACACATATTTTAAATCAATTTGTACATTCAGTACCTAGAACAAAACCAGCATTTTGTAGATTCCAAAGAATTATTTGTTGTATAAATGATGAATAACTTAAATAAGTTATTATTTACAACATCTATATACAAACAATATGTTACCTCAGAATACAGTGATAACTTTTGTTATGTATAAAATGATTTCTGTCTCAGTTAAAAAATATTTTTTGCATGAGTTATTGTCATATACAGATGCTCACATTGTTTTGTTTATATGAAAATGTTTGTAACTACTACGCGCATTTTTGCTACTTAAGCCTTTTGGTCTTGCTGCCATAGCAAATACTGTGCCTTTCAAGAAGATGAACCTGTTTTACTTCATTTTTTAGCAGATTTCTTAATGAAATATATACCATACTCTTTTGTTTAACACATAAGCAGACACCCTGTCAGAAGCAAACAGACATCTACTCCACCATTACCAGCCATCCCTCTACTAATGTGGCTGCTGAAGATGTTACCTAGAGCAGAGGACTTTGGGTTCAACCTAAGCACTTTATATCCTTTATTTTCAATTGGGTAGGAGATAAAATAATTCAGCAGCAATAAAAGTCACACTTCTTAAAGTTGCAGTCTCGCCAAGGCAACACAATGTAGCAGTCTCTCTTGTGAGGTATCACCTGGAGTTCTTCATCTCACCACCGAGATGATTAAGGAACGGGGATACACGGGTGAGGTGGGAGTGAAAGTTTAATAAGCAAAAGGAGGAAGCTCTCTGCAGCAGACAAGGGCGTCCAAGTGGATTGCCGTTTTTACAGTTGAATCAAAAAGCTTTTATAAGAAACTCCTCTCAGCTATGTATAAAAAACTGTCTGCACAATTCCCTTTATATAACCAGCTGTGGGTATGTCTCTAGTCAAGCACAAAGTGGGCTTCTCTTGTTTATATAACTGTGGGTTTGTTTTAGGTAAGCTCCCCTCCTCCCTGTGCATGTTCCCACAGAGGCCACCATGTTTATGCCTGAAAAAGAGAGGAAAATTTTTCCTGGGAGCTTGCCAATTACACAAAGAACAGAAGGCTTCTGTGCTGGACCCTGCATGCTCATCTGTGCAGGGCTTACCTGTAGGTGCAGTAGTTGTGATTTTTCAGGCAGACAGCTTCCCTGAGAACCAGTCTCTTACTTGTTTACTCAACTAATTTTCCTTTCCTTCTCCCTCAACATTATGCAGCAAAACAGAGTACACTTCTCTTTCCCAGTAAATCAATGTTGGTACTCCACTCTGAATACTTGTATTATTGGATTTCTTAGAAAAAAATATTTGGGATCATAATTTAGATGCCATCAAACAATGAACAAAAATATACTACTTCGTTTCCCTTCTCTTCTCTTGTTACCAGACAATAGCTAGTTTTCTTTTCTCTCCAACTCCTTTTTTCTGTGCTTCTACCTGATTTTTAAAAAAACCTCTACACATTTCCAATCTTAGTATAGCAGACATGAAATATGTGGTCAAACTATGTACATAGGAAGAGTTGAATTATATAATTATATTCAAGCATTTTAAAATAATTCCCCTTCAGTTTGTTTTGCAGTTATTTTACATAATCAAATGTCTTCTTGATATACGTCCCAGCCCAGTGGCTGTCAAGCTCTGCTTTGTTTTCTAACTGCATCAGAATTATCCACAATTTTTTTTTTGAGATGGAGTCTCACTGTTGCCCAGGCTGGAGTGCAGTGGCATGATTTCAGCTCACTGTCGTCTCTGCCTCCCTGACTCAAGTGATTCTCCTGCCTCAGCCTCCCAAGTAGCTGGGACTACACGCGTGCACCACCATGCCTGGCTAATTTTTGTATTTTTAGTAGAGATGAGGTTTCACCATATTGGCCAGGCTGGTTTTGAATTCCTGACCTCAAGTGATCCACTGCCTGGGCCTCCTAAAGTAAGAATTATCTAAAATTCTTATGATAAATATGGATAAATCAGCACAACTCAAGATTTAAGAAATAAAAATTTCCAAGAGAAGAAACTCAGGAATATGCATTGAAAATGTCTCCCTCAGGTGATTCTGATGTGATATGTGGTCTGAGTTTAAAATGTAAGGAAAATTACCTTCCCTGCCCTCCAGTTGGCCCTTATGTCCAGATGTCCCTCTTTCCCTTTCTCATTGTGCTCTCTCCTTCTGTGCCTTTGTTCTATTCTCCCTCCACTTCTCATCCAGATGCCAAGCCCTCTTCCATCAATTGTCCTAAAACTCCAAATGGTCAGTTTTCTCTATACTTCCTTCTGTCCCATGAACAAGTTATGCAGGCAAATGTAGAAGTTAAGCTTGGACCAAGCTGAATCAAGAGCTGCAATTAAAGATTTCCCTAAGCCCAGAGGGGAGCAGCGAATACTTATAGGTGATTTTGGATTTCCTCTGATTGCATAAGGCTCTGGGTAACCTGATGCTATAGACCAAATGTTATTGTCCCCCTCAAATTCAAGGGTTGAAATCTAATTCCCTATGTGATGATATTTGGAGGTAGGGCCTTGGGGAATGATTAGATCATGAAGGTAGGGACCACATGAGTGGGATTAGTAGCCCCTATTGAAGGCACCATAGAGAGCTCCCTCATCCCTTCTGTCATGTGAGGACATGGTAGAAACATGGCTGTCTATGAACCACAAAGCAAGCCCACACCAGACTTGGAATCTGCTAACCACTTGATCTTGAATTTTGCCATCTCCAGAACTGAGAGAAACAAATTTGTTTACAAGCTTCCTCATCTATGGCATTCTGTTTTGACCCCAGATTAGCTAAAAACACCAAAATACCAACTTGTACACCAAATTTTGGAAATGGATGCTAAAACTTTGATGGCAAAAGGTGACTGATCTGCCTGAGAAATGAACCTACATGATCCCTCTTTCCGCAAAGCTGGAGGGAGAGTCAACAAAAGCAAAAATAGGTCAAAGTCTTCTAAAAGCCATACCTGAAGGGTTTTCAATATCACTTGATCAGATGGCAATTTAATCACAGAAAAAAACACAACAAAACATGCAACTATCAGAGGTTTTCAACATCGCCTCAAAAACACCATCTACAATATTAGGGAGGGAAAGAAGTCATGGAAGTTTCAAAAAGTCAAACTTTATTTCAGTGTTAATGGGAGAAATTTGAAATTCTTAGTTAAGCTATGAATAAATCCTTGGGCAGGTGCAGGCATGGAGATTCTGGGGTGAATCTGCTGAGTTTAAAAGCTTCCTTTGGAGATGCCCCTGGCCCCCTCCACCTGTCAAGAAGAGGCCATCCTATCTGCCTGTCAAGAAGAGGCCATCCTGGGCAGCACAGTAGAGGCAAATGGCCCAGATGCCTAGCTGAGGGCAAACCTCCATGCCTGGAGGAGGAGGTCACCTCTGGGAGCAGGAGGACCTGCTGGAACCCCTGCTCACAGGCTCCTTTTCTTGCTCTCCAGCACCTCCTGCAGGCATGCAAATACCCCCAGCAGCAGTAGCAGCAGGCTCTTCAGCAGCAGGGCTGCTGCTCTGCTGAATGAGAGAAGTCCCTCTTCAGTGAGGCAGAGGAGCCCAGGTTGCACATCCTGGTCTCTGCCTCCATAGCTTCCACTGTGCCCAGGACTGGGAGCAGTGTGGGAGCTTCTGGCTGGAGCTGTGCTGGTCACCCCTCTCTACCACCTCTAGCTCCAGCCACACTTTCAGCTCCAGGGCTGAGGCCCGTGGCTCTACAGGAGGTGCCATGAAGTCAGGCAGCTCCTCACTGGGCTGGTCCTGGGCAGTCCCAGGGCAGCAGAAGGAGGGCTCTGGAGCTTCCTCTAGCTCCAGCGCTGTCCCTGGAGGGGAATCTGCCCCTGGTGCTGGCACTGGCTCAACAGCTGGCACTGGAAATAGCTGTATTTCTGCACCTGAAGCAGCAGCTGAAAAAGGAGAGAGGTCACCAATATCACTCGCTTTCCACTGGAATTTACAAACATGAAAACAACCTCATTGAATTTAAAGGAATTTCAGCCTGAAAACATTGTCCCTGGAAAGACTTCCAGACTGCAGGTGACCTCACCATGTGCCTGTGTCTCAATGAGCTCCAGAGGCTCCGGCTGGAAAAGGACAATGTGCAGATGTGGCCCTGGTGGGATCACTGGTGAGGCCTGGCCTGCTAGCTCCATCTGGGGCCTGATGTCTACCTGGTGACTCCTGTCCTGTGGTACCTGGTGGGGGGGGTCGGGGGGGGCTTCTGCCAAATGGCCAGAGGCATCTGGGGTGAGGGATGAGCCTACAAGGGCGTCATCAGCAAAGAAAGGCTCTCACTCCTGCTATTCCTGAAGCCAGAGCCTGGAGATGTGGGGATGCAGCACAAGAACATCTTGCTCTCTTGAGCGTCTCCCACCAAGTGAGCTGGCTACGGGGCTAACTCTAGGATGTGGGTGCCTGGTTATCAGAATTCTTTTTTTTTTTTTTTTTTTTTTTTGAGACATAGTCTCATTCTGTTGGCCAGGCTGGAGTGCAGTGGCATGATCTCGGCTCAGTGCAACATCTGCCTACTGGGTTCAATCACTTCTCCTGCCTCCGTCTGCTGAGTAGCTGGGATTACAGACATGAGACACACAGCACCACACCTGACTAGTTTTTTTGTGTTTGTTTGTTTTCGTTTTTTCTTTTTCTGAGACAGAGTCTCGCTCTGTCGCCCAGGCTGGATGGAGTGCAGTGGCGAGATCTTGGCTCACTGCAAGCTCCGCGTCCCGGGTTCATGCCATTCTCCTGCCTCAGCCTCCCGAGTAGCTGGGACTACTGGCACCCACCACTACGCCCGGATACTTTTTGTATTTTTAGTAGAGACGGGGTTTCACTGTGTTAGCCAGGATGGTCTCGATTTGCTGACCTTGTTTGTTTTTTGTATTTTTAGCAGACATGTGGTTTTACCATGTTGGTCAGGCTGGTCTTGATCTCCTGATTTCATGATCCTCCTGCCTCAGCCTCCCAAAGTGCTGGGATTACAGGTGTGAGCCAATGTGCCTGGCCTGGTTACCAGAATTCTTATTTCTGTTAGGGTCTGTTGGCAAGGAAGTGAGGTCGCTTCTTTAAGTTTCCATCCCCTCGGCCTCCTCCTTCCAGAAAACCTTCTCAGGACCCCAGTGGGCTGCTGACTGCTCACCCTCCCCACAGGTCAACTCCTTACCTGTACACAGTTATGTCCACCCAGGACCTGCTTGGACACCTGCACCTGATGTTCACCAGGGGCCTAGGAATCCACTTGCAGCCTGGGATCCTACAGGGGCCTAATGTTACCCTGCAGATTGGGTAGCCACTTGGAGATCAGGTATCAACCTGGGGACTGTGGTTGACCTGCAGGCTAATGTCCACCTGGGGACTGGTTATTCACCTGAGGCCTGATGCGCACCTGGGGCCGAATGTCCCCCTCAGGGTGAATTCCACCTCAGGCCTGTATGTCCACCTGGGGCCTGATGTCTGCCTTAGATCTGTGTCCCACTGGGGCCTTGTGTTCACCGGGGACTGGTATCCAGCTGTGGCCTGATGATCTACCGCATCCTGTTGCTCACCTATGGGCTAGTGTCTACCTGGGGCTTGGTGATCACCTGGGAGCCAGATATCAACTTGGGGCCTGGGTGTCCACTTAAGGCCTGATGTGGGCCTGGGGCCTGATTGCCCACCCGGGGACTGGGTGTCCACCTGGGGTCTGATGTCCACCTGAAGTTAGGTATCTACCTAAGGCTTGGTGTCTACCTGTGGCCTGATGTCCACATGAGTCTGGGGTTCAGTTGGGGCCTGCTGTACATGTGGGACCTTGGTGTCTATCTGAGTCCTGATGGCTACCTGGTGACTGCCATCCTCTTGAGGCCTGATATCCACCTGGGAATGGTTTATCCATGGAAACGGTTATGTCCACCTGGGGCTGGATGTCGCCCAATGGCTAGATGTCCACCTGTGGCCCCGTGTCCACCTAGTGCCTGATGTCCACCTGGGGCATGGTTTTCACCTGAGACCCGGGTGTTTACATAGGACGTGATGTCCAGCTGGTGCCTAGGTGCCCACCGGGGGCCTTGTGTTAACCTGGGGACTGGTATCCAGCTCGGTCCTAATGAACACCTGGGTTGAATTATTCACCTAGACTTTGGTATTCATTTAGGGCTTGAGTGTCAGCCTTGGACCTGGTGTCCACCTGGGCCTTGGGTATCAAACTAGGGATTTGGTGTCCAGTTGAGACATCATGTGCACCTGGGGTCTGAGTGTTCACATGAGGCCAGATGACCACTGGGGGCCTGAATGTCAACCTGGTGTCAAATTCACTGGGAGCCTAGGTATCCACCTGGGGCCTGATGTCCACCTGGGACTAGGTGTCAACGTGTGGCCTGATGTAAACCTCTAGTTCAGTGTTCACCTTGGGCCTGATGTCCACTGGAGGACTGATGTTCCCCTTTGATCTGATGTCCACCTGGAAACCGTGTATTCACCCATGGCCTGATGGTCACCTGGGGTTGAATGTCCAACTGTGGCCAGATGTGCACCCGGAACCTGGGCATCCACCTGGGGCCTGATGTTTAGCTGGGGCCTGGAGTTCACCTGAGGCATGATGTCTACCTGAAGCTTAACGTTCATCTGAGTGCTGGATGTTCACCTGGCACCCGATGTCCACCTGGAGCCTGAGGACCCTTCTCAGGCCTGATGTCCACAATTGGCCTGGTATTCATCTGGGGCCTTCGTGTTAATGTGGCCTAATGTACTCCTGGGTTCTAGGGTCCTCTTGGGACCTGATGTCTACCAGGATCCTGGTATCCACCTGGGGCCTGGTATCCACCTAGGACTTGATATTCACCTGGGGCCTAGGAATCCACTTGATAACTGGTGCCCATCGGGGTCCTGATGTTCACCTTGGGACTGGGTAACCACCTGAGGCCTGATGTCCACTTAGGGCATAAGTGTTTAGCTGGGGTCTAGTGTTCACATGGGGCCTGATGTCAACCTTGAGCTTAGGTATTCACAAGAGGACTAGTGTCCAGCTGGGGCCAGATGTTCACTTGGGGCCTGGTGTCAACTTGAAGCATGGTTGTCAACCTGGGACCTGATGTCCAGTCCAGTGTCCGCCTTGGGACTGTTTTCTACCCAGGGCCTGTGTGTCCACATAGACCCTGGTGTCAATGTGGGGCCTGGGTATTTACCAGGGGCCTGGATATTCATTGGTACATTATGTCTACTGGGGTCTTTGTGTCAATCTGAGCTCTGATGTCCACCTAGAGATTGGGTATCCACCTAAGGCCCGGTGTTTACATGGGGCCTGTAACACGAGGTTCCAGATGAACTCAGATGTCCACCTGAGGCCTCATGTCCACCTGAGTTCTGAGTGTTCACATAGGGCCTGCTGTCAACTTGGAACCTAAGTATTTACCTAGGGCCTGGGTGTCCACCTGGGGCCTGACTTCCAACTGGATCTTGTGTCAACATGGGGCCTGATGTCCACTTTGGGCCTAGGTAACTTCCTGACGACTAATGCCCACATGGCTCCGAAGGACCATCTGAGGCCTGGTATTAATTTAGAGACTGGTATCCACCTGGGGTCCAGGTATCCACTTGGGACCTGATGTTCACCTGGAGTGTAGGAATTCACGTGGGGCCTGGTGTCCACCTTGAGTGTGTGTATCCAACTGAGTGCTGGTGTCCACCTGGAGTCCAGTGTATACCTGGGACCTGATGTACATATGGGACCTGGGCATCCATCTAGGACCTGATGTTCACATAAGGGCTGGCATTCTCCTGGCCTGGTTCCCATATGGAGCCTGGGCGTACACTTGGAGCCTGATGTCCCAGGTGGATCGCTGGGCCCCAGTTGTCATCAGATCCTAGGAAACTCTCAGGACCCAGGTGCACATAAAGCTCCAAGTGGCCACCTAGGCCACAGGTTGATACACAGGGTCCAGGTGGACACTGGGTGCAAGATGAACACCAGGTCTCTGGTGAACGCCAAGCCTCAGGTGTCTACCTAGTCCTCAAGTGAACACCAGGCACTAGATTGACACACAGGTACCAGGTGGATATCAGGCCACAGGTGAACACCAGGCCCCAGGTGGTTGGGTTACTTATAGCATAGGTGGCCATCAGGTCCCAGGTCTATAGCCACTCCCCACCTGAAAATCAGGATCCAGGTGGATACCCATGTCCTAGGTGAACACCAGGTTCCAAATGAACATCAGGCTCCAAGTGAACACACAGGCCCCAGTTCAATACCAGCCTCAGGTAGACATCAGGACCCAGGTGGACCCCAGGCCCAATGTGCATGCCTAGTCTCTTGGAATACATCATTTTCAAGGTGGACACCCAGATTCCTGGTAGACCTCTGGTGCCAGGTGGATATCTGGCTGCAGGTGGACATCAGGCCCCAGGTGGAGACCCAGTACACAGGTGTAAATCAGGCTCCAGTATTTCATCAGGCCCCAATTAAACACCTGACTAAAGGTGTGCATCAAGACCCAGGTTGACACCCAGGCTTCAGGTGCACACTAGGCCCAAAGTGTACACCCATGCCCAGGTGGGCATCAGGCCCAAGGTGTACACCAGACCCCAAGTGGACATCAGGTTCCAGGTTGACACCAGTCTCTAGGTAGATCCTTAAGCCCCAATTGGTCATCAGGCCCAAGGTGGATACCTTGACCCCAGGGGGTCACCAGGTCCCAGGCAGGCCTCAGGTGGACACTAAGCCCTAGGTTAACACAAGGTGTGAGCTGGCTTCAGCCCCCATGTGGGCTTTAGTCATAAGGAGCTTACCTAGGCCCTAAGTGGACATCAGGTCCCAGGTTGACACAATGAACCATGTAGAAGTCAGGCTCTAAGTAGACACCCAGGCCCTAGGTAAATACTTTGGTCCCAAGCCATCATCAGGCCCTATGTGGACACCCAGACTCCAGGCAGATGTCAGGCCCCAGGTGAACACTGAACTCAGGGTGGTCTTCAGGCCCTAGGTTGACACATAGGCCTCAGGTAGACAACAGGCATAGGTGAACTTCAGGCTCCAGATGAATGTCGGGCTCCAGGAAGAAGTCTGTGCCCCACTTAAACACCGGGTCTTAGGTAGACATCAGGCCTCAAATGGATGCCCAGGCCCCAGGTGGATATCAGGCCTCAGGCAAACACCAGGCCCCAGGTAGACATTAGTCACGAGATGGACACTCAGGCCACAAGTGAACATCTGTCCCCAGGTGGACATCCATCCCAAGGTGGACATCAGGCCAGAGATGTACACCCAGGCCCCAGGAGAACCCCAGGCCCCAGGAGGACACTCAAGGGTCAGAAGGACACCCAGTCCCTAGGTAACTACAAGGCCTCAAATGGACATGATGTTCCAGATGGATATGAGGCCCCAAGTGGATACTAGGCCCAGGTGGACCCCAGGTCTGAGGGGTACACCAGGTCCCAGAGGAACACCAGACCCTAGGTAAGCATGCAGTCCCAGGTGGACATCAGGTTCCAGGAGGACACCAGGACCCAGTTGGTCATCAATCCACAGCTGAACACCAGTTCCCCAAGAACACCAGTCCTCAGGTGGGCACCTAGTCCTCTCGTGTGCATCAGGTGCCAGGCTGACATAGGCAGCAGCTGAACTCTGGGCCTCAGGTGAACATCAGATCCCAGGTTGTCACCCAGGCCCCAGGTGAACACCAGGTTTTAGGTGAACACGAGGTCCTAGGTGGGTGTCTATGCTTCTGGTGAACCTCAGGCCCTAGTGGACACTCAGGCCCTTTATAGACATCTGGCTCCATGTGCACTCCCAGGGCCCAGGTAGACATGAGGCCCCAGAGGAACACCAGTCCTTAGTCACCTAAGACTGAATTCCCCTAGGGCTGGAGACTGAGTATTCACCTTGGGCCTAGGAATCTACCTGGGGCCAGATGTCAATCTGGGGCCTGAAGTCTACTCAGGTTCAGCTGTCCACCTAGGGCGGGGTGTTTTTCTGGGACCCAGAGTCTACCTGAAATCTTAGTGTCAACCTGGGGCCTATGTGTCCACTTGGAGTCTGACGTGCACCTGAAGCCTGAGTTTTCACCTAGGATCTGATGAGCACCTGGGGCCCAGGTTTCCATCCGAAACATCAGGCTCTAGTTTTACATCTGGGCCCCAGGTATACACTAGACACCAAAAGAACTCCAGCCCCTATCTTAACATGAGGTCCTAGGTGGATGCCCAGGCCTCATGTCTACATTAGGCCTCAGGTAGACACGACTCCAGGTGGGCATCAGGCCTGATATTGGCTCTATGTCTCCACCCAAATCTCATGTTGAATTGTAATCCACATGGGTTGAAGAAGGGGCCTGGTGAGAGGTGATTGAATCATGGGGGCAGACTTCCCACTTGCTGTTCTCGTGATAGAGTTCTTATGAGATCTGTTTGTTTGAAAGTGTGTAGCACATCCCCCTTCTCTCTCCCTCCTCCTCCCCCATGGTAAAAAGGGCTTGCTTTCTCTTGGCTTTACATCATGATTGTAAGTGTCCCGAGCATGCCCAGTCATGCTCCCTATTAAGCCTGAAGAACTGTGGGTCAGTTAAACCTCTTTTCCTCATAGGTTGCCCAATATCAGGTAGTTTTTTATAACAGTGTGAAAATGGACTAATACAAGGTCTTAGGATAACAAACATGCTTCAGGCCATAGGTGGACATCTGGCTGCAACTGGATACTATTCCCCAGGTGGATACCTAGGCTCAAGGTTGACATTAGTCCCCAGGTAAACAACAAGCCCCAGGTGAATACCTATACCCTAAGTAGACATCAGGCCTCAGGCTGACACTCAGTCTAACCTCAACATTAGGCTCCAGGTGGACACCCAGACTCCAGGTGGATACTAGACCCCAGGGGTACACCAGACTCCTGGTAGGCATAAGGCCCAACGAAGACACTAGAATCCAGGTGTACGTAAAGCCACTGGTTGACACCAAGCCCTCAGATGAACACCAGGCCAACTAGTGGACATTAGGCACATGAGAATACTTGGGCACCAGGCAGGTATCAGGTCCCGGGTAAACATCAAACTTCAGGTGGACATCATTCTCCATGTAAACTCTAGCCCCTGCTAAACATCAGGCTCTAGGTGGAAGCCCAGACCCCAGGTGCACTTCTGGCCACAGTTGAACATCTGTCCCCAGGTGAATATCAGACCATGGATGCATAGCAAGTCCCCAGGTGGACATCAGGTCAAAAGTGAATATAAGTCTCTAGGAAGACATCTGGCCCCAGGTGGATACTGAACTAGAGGTTTACATCGGGCCCCAGGTTGACAGCAAGGCCCAGGTAGACAGCAGGCCCCAAGTGAAGACCATGCCCAGGTGTATACTGAACTAGAGGTTTACATCAGACTCCAGATTGACATTCAGTCCCCAGGTGGTCATGACACCTCAATTGGACACCAAGTCCTCAGGTCGATACCCAAGTCCCAGGTGGACACCAGGTCAAAGATGAAAACAAGACCTAAGGTTGACACTCAAGCCCTAAGTGTCACCAGGCACTAGGTGAATAATATGACCCAGGGGATCATTAGGACCCAGCTGCATACCAGTCCCCAGGTTTACACGAGGCCCCCAGTAGGTTCCTAAGCTCTAGTTGGACATGAGGTCTCCAGTAGACACCCAGGACTGAGGCGGACATCAAGCATCAGATGGACGTCTGGCCGCGGATGAACATCAAGCCTCACATGGATACCTAGTCCCCAGGTAGTAGACATCAGGTCCCAGTTTGACATCAGTTTCTGGATAGATCCCTAAGCCCCAGGTGGATATCCAGTCTCCAGCTGAACATCAGCCCTTCGTGGACACCCAGGCCCCAGGTGGATATCAGGTCTCAAGTGAACACAAGTCCCCAGGCAGACATCAGGCACCAGGTACACACTCAGACCCCAAGAGGACAACTGTCCCCAGGTTGACATCACTCTCAAGGTGTACATTAGGCAACAGATGTACACCCAGGTCCAAGGCAGACACGAGTCCCCAGTAAAACTCAAGGCCCCAGAAGGATACTCAAGCCCTAGGTGGATGCCCAGACCCCAGGTAATTACAAGGCCCCAGGTGGATATCAGATTCCAGATGAACATTAGGCCCCAAATGGATACCTAGGCACCAGGTAGACATCAGACCCCAGGTGCATCCCCCAGTCTCAGGTGCACACTAGGCCCCCAGTGAACACTGGCTCCAGGTGAGCACCCAGTCCAAGGTACACACCATGACCCAGGTGGTCATTAGGCCACAGCTGAACACCAATCTTGAGGGAACACCAGATCCCAGGTGGGCACCTAGTCTCCAGGTGGATATTGGGCCCCAAGTGGACACCCAGCCCCCAGGTGAACATCAAGCTTCAGGTGGACATCATGCCTCAGGTGAACTCCGGGTCCCAGCCCAGCTGAACATCAGGCTGCAGGCGGATGCCTAGGTTCCAGGTGCACAACAGGTCACAGTTGGACATTCAGCCCCAGGTGAACATCAGGCCATGGGTGGATAAACAGTCCACAGGTGGACATCAGGTCAAAGGTGAACATCAGTACTCAGGTGGACATCAGGCTCCAGGTTGACATCAAGCCCAAGGTGGACACTGAACTAGAGGTTTACACCAGGCCCCAGGTTGACACCCAGGCTCAGGTGGACATTGGGCCCCAGGTGGATACCTAGGCCCCTAGTAAACCTCAGATTCTAGGTTGACATTCAGGCCCCCAGTAGTCATTTGGCCCCAAGTGGACACTCAGGCGCCAGGTTCACATGATGTCTTAACTGGACACCAAGGGGCCAGTTTGATACCCAAGTCCTATGTGGGTGCCAGGTCCAGGGTTACACTCAAGCCCCAAGTGGACACCAGGCCCTAGGTGAATAACACAACCCACGTGGTCATTAGGCCCCAGAATGACACCAGTCCCCAGGTTAACAGGAAGCCCCCAGTGGGCACCTAGGCCCCAGCTGGACATCAGGCCTAAAGTGGACACCCAGGATCAAGATGGACATCAGGACTCAGGTGGACATCTGGTGACAGGTGGACATCAAGCTTGGTGTGTACCTTGTCCCCGGGTAGTCATCAGGCCCCAGTTCAACACCAGTCCCTGGGTGGATTCCTCGGCTCCAGGTGGACATCCTGTCTTCAGCTGAACATTAGACCCCAGGTGAACACCAGGTCTTAGGTGGACATTAGGCCCCTGGTGGACATAAAGTACCAGTGGACATCCATGTTGCAGGTGGACACCCAGTGCCCAGATGGGCATCAGGCCACATTTGGACATTGAGGCCCCAGGTGGATATCAGGCCTCAGGTGAACCCTAGGTCCAACACAGACATCAGGCCTTAGGTCGACACTCAAGCACCAGATGGACTGCTGCACCTAAGTAGAAAACAGACCCCTATCTGGATATCTAAGATACAGGTATACAACAAGCCCCAGGCTGACATCCAGACCCCAGGTGGACACCATAGCCCAGGTGAACAGCAGGCAACAGTTTGGCACCAAGTACCTAAGTGAAACAAAGCCTTAGGTGATTACCAGGCCATAGGTAGTCATTAGTCTCCAGCTGGACAATAGTCCCTAGGTGGATACCTAGGCCCCAGGTGGACACTAGACCCCAGATTAACACAAAAACCAAGTAAAAAATCAAACCCCAAGTGGAAAACCAGTCCCTAGGTAAATACACAAATCTCAAGCTGACACCAGGCCCTATTTGGACACCCAAGCCCTAGGTGGACTTCAGGCCCCAGGTGAACACTGAACTCTAGAAAGTCTTCAGGCCCTGTGTTGACTACCTGGCCCCAGGGGGACACCAGGCATTCATGAACTTCAGGCACCAGCTGTACATCAGGTTCCAGACAAATGTCCAGGCCCCAGGTGGATATCAAACCTCAGATGAACACCAGGCCCCAGGTAGACATCACAAACCAGGTGGACACTCAGGCCCCTACTGAATATCTGTCCCCAGGTGGACATCCATCCCAAGGGGAACATCAGGCCACAGATGTACACTTAAGCCTAAGGCAGACCCCAGGCCCCAGGAAAACTCCAGGCTCCATGAGGGCACTCAGACCCCAGGTGGATGCATTGGTCCTAGGTAAACACATGGCCCCAGGTAAGACATCAGGCTGCAGTGAACACGGGAGCCCAGGTGGGTACCTAGTCCCCAGGTGTGCATCAGGCAGAAGGTTGACCCAGTCCCCAGCTGAACTCTGGGCCCCAGCTGAACGTCATAACCCAGATGGTCACCCAGGCTCCAGGTGAACACATAGTCTTAGGTGGACATCAGGCCCCACATGAACACCCAAGCCCCAGGTAGATATCAGGCCTTAGGTTTACACCAAACCTCAGGTGGGCATCTGGCTCCAGATGGCCATAGGTGGATAACTAAGCCTCTCCTGGATATCAGGCCCCAGGTGGGCACCAGGCTCCAGGCGAACATCTAGCCCCAGGGTGACATCCAGCCCCTGGTGGACATCAGGGCTCACATGGATAAACAGTTTACAGATGGACACCTGCCACAGGTGCCTCACCTCTACTCCCTGAAACCTCACTTCCCCTCATGGGCCTTCTGTCCGACTTGGGGTATCCCTAGCCGCCCTAGGCGCACACTGGACTCGAAACAGGGACGCCAGGGTCCCTGGGGCTCAACGCAAGGGTTCATGGGAATACACTTTCGTCCGTGGGGGACCCAGTCCCCGGTTCTCGGCGGTGCAGTTCTTTTTTTTTTTCTCTGCCCCAGGTGCCTCACCTTCCCCTCATGGGCCTTCTGTCCACCTTGGGGTACCCCTAGCGGCCCGAGGCACACCCTGGGCTCGAACCAGGGATGCCAGGGTCCCCGGGGCACAGCGCAAGGGCTGATGGGGAGACACTTTCTTCCGTGGGGGACCCAGGCCCCGCTTCTCCGAGGCGTGTTTTTTTTTTTTTCCTCTGCCCCAGGTGGGTCACCTTCCCCTCATGGGCCTTCTGCCCGCTTTGGGGAACACCTAGCGGCCCCAGGCAGGTGTTGGGCTCGAATAAGGGTCGCCGGGGACCCCGGGGCCCAGCGCAAGGGTCGATGGGAAGACACTTTCACTGGTGGGGGACCAAGGTCCCGCTTCTCCGCAGCGCGGTTTTTTTTTTTTTTTTTTTTTTTTTTTTCTGCCCCAGGTGATTCACCTTTCCCTCATGGGCCTTCTGCCCGCTTTGGGTAACCCCTAGCAGGCCAGAGGCGCACCCTGGATTCGAGCCAGGGATGACAGTGTCCCCGGGGCCCAGCGCAGGGGCTGATGAGAAGGCACTTTCGTCCGTGGGGGACCCTGGCCCTGCTTCTCTGTGGCGCGGTTTTTTTTTTTTTCTTTTCTGCCACAGGTGCCTTACCTCTCCTCCCTCAAACCTCACCTTCCCCTCATAGGCTTTCTGCCCACCATGGGGTACCCCAAGAGGCCTGAAGTGCACCCTGGTCTTGAACCAGGGATGCCAGGGTCCCCTGGGCCCAGCTCAGGGGCTGATGGGAAGACACTTTCGTCCGTGGGGGACACAGGCCCCGCTTCTCCGCGGCAGGGTTTGTTTTTTTTTTTTCTCTGCCCCAGGGGCCTCACCTTCCCCTAATGAGCATTCTGCCCGCTTTGGGATACCCCTATTGGTCACGAGGCGCACCCTGGGCTCTACCCAGGGTCGCCAGGGTCCACGGGACCTAGCGCAGGGGCTGCTGGGAAGGCACTTTCGTCCCTTGGGGACCCAGGCCCCGCTTCTCCGCGGCGTGGTGTTTTTTTTTTTTTTTTTTTCTGCCACAGTTGCTTCACCTCTCCTCCCTCAAACCTCACCTTCCCCTCATGGGCGTTCTGTCAGACTTGGGGTACCCCTAGTGGCCAGACGCACACCCTGGGTTCGAAACTGGGACACCAGGTTCCCTGGGGCCCAGCGCAAGGGCTGATGGGAAGACACTTTCTTCCTTGGGGACCCAGGCTCTGCTTCTCTGCGGTGATTTTTTGTTGTTGTTCTTTTGTTTTGTTTTTTGCTTTTCCCCAGGTGCCTCACCTTTCCCTCATGGGCTTTCTGCCCGCCTTGAGATACCCCTAGCGGTCCAGAGGCGCACCCTGGTTTCGAGCCAGGGACGCTAGGGTCTCCGGGGCCCAGTGTAGGGCTGATGGGTAGGGACGTTGGTCTGTGGGGGACCCAGGCGCCACTTCTGGGCGCCGCAGTTTTTTATTTTTTTTCTCTGCCCCAGGTGTCTCACCTTTCCCTCATGGGCCTTCCGTCTGCCTTGGGGTACCCCTAGCAGGCCGAGGCGCACCCTGGGCTTGAGCCAGGGATACCAGGGTCCCCGGGGTGCAGCGCAAGCGCTGATGGGAAGACAGTTTCTTCTGTAGGGGACCCAGGCCCCGCTTATCTGCGGCGCGGTTGTTGGGTTTTTCTCTGCCCCAGGTGCATCACCTTCCCCTCATGGGCCTTCTGTCCGCTTTTCGGTACCCCTAGCGGCGCCTGAAGCGCACCCTGGTCTCGAACCAGGAACGCCAGGGTCCCCTGGGCCCAGCGCAAGGGCTAATGGGAAGACACTTTCGTCCGTTGGGGACCCAGGCTCCGCTTCTCCGTGGTGCGGTTTTTTTTTTTTTTTTTCTGCCCCGGGTGCCTCACCTCACCTTCCTCAAACCTCAACTGCCCCTCATGGGATTTCTGCCCGTCTTGGGGTACCCCTAGCGGGCCCAAGGCGCACCCGGGGCTCGAACCAGGGTCCACAGGGCCCAGCGCAGGGGTTGATGGGAAGGCATTTTCTTCCGTGGGGGACCCAGGCCCAGCTTCTCCTAGGCGCGGCTTTTTTTGTTGTTGTTGTTTTGCTTTCTTTTCTTTTCTTTTCTGCCACAGATGCCTCACCTCTCCTCTCTCAAACGTTAACTTCCCATCATGGGCTTTCTGTCCGACTTGGGGTATTCCTAGCGGCCCAAGGCGCTCCCTTGACTCGAACCATGGACGCCAGGGTCGCCGGGGCCCAGCGCAGGGGCTGATGGGAAGGTACCTTCGTCCGTGGGTACCCAGGCCCCGCTTCTCTAAGGTGCGTTTTTTTTTTTCTCTCTGCCCCAGGTCCCTCACCTTCCCCTCATTGGCCTTCTGCCCTCCTTGGGGTACCCCTATCAGGCCCGAGACACACCCTGTGCTCGAAACAGTGTTGCCAGTGTCCACGGGGCCCAGCGCAGGGGCTGATGGGAAGGCATTTTCGTGCATGGGGGACACAGGCCCCCCCTTCTCCGTGGCGCTTTTTTTTTTTTTTTTTTTTTTCCTGCCACAGGTGCCTCACCTATCCTCCCTCAAACCTCACCTTCCCCTCATGGGCCTTTTGTCCGCCTTGAGGTACCCCTAGCGGCCTGAGGCGCATCCTGGGGTGGAACCAGGGACGCCAGGGTCCACTGGGCCCAGCGAAGGGGCTGATGGGAAGGCACTTTCGTCTGTGAGGGACCCAGGCCCCACTCCTCTGCACGCGAGGTTTTTTTTTTTTTTTTTTTTTTTTTTTCTCTGCCCCAGATGCCTCACCAGCTACTTGGGAGGCTGAGTCAGGAGAATTGCTTGAGTCTGGGAAACCGAGGTTGCAGTGAGTCAAGAGATCACAGCACTGCACTCCAGCCTGGACAAAAGAGTAAGAGTCCATCTTAAATAAATAAATAAAGAAACTAAAGACGTAATAGGCATCACTGAAAAAGTTGGAATTAGTTAATACAGGGAAACATTAGGATGAATGATATAAAAGAACTAAAATCAAAATGAAAATAAGTATGCTGACTCCTCACACTCTCTTTTATCTCCATGATGAAATAAATACAATTTAAATACCAAGATATGATATACCTATTAAATGAGTTTTGAGGAAGGACAGTAAAAAGTAACCATGCATCTTGTATTAATGAACCAGATAACCTATTACATATGGTTTTAGCAGTAAGATTTGATAATATATGTATTTCATATTATTTCATAAGAAATATTTAAATTATACATGGATTTTTCTAGTGGCTACTTCATCTCCCACTTCTTTTCATAGTACTGACTAGATTTTAAATTACTGATCATAATGTGTCTTAGTTCACTGAGATGATAAATAGCAAAACATTTCGAATTTAAATAAAGGAAAGAAATTTTAAGTTTGATTTTTCCACTAAGCTGAGCTACCTTCCAATTAGATTATTTGAGATCTCACAAACAAAATAGTATCACAGCAGGACATAACCTCAGGATTCCTTTTCACATCAAAGTTTTTTACTTTCAAAACTCCAACCTTTACACAATATTGATATAAACGGCGGCAAGACCCGTAGACGGGAGGTAATGTTATAAATGTACAAATTTCTTATCTATATTTAGATTTATACTTTACATAAAGATGTTCCCAAAACAGAAATAATATTATTAGAAATACTAAAATTGAATTTCATTAATACCTAATTTAGATAATAATTATGAGAAAAAGCATGTATTACACTTCATTGTACCTTAAATTTTTCCCATACCTTCATTCACTAGATTCACCATCAATTCAAAATTAGATAACCCATGAAGGAGCTCATGTATATGTATATATACTGATGAAGCACTACTATGTTACTTTTGGAATAAAAATTAATGCTTATCTATATAACTTGCCCATTAAAATCCCCAAGCATGGCAATGTGTATAGTCAAAATAGCTACTAGAGTTCATTTTTAAATTCTTGTATATATAATTCTAAGATATAACAGTAAATTAGAGTCTGGCACATAAGGTTTTTTTAAATAAAAGAGAAGCTATAAAAATGCACATGAAATTACACTCATTAGAAGAGATTTAATTTTTACATAAATTTGGATTTGCCACTAGTTAGATTTGAGTCCTCAAACATAAACTATATATAAATAAGGGTTGATGTCAATTAATATTATGCTAGACTTATGCCACGACAAAAGCATCATAAAATAATACCAGTCTTTATGATATAAATTATGTAATTGCTAATAAATATTATTCTTCTGAATAATTTTACCCTAGTAATTTTCTTCAACCTGACAGGGTTTCATGGACAATTCGAACCATGAGTATATGCAAATGATAAGGTCAGGATTCATATTTTACCTCAACTACATATTATAATCACTATGCTATCTTTGTTAAGGATTTTCTATTTATTGTCACAAAAGGCATTCCTTTATGGTATAACAACCTAAATGTCAGGGTTTTCTTTATTTATTGTATAAATATCTATCTGCATTAGTTCTAAAAAATGTATTAGCACTTTAAGGGCAGAACCCAAATACTGTAATACATTTACACAGCACTGAGTACATCATGTATAGTCTAAGTGTGTATAAAATACCAGCAATTGTACATGTAAAGAAAACTTACCAGACAGTTGTTTCCACTTGACTGTCATTGAGCTGCCAATTATCCAACTGGGGAAACAGTGGAAAAAGCACTTGAATCTGTCCAATTGAATGAATTGCACTATGAATTGAATGTGTTACTATCCCTTTCACATCCTATGTCTAAAAACAAAAATGTTTATTAAACTTCTATAGAATGATTTTCATCACTATTTCCTTGGTCCAAATACGTTTATAAGGGAATTAAATAACATAGTTGGAAATTTTTTAAGCCTTCAATTATAATTTTTATACACATGTAAGACAAAAAAGTGAGTACCTTTGCTAATCACTTTTAAATTTCAAATCTTAGGTCAACCTAAGATTTTTTTTTACACTAAAAATATGAAGTTAAAATCAAATGTTATTTTAAAATCAGAAATACTATTGATGGATTTAAAGACAAGTAATTTTAATGTTACAGAATATTAGTAATACAATCTTAAAGCAAAGTATGTTTTTATATCTAACAACTAACTGATTCAGTTAATTGATTTAATTTGAAAGGCTGTATAATATATAAGATAATAGGTATGACAGATTTCCTACTAAGGAGACAAGGCCAGGGTAGAGCATATTGCTACAGAAAAGATAGACATTCTTTAAAGTTTCACTTAAAAGATCTGCAAAAGCCAAAAAGAAACAAAAAGTCACAGATTTATAGATGAGCAATGTTTGATATATAAAATAAAAATATTGTTAAATTCTGACAAGAACATGAAAACAAAGCCATGATTCACCCACCGGAAGCATTAGAGCATGTTGGGAATGCACAAAAATTGATGCATCCTCTTTTGGTGATGATTCCAGGCAGAGTTGAGTATCAGTGGCCTTAGCAATTATATGTAAAGGCAATGCTACTTGCAAGTTTCCCATCATATAAAACCTGTTTATGATGTTCTGCCAAATGAATATCACTCTTAGATTTAAACTTGAAGGTACTCTGAAAAAATAAAACTAAGTTAAACACTGTTTTTAAAAGCAACAATTAAAAAGCCAAAGTTTTAAAGCAGAGAAACATTTGCAATAAGAAAGTACTTGTGTACCTTTCATGTGTCAGGGACTATTCAGTGGTGTTACTTACTTCGTTATAGTCACTTCAATTCAATGAGAGTTAAGTTTTATTATGCCAATAAAGATGCTCAGATCTTCATTTTCTAATTTAAAGTTTTTGATTACTGGCAAAATCATTTCATTAGAAAAAAATATCAAACCTGATTTTATATATAATAGGATTGTACTTGACTACATCATAGCATAAGTTTAATTTTTCTTGTTAATACTTTAAAAAGTATTTATGTAAATAAACAGTGCCTGACACATGAATTACTTACAAAAAAGACTATCATTTGAGGCTATAAAAAGTTAATATGCAAAAATATTCATATCTTTACTAAAAATAAAATCAACCTATGAAATACCAATGCTACTCAACAATAATATCACAATATACATACTAAACTCAGAAGATAAGTTTGTTAAAACATGTTATTACTTTTTATGAAAGACAACTAAACATATGCCATCTATAACAAGAAAGGTATTGTTAGACGTGGTTAAAATTGCTCTGCAGATATGAGTCTAATAATGATAAATGATATTTAACCTTTGCAATCATCACATATCAATATTACTATTACTTTCAACTTACAACTATGAAAGCTTAATGTTAAGAAATTAAGATTTAGAAGGGAAGGGGCCAGCATGTAATTCTAAGTCTTTTGATTTATAGTCCATATTCAATGTATCACTAGTGAAATCATCTTAAAATCCTGACTCTGCCACTAATCTTTTTCAGCTTAGGAAGTCTTTTAGCTGATGTGGCTCCAATTTTCTCACTCAATGTTATAATAGGGTTAAATCAAATGTCCCAAACTCAAGTTCTCACAGGAGGCACACAGATATGCATGTAAGCGAATTTGGCCAGATGGGGACTTCCTCAAACTAGAGAATGTTTGTCCTTTCTAAAAGTGGCCCCTACTCCTCAGTTCAAGTCAGTTGTTCAATGTTGCTAGTTCTTCCATATTTTTCAAGAGAAACATGAAATCCGAATTTTTATCTAAAAGCACTATATTTTACAATTTAATTAAAACATTTTAACACTGTGAAGACCAATCATGTCAGTTTTTACTTCTGGACTAGTGTGTAGAGACTAATACAAAACTGGATGCAAACTATTAATTATTAGGCATGTGCCAAGACAAGAGCAACATGAATAATTAAAAATTTGTGTATGCTGTAGTCTGAAGTATTTCATTGATAATACTTTTTTTTTGAATGAGGAGGGTAGTGTTATCACTAGAATGCTTAAGAACTCAGCATATCTGCATTCAAAAAAACAATGACTGAATTAAAACACACAAGATATGTTGTTAAACACTAAATCAGCTTTCCGTGTCTGCATTTTACAAATGCTGAAACATTTGTACATCCCATTGTCTAGAACAAAACTCCTGCTTTCATTTTGTTCATCTTGCTTACACTGGAATTAACAAGTTTTAATATATTATCTTAAAGGATTTAAAATACCTTTGTGGAAATGTAAGATGTTTAATAAAACCTATTCTTATTTGGAAATACATTGGTCTTAGTTTTTCTGAGTCCATGATACATACCATACCCTATTTTGGTTTGTAGGAGGAAAACAAGTTTATGTAATGAAATCTAACACTTTCAGGTTAAAAAAGTGTATAATGTAATTTAAATATAAACATGGAATCCATTAAATAAAACTAATTTTCTTATCTCCCCTTCTTTGTAGTATTAGGTTATTTCTATGTCTTTAAATTTATATATAAAGGCAGATGTGCACAATGGCACACACCTGTAATCTTAGCACTTTGAGAGGCCAAGGTGGGGGACCACTTGAGGCCAGGAGTTTGAGATCAACCTGGGCAACACAGAGAGAGACCCCATCTCTACCAAAAAATTAAAAATTAGCCGAGTGTGGTGTCACATGCCTGTAGTCCCAGCTCTTCAGGAGGTGAAGTGGAAGGATCACTGAGCCCAGGATTTTGAGGCCACAATGAGTCATGATCATACCACTGCACTCCACCCTGGGTGACACAGTGAGACCCTGACTTTAAAAAACATTTAAAAAGAAAAAATTTTACATAAAAATATAAGCCTTTATATAAATATCAATATTTATTGTATTATTTCTTTCAAAAGGGTTTTCAGAGGAAGAATTGTTATCTAAAACTGTATGAATAGGACACGGATGAGAATGAAGAGTGATTGCAAATAGGCAGGTAGGATCCTTCTGGGGTGATAGAAATGTTCTAAAATTAAATTGTAGTGATGTCTGCACAACTTTGTAAGTTTATAAAAAATAATTGACTTGTACACTTAATATTAATGAGTTGTATGGCATGTAAATTACACTTCATTAAAACTGTTATAATTATTTCAAAAGAAGAAAAGAAGGTATGAATATATTTTGTACCAATTATACTCAAATGAGTAGAGTATTATGCATGCTTTTCAATACGGACCACTTCAGCATAACAAAGAAGGTGGATGGAAGCAAAGTTATACTGAGCTAAGGAAATGACTCCAAGTGGTAATTGAATCTGCAGAAACAAATGAAGAGATTCATAAATGATAAATCAGAAGATCAATATAATAAAATCTACAAACATATACTGTATCGCCTTTCTTCTCTCAGCTTCTTTAAAATACACAATTATATGAAGTAATAATTATGTCATGTTGGGTTCATAACATATACAGATACTATATGTGTAACAATGTCACAAAAAACGGAGAAAACAAATAGAGCTATATAGAAGTAACATTTATATAACTCACTAGGATAAAATTAGTATAAATCTGAGGCTGATTCCAGTGAGTTAAGATGTATATGGTAAGCCCTAGTGCAATCACTAAGGAAATGTTTTTTTCAGTGAAAAAAAATTATTTAAAAATTGAAAATGCTGTATAAGAAAATAAGCACATAATCCAAAGAAAGTGGTAAAGAAGAAATAAAGAAATAAAAAGAACATGAGACACATAGCTAACAAAAAGTAAAATGACACATGGAAACCTATCAATAATCACATTAAAGATCAATGAAATAACCAATCCAATCAAAAGGCAGAGATTGTCAGACTGGATAATAAAGTAAGATTCAATAACATACTGTTTATAGAATATTCAAAGATAAAAACATATTTAAAGTAAATTAAATGGGAAAAATATCAATAAATCACAAGAAAGCTGGAATGGCTGTGCTAATATCACACAAAACAGACTTTAAAACAAGATATATTACTAGATATTAAAAAGACATTGGATAATGATAAAAGGGCCAATCATGAGGAGGATATAGCAATTGTAAACATATATGCACCTAACAGCAGAGTGTCAAAATACGTGAAGCAACATCTGAAGAAATGAAGGGAGAAATAGACAAGTTAACAATAATAGTTGGGCACTTCAATACTCAACTTTCCATTCATAAAATCAAGAAG
Source organism: Homo sapiens (assembly GCF_000001405.40). Taxonomy (NCBI): domain Eukaryota; kingdom Metazoa; phylum Chordata; class Mammalia; order Primates; family Hominidae; genus Homo; species Homo sapiens. The sequence goes on from NC_000014.9 coordinate 19,249,393, forward strand.
GAAACTGAAGACTTGAACAAAAACCAAACAGAACTAACAGACAACTCTAGAACACACCATCCCAAAGCAGCAGAATACACATTCTTCTAAAGTACACATAGCTTGGCTCAGTGGCTTATGCCTGTAATCCCAAGACTTTGGGAGGCTGAGGTAGGAGGATCACTTGAGGCCAGGAGTTCAAAACTAGCCTGAGCTAGCAAGACCCTGTCTCTGTAAAAAACTGAAAAATTAGTCAGACACAGTAGCTTGTGCCTATAGTCCCAGATACTCAGGAGGCTGAGGCAGGAGGATCACTTGAGCCCAGGAGTCTAAGGCTCCAGTGTGCTAGGACTGCACCACTGCACTCCAGCTTAGGTGACAGAAGGAGAGACCCTGTTTCCAAAAAATACGTACACACAAAACATTCTCCTGGATAGACCAAACTCAGGTCATAAAATAAACCTCAATAAATTTATGAAGACAGATATAATACAAAGTATATGATCTGTCCAAACTGGAATGTTAGAAACCAATAATATATGGGAATTTGAGGAATTCACAAATATGTGGAAATAAACACATTCCTAAATAACTGATGTGTCAAAGAAGAAATAATCAAAAGGGAAATTACAAAATATTTTGAGATGAATAAAGGCACAAATACCAAAATATATGCAGTTAAGGCACTTAGAAACTTATACGTGTAAATGTTTGTATTTAAAAAGAGGACTTCAAATCAACAACTAAACCTCCCACCTTATGACCCTGGAAGCAAAAAAGCAAACTAAACATAAAACAAGCAGAAAGAAAAAAATAAAAAGAATTATAGAAGAACTTAATGAAATAGACAATAAGAAAACAACTGTGAAAACACAATAAAATCAAAAGCCAGTTCTTTGAAAAGGTCAACACTACTAACAAGCCTGTACCTAGACTGATTAGCATATTAATATTATTATCTCAACAGATACACAAAATGTCTTTGACAGAAACTAACACTTTTTATAAGAAGCATTGAACAAACTAGGAATAGAATGGAACTTCTAACTAGCAAGAAAAAAGCATCTATAAAAAACCTACAGCCAACAACATAGTGCAATTTGTTGCAGGACGTCAGAGCATAAGAAGGGTAGGAAGGGTAGGTAGGAGAGCTGCCCAGTTCATGAAGTCAGAATTCCAAAAAAGTGATAAGGCGTCTACCTGAAACAACAAGGAAGAGGCAAGTGGGTTGTGCTTTGACATAAAGTTTCTGAGTATGTGCAAGGTAAGGAAGGTTAGGTACACTAAAGGCTTCTCTGTGTAGAGATTCAGAGCCTGAAAAGGGTGAGAAGGCTTCCGCCTGGAGGAGAGGGCAAACCATCGGAGGCAGCTGGACCTAGAGTGGGGGTTGAAACTCATTCATTTGGTGTGTGGCTTGACATGTTGGAGCCTGGGCAGCCAGAGAAGGGCATCCTCACAGAGGGTTGCCTGGCTCAGTTTGTTGTAGCCTGAGGAAGATGAGAAATACGCACAAAGGGAAGCAACCAGGCAAGGGAAGGCACAACACCAGCAGGGCAGGGAGCACATTGCCTAAAGGAGTAAGCCAGGGTGGGGTGTCAAGAGTTCTAGAGAGAAGGTAGCATCTGAATAAGAGGGCTGCCCAGCAGGAGGTAAAGAAACCCGGGGCTCCAGAAGGATATAGGGAAGGCATCAGCTCAACAGCCTAGCTAAGTGTATTGTGCTAGAACTGAGGAAGGGTTAAGAGGGCATCCATGATGGAAGGTAACCAGAAAAGAAGCCAACACCTGCCTCAGGTTAAGAGGGCATCCATATGGAAAATGAAGGAAAGACTGAGAAGCTGTTTGATGCATTATAATGTAAACGCAGTAAACTGGATCTTTTTACTATAAAATATACAACAAATAGCAAAATTTTAACGGGGTCTGAGAATTAAATGGTAGTAACAAATCATTGCTAATCTCTTGATTTTATGTTACAGAATAATTATGTGAAAGAATGTTCTTGTTTGTAGCAACATAACATTCAGGAATGATGGAGCATCATGTCAGTAGTTACTCTCATAGTTCAGGAAAAAAACTGGCATAGTGCTTGTAGCTTTTCTGTAATTTTTATTTTACTTTTAAATTTAAAAATGAGAGAGAAATAAAGAAGGAGATAAAGATTTAAGAGAAAGTGAAATAAAATAAGTGATTTAAGAGGAATATTAAAGATAAGCAAAGTAAATAAACATGCATAGTCAAGTCTCTGGAGAAGAAAACCAAAGCAAGGAAACAGAAGAAATTCTAAAAGTATAGTATAAGAACAATTTCTTAAAATATGAAAAGATGCAAACTACATATGAAAGTGCACACCATATACCTGAGAAATTAACTCAGAACGACCAACACCAAGACATATCTACCAAAATTATTAGATTTAAGGAAAAAGAAAAAAAAGTCCTTTGAACATCTAACAAGACTGAGTGTCTTGTAATGGAGAAGATATTACATTGTCAACAGACTTTCAATACTAATACCTCATGCCAGGGAAAAATTAGTAGCATATTTAAGACATCCAAAGAGAGAAAGAAAAGTCAAGGATTTTATAGCCAGGCAAAATGACTTTCAAGTAAAAAATATAAAGCACCTTACAAACTAGTATCAAAATGCATTTCTCAAGAAATACTGTTTCCATGAACTCTTCCTGAGGAATCTACTACAGAAAGAGCTAAAACACAGCCAAAACACATCAATATAAGGAAATAATATGAGCCCTAAACACACAGGTACTTATAGGACTATGATTAAATAAGAGTTAAGAGAGAATGGTATGTAATAACTGTGTGTGCTCACAATGTAGATAAGACCTTGTATGAGCTTGCTGGATCTGCTATGACAAAGTACCGGAGTCTGGATGGCTTAAATAAAAGTTGTTTATTTTCTCATAGTTCTGGAGGCTGTAAGTCTAACATATGCGTGTAAGCAGGGTTTTCTTCTGAAGACTCTCTCCTTGGTTTGAAGACAACCTAACTACCTTTTCTTCCCTGTGTCTTCACATGGTCTTTCTTTTGCATGTGTCTGAGTCCTAATTTCCTCCTCTTTATAAGGATACAGTTATACTGGATTAGGACCCAATAACCAAAATGACCTCACTTAATCTTAATTACCTCTTTAAAGACCCGTCTCCAAAAACAGTCACATTTCAGGCTACTGAGGGTGAGAATTTCAATGAATTTTAGGGGAACATAATTCACCTTGTAACCTACCTCAACTATTTTAAAAATGGCAAGAGGGAGAATGAAGAGAACGCATGCAAAAACAAATTAACTGTATTTTCAGTAATTATAACAATTGGGCATTATTGATATTATTATTCTGAGGCTGTTCTTTATGTATAATTATGGGATTTTCTAATCTATTATCCTGTGTGTATTTGACAGTATCCTCAATGAAGAAAGGAGATTTAACTTCAAGTAGGTCAAGTTAAAACACCACACTCTCCTGCTTTTTCTCCTTATTCCCTTGCTCTCCTCTTTCTCCTTTGCTGCTTCCTCTGCATCTCCTCAACCTACAAACAGTGGCTTTCCCAAGGACTCATTTCTCAGTTATCTTTTTCTCTGAACTCACTTCATTGGCACGTAAATCCAGTCCTTTACCTTTAAATCCTGTCCATATCCTGCCAATGCCAAATTTCTATCTCCAACCTAGATGTCACCTCTAAACTCCAGACTTACTTCATTTTTCCATTTAGATGTTTATTGGGCATCTCAAACAACTATGCCCATAACCTATGTCCACAACCTAATATTTGATCTTCTCTGCCAAAACTTATTTCTTCATAGTCCTCCCATCTCAGCAAATGACAACTCCATCAGCTCAGTTGTTCAGGCTGAAATTCATGGGGTTACTTGCTCCTGTCAGTCCTCTCTTGCTCCCTTACCCCATGTTCACAGTGACAGAAAATCCTACTGGCACTACCTCCAAAGTATATCCAAAAGCTGACCTTTGAGAGTCTTAGATATTTTAGATATGCTTTATCAAAAATCTAATCAAGTCTCAATACTTTCCAGAGCTCTTTCACTAAATAACTGCAGCAGCCCCCTAACTAGTCTCCCTATTTCCACCTTTTCTCCCTATTTACCATAGTAACCAGAGTGATCCCTTTCAAATTGGTATCAGGCCAGTACACCCAAAACTTTTCAATGGCTGTCGCTCTCACTCAAGAGCAAAAATAAAGTCATAACAATCCTCTGAAAGCATATAGTTGTTCTCTGAATTAATCTTCTTTGACTCTCCCCCTTGCTCCTTCTGTGACAGTCACAGGAAAACATAGTCACAGTGTTCTTTAATCTGTGAAGTAAGCTTCTGCTAATGGCCTTCATTCTTGCTCTGGCATTTACCCTTAAAGCTCTTCCCCAGATATCCACTTGGCTAGCATCAACTTCCATCTTTTTTACCTGCTTTGTGTGTCTCATAGCTCTTATCACCATATACACACTATATATTTTTCTTTTGTTTTGTTATGTCTTCTCCCATGATACTGCAAACCCTACTTCTCCAAAATACAGGCAAGGGGTTTTTGTTGGTTTTGTTTGATTGTTATGTCCCTAGCATCTAGAACAGTGCCCAACTGTTTAATAAAAGAATGAATGGATGAATTAGTGAAGGCTAATTATTTGTATTTAGTTAGCATTGATGTATTTTGTTTTCCTTTCAATTGGGCTTTTGTTATCTTTAATTTGAAAGAGGGGTCTACAGCATATGCTGTGGGTAAATGAAATACCAGATACATACCTATCATTCAAGAAAAGACATGCAATTTTGACTTTGATAATTTTGTTTTAGCCATTGAATTGTCGTCAACATTCTATCAAGACACATTGCAAAATACATAACTTTTCAACTACATAGGTGCATTTATAGCCTCTCCCCAAATCTTTCTGTGAGTTATCATACGTATTACATGTATATACACTGAATCATCCAGGTTTTCTTCTTTAGTCAGTAATGAGAGTCAAATAACAACAAATTTTTAAAATTTTCTTTCAAAAGACCTAAAGAATATTTTCACTGGATAAAAAATTCTAGGTTGACAGATTTTTTTCTTCCTTTCAGAACTTTAAAGATTTTGTTCCACCTCTATGGCTTCCCTGCTTTCTGATGAGATGTGTACAGAAATTCAAATTATTGTTCCCTTATCAGTATCTAGTTTTCCTCTGCCTGCTTTCAAGATTTTCTCTTTATCTTCGGTTTTCCACACTTTGACTGTAAATGCCTACTTTGGTTCTCTTTGCGTTTATTTTGGTTGGAATTTTCAGAGTTTCTTCAATCTATAAACGTAATCCTTTTACCAAATCTGAGAAGTTTTCTATCATCATTTAGTCAAATATTTTTTCTGGCTCTTTCTCTTATACTGTGCCTATTAGACCTTTCAAAACTGCCCCCATACATCTCTATGGTTCTATTTTTTCACCCCAATCTTTCATAAGTCTCTTCAGATTTTCTATCAATCTATATTCAAGTTCATTTACTTCTCTATAATATTAATTCTGCTAATAAGCCCATAGAGCCTATTTTTAATTCTGATATATTTTTCAGCTCTAGAATTGCCATCTGATTTTGTTTTATTTCACGGCTGGTACTTCCTATCTTTTAATTCATTATAAGTAAACTTTTCTCTACCTCGCTAGTTACAATAGACCTCATGTGATATTTCCAACATGTGGGTTATCTTAGAGTTGGTATATGATGATTTTCTCTTCCCTTGAGAATAAGTCACATTTTCCTGACCATTTTTAGAATAAGTACTTTTGGATTATATGCTAAATAGTGTGACTATAACTCTGTACAATATTATGGAGAAACTTTCTGGCCAGAAAATTTCCTATAAAAGCAAAAAATGGGGATATCAGTCCATGTAGACTGACTGTTCCATATTTTGATTCCCCTCCAAAGCTTGCCTGCTTTTATTCAATCTCCACAACCCTCAGATAGATGTTATCTATATTATGTGCAGAGTTTACAAATGGTTATTTGTGAGAAGATCAGTTTGTTAGGAGCTCACCCCTCCACACAAGTATTGGAAATCCTCTGAAGTGATTTTTAATTTTGGAGGTTGTGTTATACTTTTTCTCTTATCAGTTAGAACTTTATTATGATATAGCAAATTATAAAAACCATTATGCTATCATATTCATAAATGAAAGAGAGAACTCAAAGCTAAATTTTCAAATATCTGGCCATGAAGACTAACTGCTTGCTACACGGGATTAAGAGAACAATGAGAAAATGTCTAGTAATAATTATGAAATATAAAAACTTTGTTAAAATCTGATTTGCAAGCTTTTGTCAAAGGGCCACCTCATACAGAATCTTGAAGACATTAAATAACCCCAAATAGAGATCCACAGTAAACCTATCTGGTAGTAAATTTTACTATACTAGACAAATCTACAGTGAGATTTTCTGTATTTTAAATATTTTCTGTATTTCTGTATTTTCCAAACTGAATGGTTTATTTAGTTAATAAGTCATACCCTAACTTATTTACCGTTTCCAGAAAATAACCAAGTACAGAATATTTACTGATAAGATGCAATGCTCAAAACCAAATATTCGACAGAAAAAAATTTACCTAGCACTACAGTGACCAACAAGTCAAAATCATTTGTGACAGACTCTATTGAATATTTAGTTTGATGACATTATTTGAAGGTAGAATTAACTTATTTTATTAACTTCGAAGCCCATATGTTGACATGCTATCCACACTAAGCTCAGAATCATAAATTTTGTCTGACCATTACAATGAAAGAAAGTTCCATATAACTTAAGGCAATAAATATAAATACTATGTTATTATACAACACTACGTAATTTAAACTCCATTTGTGATTTATCCAAATGTCCATTAGTTATTATATTATCTACACCTTAAAAATTCCACTGTAGACCTCCACCCCTTCTCTCACAGAGAGTGACTTTACCAAGATAATTGTGACTATAATGTGTGAACTACTCAGCTTTTCCGTCAAAACACAGTCTGATCATTTGCGTTCCTCCTTCTCTATGTTCTCTGAATTTCTAAAAAGAAAAAAAAAGCTTTTTAATATAAAAAAAATTTGCTGATGCCTGTCATGGTGCAATTGTACTTACAATATTTACAAATTGAGAAAATGCATGTACCTGTGGATTTATCATCCATCCCCACTTACAACAAGGGTGCAGTAAGCTGAGAACTTTCAAAACGTAATAAAATACTATCTGATGTAATGCCCAAATTTACAGGTATCTCTCTTAAAAGTTCTGACTTTAGGTACTCTACTGTGTGTTAGGATACTAAGGATACTATACTATGTCACATGAGCTGTGCACACATGATGACCGGGTTAAAAAGAATGACAAGATGACTGTTGTTAAAAAGAATGACAAGAAAGACGTGTGAAAAGAATACTACCAACTACAGAGTTTGCAAAACTGTTCAGGACACAGTTTGCTTCTTTGTGAATAGAATTACAAAATTGCTTATATTCAGCCTTTTTCCTTGATGTTGCCAGGAAGCTCCCATCAATTCTGAAATTTCACATTAGCAATCATATTGGATTTGTATTTTCTTGATATTCTACCTTTTTATATTTCATTTGTTTGCTTGTCACTGTATTTAATATCATTCTACTAGAGCTTAAAAAGACACTACAAGTATTTTATGAAACAACTCAAAGAAGTAGGAAAGAAAAGCAGGCAGCATATTAATAAAAAATGTGAATTACAAAAATATTCCTATGCAAGATCAACAATGGAAGAACCAGGATGCAAACCCAACAAAAAGACCCATGAAAGAAGAAGTAGCTGGACAAGCACAAATTCATTTCTAGAGCTAGTAAGACAAAAACAAAAATGATATGGAAAATATATGATAGCAAGTATTATTACCTTGACATAAAAATAATAGCATTATTATTCTTCAATATTATTATGGTTATTAAAGTCACTGAGAAAAAAAGATCTTTTAATATAGGTAAATTCAAACTTTCCTCTCTCTCTCTCTCTATATATATATATACATATGTGTGTGTGTGTGCGTATATATATATATGACATAAAAATAAAAAGAGAAATACCAATGCAAAAATACAAAGGCCAAAGAGGGACTTTTTTAAATGTTTTTCCTTTCCATAACACAATCTTCACATTAATTATTTAAATTGAGTTCAATAAATAAACCAAGCTTCCATACAAGACAAGTACTCCTTCAGAATTATAAACACTTTGAGTATAATGTGTAATTCTCTTTCAGCTCCAAGTAGTTTGAGACTTCACAATTCCCAATGTGATTTAAACAGAACCTTTATATATTTCCCTAGCCAGGTGTACTGCACATTTAAAACTAACTCATATATGTGCATGCTATATCTTACCTAGAGTCTTTGTTCTTAAGAATCAATGAATGAGTTCATATTAAGTGCCCATTTTATAGTTACTGCTGTCAAATAGCATTTTAAGTATCTGTTTTAATATGGATGGTTTGATTTCTGAAACAACCTTTATTCTCTTGAGAGTTAATACCCTAAAATAGAGAATATAGAACTATTTTTTTCTAAAGTATAGAAAAATACAAATGATCTATAAACATTTGAACAAGTATGCTTTCTGAAGTTAAGAGGGGAAAATTAACTGGTTTCTCCCTCCCACCAAAATATAAAATACAAACTTTGTTCTACAGATTACTTGAATGCACTATTCAATTATTTCATATATATTTTGAGAAATAAAAAGTTATAATAATCCTTAATCACTAAAATATTAGTCATTTCAAGGTATCTAAAATACTTTGAGAAAAATTCAATTTTGTCCATTTCAATTTAGAAAATAAAAATAGGCTGGGCACGGTGGCTCATGCCTGTAATGCCAGCACTTTGGGAGGCCAAGGTGCGCAGATCAACTGATGTCAGAAGTTTGAGACCAGCCTGGCCAACATGGTGAAATCCCGTCTCTACTAAAAATACAAAAATTAGCCAGGCGTGGTGGCATCTGCCTGTAATCCCAGCTACTCGGGAGGCTGAGGCACAAGAATCACTTGAACCTGGGAGGCAGAGGTTGCAGTGAGCCAAGACTGCACCACTGCACTCCAGCCTGGGTGACAGAGCAAGACTCTGTCTCAAAAAAAAAAAAAAAAAAAAAAACAAGGAAAAAGAAAAAGAAAAAAAAATAGTGTGTTAAAGAACTCAAAAAAGTCAGTAATACAAAACAACAGTGTGCTTCTATAAAAGCAAGGTCAGGTCCAGACATTTAACTGTCTAAAATGCCCACCCTTTTTTCAGGTTTTTCATTCCAGGTAATCGTTAATTTATTGCAAACTAAGTCTTTTACTTGATTCGAAACTGACATATATGTTAGCCCTGATTAAAATTAGAAGAGAAAATCTTTAAAGTAGTCATTTAACCATTGTTTCTAAATATTACAAAATTATCAAGAAGAAACCATAAAAAAAGAGCTTCAAATAAATTTAAGGAAAATCTTATAGAATTTTACATGTATAAGAATTAAAGTTTGCACATATTACCTTCACTGAGTTTGAAACTATCCAACCAGAATGCTATCTAAATAACACAGAAGACACAATCTTTATATTCTAGAGTAAAAGATAAAGTAGAGTAAAGTAAAATGTAAAGAAAACTTTACATTTCTTTTTTTTTTTCAGAGAAAGATATGCCACTTTTATAATAGACAAAGTTAACCTGCCTTAATTATTAGGAACTCTTATAAATCAACAAGAAAAGGAAAGCTATTCATTAGAAACATGAACAGGTGGCCTAAACAGCAAATTTACAACGAAAAAGAAATACAATGGCTTCTGAACATACTAAAAGATATTTAGCTTGTAATTGTAAATGTTTGTCTAGCATGGAGCTAACCTGCACAACGTGCACATGTACCCTAAAACTTAAAGTATAATAATAAAAAAAAAAAAAAAAAAAAGAACACAGGCGCTGTCCAACTGCAGCCTGGTAGTAAAGTTGCCCTATTCCACTTCGTTTCTCTTCCTACATTTCTAAAGAGAAGAGACACAAATAAATACCTATATATAGGCAAAGATTTCCTGCCCAAAGACAATTTTAAGATAAATACTAGATGTATTATCATACTTATTGGTGTACTTACAATTAAAAAAGTACTCATTCAAACAATACTTACTGAGTTCTTACTACTTCAGATAACTTAATGTACTGGGCAGGATAAATTTTACTTCCTAAAGACATGAATTGGGTTCCCAAATTACTAGCTCTATGGCTTTTGGCAAATTACTTAGTATCTCTGAACCTATTTTCATCTCTGAAAAAGGGGAATAATAATGCCTACTTTGTGGATTCCTTGAGAATATTATAAACAGATAATGTATGAAAACTATGAAGAAAAGTTCCCAATGTATTTGGCACCCATACATAACATACCATTCACTAAACTACTATTTTAATTTTATCTACTATGTCCTCATGATGAGGTTCATTTATGCTAAAGTTGATTATTATTTACCTTTCAGAGTCATTCATTCATTCAAAAAATGTACTAAGAGCCTACTTTATGCCAAGTACCCTGTCCCAACCTTGGATCATGGATATATAAAGACAGACAACATACGCACACTCAAGGAAGTTTCACTAGAGAAACAGTTATGAGAACAATCGAGAATATCTAAAATACAGATTTGAGAGTAATAAAAGTAATTACTATAAGTAACAGGGAAGGAAAGACAAATAGAGAAGAAAGACTATCATAGAAGTATTCACTAAAAGCATAAAATGAACCATAAGACTATGCTTGAAGGATGAAAAGGAATTGTTCAGTAGACAGGGGTAAAAAAAACATTCCAGGTGGAATCTTAATATGATACAGCACAGATGCTTGATAAAACTTTCTTCAGTGTGTAGGTTTAGAAGGAAAAACAAAAACAAAAACAAAAACAGGCAAAGACCAGATTATAAACAGACCTTTAGGAAACTGGCCTTTGTTTTTTGCATAATGTGGTATAACTAAATAATTTTGAGCAGGAAAGTTAAACGATCAGCTTCATAGTGAAGGAAAATACCTGGCAGCAATGTGGAGGTGAGATAGGTAGGCAAGTGTGGACAAAGATAAAACTGAAAAACCACTGCAAAGGTTGAGGTAAGACACCATAAGCCGCTGAACTAAGACAAAGTCATTAGTAATTTTAAAATGAGGATGGGAATTAACTAACAGAACTGATAGGAAGTGTTAACATACAACAGGGGAGTCTAAGATGGCTTCCAATTTTCACTTAGAGGGGTAAGGGTACCATTAACTTAAGATCATTAATACAGAAAAATTAATCAGATTTGGAGTTTATCAAGGTTTGCTTTTGGTTGTAACAATGATATATGATAAAATTAAATGAATAAATAAATGAATGCACTGATGAATTAATGAACTGATCTCAGTTAAGACCAGAGTACTTATTTATAAGAAAAGTAACTTTTCTCTTTCCTTGGTACATCAAACTGTACTCTACAGATAACAGACACAAGTGAGTTTTTCAATGGTTAAAAAAAGCCTAACTTTTGACCTTATATATGTCGACTAAAGAAAATAAAAATAAACTTGGAAACTAGCTGTGCATACTGATATTATGTATATATAGTGAAGTCTGCATTTAGTTTGAGACTCAAAAAGAAATTTATAGAAGAAGGACACAACCAGGAATAAGGGGAAAAAAAGATCCATATTAAGAATCCACAAGATATATATTACAAGTTGAAGATATGGAAATAAATTGAAGACAAAAAAGTACAGATGATATCAATAATAGCTAATATGTCTAGAGCACATATTACCATTAGGTAACATGCTAATGGTTTATACCCATTTTCACAAGTTCTAACAGCTGGTAAGCGGTGCAGCTGGGAAAGCAAAAGTTTTAATGTAAAGATTTCTTTTTGAAAGGCCAGTAAATCTCTTATTAGGAAGGATAACAACAACTTAGCTAGGGCATCTGTGGGAAATTAAAGAAAGGAAGAAATAAGAGAATAAATTTATTGTGAATAATGAAACACAATAAAAGCAAATACTTATGACTTTTCAAGGTTTTTGAGAATCTTCACAGAAGACTTTTTAAAATCCACATCATTCTCTGGCCCTGCTCCTAACTAGACCCTTAGTATCATTGCATATTGAGAGCTTTACAAAGGAGAATGTGTTTTCCACAAGTAAACAGTGAAGAAAACACAAAATAGAAAACGTGAGAACAAATGGGTTAAAGTGCTTTTTATTGGCTAATGACAATTTCATTTGGTTATAACTTCACTCTAATTGTTTGCATGTATATTCTTTAAACCACTGTTTCCTAAAACTGTCTGATGAGAAAGTTACCTAGAATATTCATTAAAAACACACAATCCTAACATGAAAAATTATAATACCAACAATCTGTACTTCTAATCAATTCCACTGAAATTCAAAATAATTTGGCAATTTTAGCAAACAATCTTGGTCTTATCTTAGTTTTAATAAAACAGAATGTCCAGAGCAAAGGCAATGTGATTGGTATTAAAGTAATCAATTTGTATTAAAAAAGAAAGAATACACCATTATAACGAACGAATATATTTATTCAGATCATTGCTTTTTAAACTATTTTCTAAGTATATATTGATGAATTATTGTTAAATTGATATTCTTTAATAGAAACCACAATTACTGACATTAAATATAAAACAAATATTTTCATTAGAATCATATAAAATCTAAACAAATTTTTGAAAATACCACCCAAAATATTTTTTTTTCTGTATATGACAAGACACACATCAGATCATAAGCTACAAGAAAACAAACAAAAAAGATATGAAAAAGATATAAAGACCTCCCCCTCACCACGTTTGGATTCATCATATCTATTATGATTGTACCATTAATCACAAAGGGTAAGGCGATATTTCTGTTAGGAGGAGGCAGTGTGCCCTATAAAACGTTGACAATCTCACTGTCATATACCCAAGAAAGAACCCTGAACCTGGAAGGGCAAAAAAGCCTTAAACATGTGAGATGGGAACTGCTATGCACTCTGTCCTTGTTTTCTTTCATCTGGACTTTCAGATGGTTTGTTACTCTGACACAAAGATGGAGTCCGGTACACAGGCAGGAAAATCTCTCTAGAAAATGCCACCCGATTATGAATGAATTATCTCTTATAATTCTAATTATACAGTTGCACATTTCTCTGCATTTTCTCTTTACAGCAGTTTTTAAAATGTGTTTTGACCTTGTTTTTGCTATTATTTGGGATATTAAGTAAAGACATATTTTATGAGCCAAAACTAACAGTACAGCAACATTCAACTCCTTGAAGCCAGCATTATTAAAGCATCAGAAATTAACAAAACCTCCACTCTTAGGAAACAAGATTCAGAACTACTAGGATTAGGTGAATCTCCCCAAGAAAACTATCTGTGCATTGCTTAATCTGGGGGTTTAACATTTAACTTTTTTAAAAAAGAGGCAAAGATTTATAACTCCCTAGTGCCTACAATGGTGTCCAATACTCAGTAAATAATAAGTATCTATTGAAAGAATGCCATAGAACAGATGAGACTGAGATAATGAGAGAATGTAAGAGAAATACACGCAAGAGATCAAAGCACTGACCTTACAGAAGACAAAAATTAGACATAAAAGTAAAAAGAAAATGCAAACAAGGATAAGAGAAAACCATTAAAAGCATAGGAAATCCAGTGAAAGAGAATGCTACAGAGGTCATAAAAGGATAGTTAAGAATTCTGTCATAACAAGTGAGTTATAAAAATATTTACTTTTACCTACCTTACGTGGTTGAAAATCATATTTCACACAATGCTGAAAACATTTTCCTTTGGACTTCGATGATGTGACTATAAAACAGTTGCCAACAAAATGAGCAGAGTAACCAACTCCTTTGCTAGCATGAAAACTGTAAAGACAACTGAGAATAGTATAATATCCTCTGATAAAAAGAACTAAACACCTAATGGCTATTAAACATTCCTATAAAAATAAAACTTATTTCCCTGTATGGTAGAAGGAGTTTAATATGTGTCAAATAAAAACTAAACAAAAATATAAAAGGTTGAGTTATAAGTAAATATAAGAAATTTAAACTAGGAAATAAAAGACTATGGAAGCTTTTAGTATTTCAATCTAAAATCTCAGAAATACATAAAAACAAATTAACTGCCAACAAAACCCTACCACCAAGTAGACTTTATCTACCTTTAAGGACCATTTGCAATCAGCAAATACAGAACACATTTATACAAAGTTCACATTTTAAATAACAACCTGCTCTCTAATTCTGGTATACCTTTGAAAATAGCATACAAATTAAAAAGAAAAAGGAAAAAAAAAACTTGGTCATAGTCAAGTTTGATAAATACTGCAGTTGATCGAGCAAAGCAGTACATTTTTAGTTTAAAAAATTAAAAAGATGTAACTATGAAATATGGTTGTTTTCTTCTACAGAAGCATTCCCTTAGCTGTAAATTTAATCATGAAGTAGAAAAATGTGTAATCATTGAAAAATGAAGGTACCACTGAAATTAATATATAATCTCCCAAAATGACCACTTTGAAGTTCAACCCCATTTATGTTTGGAAGTTCAGATGCTTATTTAAAACTCGCTCTCATGTTATCCATATATAGTATTTTATAATAGAGCTTAAAAGATAGTAATAGCGCACATATTTCTGTGCTCACATTTCTGACCCAGCCATTACAAAAGGGCTTTAAATATGATTCTCTCATTAAATCCTATGGGATAGGCACTATTCCTATCCTCATTTTATAGTTGAAGACACCAAAAGTACAAGGTGAATAGTAGGTGGTGAAGCCAGAACTTGAACACAGGCAGTCTTATTTCAGTGTATTGCAAGTAGTAAATGAGTACATATATATAAACACTTACAATGCCTAACATATAGAATGGCAATCAATGAATGTTTGATGTTCTTATAGGTAAGTATGCTGTACTGTGCATTACTGGCATACTAAAATTACAGAGGTTTCAATCCTTACAGATCAACACATTGTTAAGTTGATCAACTCATTCTAGTGGTTTTCAGTAGCAATCCATTTGGTTAAAGGAGATTGAATCCTTAAAGCCAAAAATGACTGAGCTAGAGAATGTTAATGGAATCAATATTGAAGAAATGCAAGCATTAAGAGATAATGTTCATAATGTTAACAACATTGAAACCAAGAAAGGCAAAGCATGACATTTATTACTCAGAAACATAACCACTGATATTTATAACCAAAAAGGATTTAGGTCCATTCATAAGCAGAAAAGGAATAATGTAGGACTCCTTTGAAAATAGCAATCAAATAAAATGTAGCCATTCTAAGGAATAAGTGAGAAAGTAGCTGATTATTTCACCTGACTTCAAGAAACATCCGAATGGATTTATTTATTTTCCTAGACTTTATTCAAATTCTACATAAAAGATAATTACCCATTATGACTTTAAAATTAATCTGTTCCCCAAAAAGATCCTTCACGTTGCTGATAATGGCCTTTCTCAAATACAACATGGACCTTCCATGTCAAAAATCTTCTGCATTCAGAATAAAATTGTAATTTCTTCAGGTTATACAAGACTTCCCACATGCTATGGCTCCAACAAACCCTTTCGATTTTATCCTCCTCTAGTACCCAACCCCACATTCCAAAGTACATCTAAATATACCAGCTGTTGCACTTGTTCTTTTACAGTTCCTCTTCCTATACATCACGTTGCTTCTATCCAAATCATTCTTCCTTCCGACAAAATCTCGATTATTCTTTAATAGCAGACTAATATGTTCCTCATCTGTGAAGCTTTTCTGGACTTCAACTTAGCTTGGTTTCTCTTTTCAATTGTGTCCCCATAGTTTTGAGTACCTAAATCTACAGTATCAGTTATAAAACAAGCTGTATTTGCATGTCTAGCCATCAGAGTTCTTCAAGAATAAGGAATGTAATCTACTCCAAACATAATGGCTGAAGATATAGAAAATACTCTGTAGGTGGCCAATAAATAATTTCAAAGTAGTCAAAGAATTCTAAGTGCTTGCCATGAAAAAAAGTACACATACACACACATACACATGCATGCACACATACACACTATTTCAAATGAGTTAAACCCTATACTAACCTTTCAGATTTTAGTGTGTAAGCAACTATTTCAGGCAGTTTTATTATCATACAATATAACTAGCATTTTATTATCAAACAAGATAGCTTTTCTTATCAATTTGCTATAAATGTTTAATTTAGCCACCTTCTAGTGACACTTTTACTACATTATTAAACAAAAAGTACCCCATTGAACTTAACATACTACAATACATTCAGATGTGAACAGTTAGAAGTGTTTTGGTGGCTACTGGTTCTTCCTTAGTATAATATTTAAAGTTTAATTTCTCTGTTAAAAAGCAAGACAGAGGTATTTTTCTGACATTTATTCTCTTTTCTCATATCCTTCCATCATCAAGCTCTTTTGAAAGGAAATACTAGAAATTACAAAAAGTGAAAAATTTTGTGTTATTAATATTATTACTGAGAAAAAGATAGGAGAATGAAGAAGCTTTATATAATGGCAATGTCAAAATATGAACTTCTATGGTACGATCACCCTCACTGTCACTTTTACATTTCAGTGTTGATGAATTATGTACTAGTAAACTACTATGCATGTAATTTTGGCTCATTCTCTAAACTGCACTCCATAGAGTAGCAGGCAATTTACAAAAAAAAAAAAAAATTAAGAGCTTAAACTCAGATATAAGAATTGAAGGATCATATGATGTTCTATAAAACATGTGTACACATAAGTCTATATTAATAAATTCCTATTAAGTAACTCTAGAATTTATAGAAATGCTACTATTAATATATCTGTATTAAAAAGGTATTTTAAGAAACAGATGTGTGAATCTCATTTTTCACCAAGTTAGCCATCGGTCCCCAATACAGGGGTGCTAAGTCATTATAAAAAAAGATACTTGCCACCCTGAAGGTAATTACGTATGATTTTTAATATATTTTCTCAGAAAATCAAATTTTTGGAAATATTTAAATTCAAAGCATTCTTTTTGCGATTTTGCATTCTTTTAACCCATTTTTCATTCCATTCTTTCTCATTTAATGTCTTGTTACATAAATTTTAAACATAATTAATTGCGTGAGTCAAAATGTTTAAGAGTATTCTCTGGTATCTGAACTACTTTGCAGGATCAGATATAATACTGTGGAGAGTAATATCAGCACTTTTATAATTATGAAAATGCTTTTATGTCAGAAGATACTTAAGCTGAAGATTCATGGGTTACAAAAAATAAACATTTCAAACTTTAAACTTATTTTCTGGAATGATACTTGCTCTGAAATAATATTCAAAACACTTTTCCGAAATGCATCTAGCCACACAGGAGAATGAGCATGCAAGGAGGTAGAGGGTCGGTGGTGAAAAAATTATAGATTTCAAAGTTATTGTTTGAAATAACCCAAACAAGCAAAACATTAGTATTTTTATCTTGAAATTCTTGGTGAATTTTATGTTCTAGCCCATAATATATTAGTTTATTTTAACACAAAAGTTTCTTCCAAAATGGACATGTCCAAAAGATACACCATGCTGGCGACGGGGGTGGCGGCGGCGGCAGCGAGTTCGGTTGCGCGTGGCGCACCGGGTGGGAGCGGAGACCAGGCCGGGAGCAGGCGCCACCGCCAGCGACCATGGGGAACATGTTGGCCGCCAGCTCGCCGCCCGCAGGGCCGCCACCTCCGCCCTCGCCGCCGGGCTTCACGCTGCCGCCGCTGAGAGGCGGCCTGGGCGCCGGCACCACTAGGAGTCGAGGTTCGGAACGGACCCCCGGGGCTGCAACCGCCAGCGCCTCAGGGGCCGCCGAGGATGGGGCCTGCGGCTGCCTGCCCAACCCGGGCACATTCCAGGAGTGCCACCGGAGGTGTAAGGAGCTGTTTCCCATTCAGATGGAGGGTGTCAAGCTCACAGTCAACAAAGGGTTGAGTAACCGTTTCCAGGTGAACCACACAGTAGCCCTCAGCGCAATCGGGGAGTCCAACTACCACTTCGGGGTCACGTATGTGGGGACAAAGCAGCTGAGTCCCACAGAGGCGTTCCCTGTACTGGTAGGTGACATGGACAACAGCGGCAGTCTCCACGCTCAGGTCATTCACCAGCTGGGCCCCGGTCTCAGGTCCAAGATGGCCATCCAGACCCAGCAGTCGAAGTTTGTGAACTGGCAGGTGGACGGGGAGTATCGGGGCTCTGACTCACAGCAGCCGTCACCCTGGGGATCCCAGACGTCCTCGTGGGTTCAAGAATTCTCGAAGCCCACTACCTCCAGAGCATCAGGCCTTGCCTGGCCCTGGGCGGAGAGCTGGTCTACAACCGGCGGCCTGGGGACGAGGGCACTGTCACGTCTCTAGCTGGGAAATACACATTGAACAACTGGTTGGCAACGGTAACGTTGAGCCAGGCGGGCATGCACGCAACATACTACCACAAAGCCAGTGACCAGTTGCAGGTGGGTGTGGATTTTCAGGCCAGCACAAGGATGCAGGATACCAGCGTCTCCTTCAGGTACCAGCTGGACCTGCCCAAGGCCAACCTCCTCTTCAAAGGCTCTGTGGATAGCAACTGGATCGTGGGTGCCACGCTGGAGAAGAAGCTCCAGCTCCTGCCCCTGACGCTGGCCCTTGGGGCCTTCCTGAATCACCGCAAGAACAAGTTCCAGTGTGGCTCTGGACTCACCATCGGCTGAGCCCTCCTGGCCCCCGCCTTCCACGCCCTTCCGATTCCACCTCCACCTCCACCTCCCCCTGCCACAGAGGGGAGACCTGACCCCCCTCCCTTCCCTCCCCCCTCAGGGGTTGGGGGGGACATCGGAAAGGAGGGACCCCGCCACCCCAGCAGCTGAGGAGGGGATTCTGGAACCGAATGGTGCTTCGGGATTCTGAGTACCAGGGGCAGTGTGCCCAGTGGGCATGGGGTCCCAGGAGGGATTCCGGAATTGAGGGGCACGCAGGATTCTGAGCACTAGGGGCAGAGGCGGCCAGACAACCTCAGGGAGGAGTGTCCTGGCGTCCCCATCCTCCAAAGGGCCTAGGCCCGCCCCGAGGGGGCAGCGAGAGGAGCTTCCCCATCCCGGGTCAGTCCACCCTGCCCCGCCCACTTTCCCACCTCCTCGGTATAAATCAAGTTTATCAGTTATGGAAGAACCAGGACATATAACAGAAAAAAAAAAAAAAAAAAAAAAAAAAAACAAAAAATATACGTGGGAAAAAAAAAAGATACACCATGCTTATCTAAGGCTTTTAGTACCTCCTGTCATAGTTGCATATATGCCAGATTGAGGGGCACAGAACTAGGGGAATTTGATAAAATGCTCATTATACAGAACTGTAATACCTATTGTGGCATTTTAATTATGTAAAAGCTTAATGAAATACTACATAAAAAGATACTGTTTATTTTTCTGATAGATTTCATAGCACTCCGTGGTACTGAGATTTTCTAAAATTTAGAAAACAACATTAGTAATTATATTTGTCTACTATAGTAAGTATATTTTTCTTCTTTCACTCTTCAGGTTTTCCATTAATATAAAAAGTAAAATTTCCATACATTTCCATTTATTTTAAATCAAAGTAGTGTCAACAAATCTACATTACCTATAGAATATAAAGAGAAGTATGTGAAACTTTATAAACTTTTAAGTTATACTTCCCTAACAATCAACCCCATACCTGCTCTCATGTCATCTACAGCACTCATTTTCAGCAATACTTGTTTAATTAGCCCAACTTCTGTGCTAGTCTGTACATTCCAAACACTTTTTCATAGAATGGCTGTAAACATGCTCCCTATTTCTGCTTGACATGTTACATCACAGTGCTCTAAAAGCTCTGTCATGCGTATTATACTCTCAGCATCCTGGATAATAGAGTTCATCTCCAGTTCAAATTCTCCACCAACCAGCTGAAAGTAAACAGAAAGAAACAATAGTGTTAACATGGGAGGTTACTGATAACAGTAGAATAAAATAATAACAAGAGTTCAAATCTACTACTCTAAAAAAGTTTCAAGGCTTTTGGTGTAAAATTACTTTTTATAAAAAGTATAAGAGCTACAGATAAATGACAGGCATTGTAAGCATTGAAACTAGCGAACACTGAAGGCGTGGCCTGCCGCTCCACACCTGTGGGATATCTCATCGGGTGGGATGAGAGACTGAGAAAAGAAATAAGACACAGAGACAAAGCATAGAGAAACAACAGTGGGCCCAGGAGACCAGCACTCAGCATACCAAGGATCTGCACCGGCACCAGTCTCTGAGTTCCCTCAGTTTTTATTGATTATTATTTTCATTATCTCAGCAAGAGGAATGCGGTAAGAGAGCAGGGTGATAATAAGGAGAAGGTCAGCAAAAAAACATGTGAGCAGAAGAATCTATGTCATAATTAAGTTCAAGGGGAGGTACTATGCCTGGATGTGCACGTAGGCCAGATTATGTTTCTCTCTGCCCAAATATCTCAGTGCAGTAAAGAATAACAAGGCAGCATTGCTGCCAACATGTCTCGCCTCCCGCCATAGGGCAGTTTTTCTCCTTTCTCAGAACTGAACAAATGTACAATCGGGTTTTATACCGAGACATTCAGTTCCCAGGGACAGGCAGGAGACAGTGGCCTTCCTCTATCTCAACTGCAAGAGGCTTTCCTCTTTTACTAATCCAACTCAGCACAGACCCTACACGGGTGTCAGGCTGGGGGACGGTCAAGTCTTTCTCATCCCATGAGGCCATATTTCAGACTATCACATGGGGAGAAACCTTGGACAATACCTGGCTTTCCAGGGCAGAGGTCCCTGTGGCTTTCCACACAGTGCACTGTGCCCCTGGTTTATCGAGACTAGAGAATGGCGATGACTTTTACCAAGCATACTGCTTATAAACATTTTGTTAACAAGGCACGTCCTGCACAGCCCTAGATCTCTTAAACCTTGATTCCATACAACACATGTTTTTGTGAGCTCAATGTTGGGGCAAAGTGGCTGGGGCAAAGTTACAAATTAACAGCATCTCAGTGAAGCAATTGTTCAAGGTACAGGTCAAAATGGAATTTCTTATGTCTTCTCTTTCTACATAGACACAGTAACAGTCTGAGCTCTCTTTCTTTTCCCTACAAACAGAAATCTAATTTTCACATAAATGGGAAAGGGTGATTTCAAATCTAGTAAATCAGAGCAAACTACAGCATGTGATTCCTGGATGGGATTCAGGAAAAATTCCTAAAAAGAGGGTTTGGCCTTTAAAAGTGATAATCAACAGAAAATATAGAATTTACTAAGGATAAATTTTAAGACATGAAATTCATTTTCCTTTTTGATATTACTAGTCTTACAGATAAAGAGATGTAACTGGGGCATAATCTCCATATATAGAAGATGAAGAAACATGAAACTGATACAACTTACAATAAATGTTGTAATAATGAAATGAATGTTAAAAATAAGTTGAACAGAAATATGCAAGGTCTTGTAATGCTTTTTTTTTTAAGCACAAATGTGAATTGGGTAAAGAAAGCTGATTTAACAGCAACACATTTGACTTCAATATTATGGCAAATGAGTCCAAAGTCATACTGCCCCTCCCGTTTGGTATTTTAAGTACAGTAATAGACAAATACACACAGAATAAAATAACATAATAATACTCTGTTACTCTCTGTTGATCGAATCCCATAAGAACTATTATATTCAGTTATAAGCATCATTCTTAAAAAAGAACACTGTCAAACTGGATATCCTTTTGGTCTAAAGAATGATAAGATTTAGGAATAAAATAATAATCATATACAACACCTCACAAATTCAAAGTAATTAATTCCTTTGTTCATTCAATAAATAATTTATTAAGGTCTAGAAGTTACTGTTCTGGGAACTAGAATATATGAACATCCAAGATAAAGACCATGCACTAACAGTGCTAAATTCTAGGAACAAAGATTTATATGTATGTATGCATACACTACTTTATTCCAAAAAAACACTGAAGGTGGCTACAAGTTATGTAAAGCATGAAGGAAGGCATAAAATATGAGTAGATGAGAAAAGAGGAAGCAAAGGAAAACAAGATTAGGAACAGACAGGGAGTAGAATTAGGATCAAGAAGTAGAATTAATTTCCTATCACTGAAAGGTATTCGCAAATACGGACAGGTCACCACAGAATATGATATAAATAAGATAAATAGTAACAATACCACCACCTAACCTTACATGGCGTTTAGTCCTGTTTTAAAGGTTTTACATCCATTATGACACTATTCTTATCTTCATTTTACAGAGAAGGCATCATAGGCACAGAGTTATAAGTATGTTGAAGAATGTTACAAAACCGGTAAGAGACCCAGGATCCAAGCACAAGACGTCTGTCTTCGTGCAAGTTCATATAAACATTACAATCTCATTTAAGAATATTTTTTTAGGAGGGAGGTGAGACAAGACGGCAGAACAGAAAACTCCACAGATCATCCTCCTACCCCTACCACAAGGATACTAAGTTAACAAACAACTACACAGGAAAAAGCATCTTCCTAAGAGCTAAAAATCAGGTGAGCACTCACAGTACCTCGTTTTAACCTCGTATCACTGAAAGAGACACTGAAAAGACAGAAAAACAGTTCCGAGTCTCCGATGCCACCCCTCCCTGACCCCAGCAGTGTGGCTTGGTGCCAAGAGCACCTCTGGGTGCTGGTGAAGGGAGAACAGAGCAATTGTGAGGCACTGAACTCAGTGCCATTTTGTTGCAGCAAAAAGGAAAACCTGACCAAACTAAGCTGAAGTCCACACAAAAGAAGGCATGTCAACCAGCCTTAGCCAGAGGGCAATCACTGATACCAGCAGTCCAAACCTGACTGCCCGCAAACCTCAGTACCAAAGGCCACAGTGCTCTTGTTGTCTAAGTAAATTGGAAAGGTAGTCTAGGCCATAAGGACTGCACCTCATAGGTGAGTCCTAGTGCTGAACTAGGCCCAAAGACAATGGACTGAAGTGGCATGGGACATACTGAGATACCAGCTGGGGCAGCTAAGGGAATGTTGGCATCACCTCTCCCCTAACCTGAGACTGCACAGCTTGTGGATCCAAAAGAAACCCCTTCCTTCCACTTGAGAAGAGGAGAGGGAAGAGTTGGGAGGAGTTTGTCTTGCATCTTGCTTATCAGCTCTGCCACAGAAGGACAGGGCACCTTGAGGTCATGAGGCCCTTGTTCCAGGCTCTAGCTCTGGGATGACATTTCTAGATACACCCTGAGCCAGAAGGAAACCCACTGCCTTGAAGGAAAGGACCCAGTCCTGGCAGCATTCATCATCTGCTAACTGAAGAGCCCTTGGGTCCTGAATAACCAGCAGTGATACCCGGGTACTACGTTGAGGACCTTGGTGAGCTTCTGAGACTTGTTGGCTTCAGGTGAGACTATGCACATTACCAGCTGTGGTGGCTATGGGGCAAAACTCCTTCCACTTGATAAAAACAGAAGGAAGAGTAAAGGGGACTTTGTTTTGCATCTTAGGTACCAACACCACCACTGTGGGGTAGAGCACCAAGTGGGCTTTTGGGTTCCCAATTCTAGGACTTGACTCTTGGACAGCATTTCTAGACCTGCCCTTGGCCAAAGGGGAGCCCACTGCCCTGACGGGTGAGTCCCAGGCCAGGCAGCATTCACCACAAGCTGATATAAGAGCCTTTGGTCCTTAAGGGAACATCGGTGGTACTTTGGCAGTACTCCTCATGGCCAGGTGTGGCGGTGGCTACGGGGTAAGGCTCCTCAGCTTTTGGAAAGGGGAAAAAGTGGAAAGAGTGGGAAGGATTGTGTCTTGTGGTTTGAGTGCCAGCTCAGCCACAGTACAACAGAATGCCAAGTAGATTTCTAAGTTTTTTGACTCTAGTCCCTGACTCCTCTATGGCATCTGTGGACCCACTGGTGGCCAGGGGGACTTTGCCACCCTGAAGAGAAGGACACAGGCCCAGCCGACTTTTCTACCTGCCAATTGTAGAGCCCCAGGGCCTTGAGTGAATATAGGCTATAGCCAAGGAGTGATTAAGGCAGGCCTTGGGCAAGACCCAGCACTGTGCTTGCTTCAGGTGTGACCCAGTACCTGAAGTGGTGGTGGTGGTGGTCATAGGGGTGCTTGTATCATACATCATACCAGCCCCAGCTTTAGGTGTCTCAGAACAGAGAGAGAGAGAGACTCTGTGTTCTTGGGAGAAAGTAAGGGAAGAGAAAAAGAGACTCTGCCTGGTAATCCAGAGAATCACCCCAGATCTTATCCAAGGCCATCAAGGCAGTACCTCTACAAGTCTGCAAGAACCAGTGTCACTGGAAAGCCTTCCCAAGAAGGATGGCTACAAATAAGCTCAGGCAATGAAGAGTACAATAAATACCTAACTCTTCAATGCTCGGGCCCCGAGGAACATCTACTAGCATTAACACCATCCAGAAAAACATGACCTCACCAAACGAACTAAATAAGGCACCAAGAATCAATCCTCGAGAAACAAAGATATGTGACCTTTCACATGGAGAATTCAAAATAGCTGCGTTGAGGAAACTCAAAGAAATTCAAGATAACACAGAGAAGGGATTCAGAATTCTATCAGATAAATTTAACAAAGATATTGAAATAATTTTAAAAAATCGAGCAGAAATGCTGGAGCTCAAAAATGCAATTGGCATACTTAAGAATTCATCAAGTCCTTCAAGAGCAAATTGGATCAAGCAGAGGAAAGAATTAATGAGCTTCTGAAGAAAGGCTATTTGAAAACACACAGAGGAGAAAAAAGAATAAAAACCAATGACACATGCTTACATGATCTAGGGAATAGCCTCAAAAGGGCAAATCTAAGAGGTATTGGCCTTGAAAAAGAGGTAGAGAACAGGGTGAGAAAGTTTATTTTGAGTAAACCTTCAAATAACAGAGAACTACCCAAATCTAGAGAAAATATCCAAATACAAGAAAGTTATAGAATACCAAGCAGATTTAACCCAAAGAAGTCTACCTCAAGACATTTAATAATCAAACGCCCAAAGGTCAAGAATAAAATAAGAATCCTAAAAGCTGCAAGAGAAAAGAAACAATAACATACAAAGGAGCCCCAATACATCTGGCAGCAGACTTTTCAGTGAAAACCTTATATGCCAGGAGACAGTGGCATGACATATTTACATTGCTGAGGGAAAAAAACTTTTACCCTAGAATAACATATCCAGTGAAAATATCATTTGACCATGAAGAGGAAATAAAGACTTTCCCAAACAAATAAAAGCTAAGGGATTTCAACAACAGCAGACCTGTCCTACAAGAAATGCTAAAGGGGGTACTCCAATCAGAAAGAAAAGGGCATTAATGAGCAATAAATGATCACCTGAAAATACAAAACTTACTGGTAATATAAGTACACAGAAAAATACAGAATATTATAAACACTGTTACTGTGGTTTGCAAACTACTCTTATCCTAGGTAGAAAGACTAAATGATGAATTAAACAACAATAATAACTACAACAACTTTTCAAGACATAGGCAGTAGAAGATATAAACAGAAACGACAAAAAGTTAAAAAGCAAGGAAATGAAGTTAAGGCAAGTTTCTACTAGTTTTCTTTTTGCTTGTTTGTTTGCTTATGCAAATAGTGTCATGTTATCAGGTTAAAATAATGAGTGATAAGATAGCATTTGCAAGGCTCATGGTAACCTCAAACCAAAAAACATACAATGGACACACAAAAAAATAAAAATCAAGAAACTAAATCACCAGAGAAAATCATCTTCACTAGAGGAAGACAAGAATGCAAGAAAGAAGACCACAAAACAACCAGAAAACCAAAAACAAAATGGCAAGAGTAGATCCTTACTTAATAATAACAGTGAATGTAAATACACTAAACTCTCCACTCAAAAGACACAGACTAAAAGGATGAAAAGACAAGACCAATTGATCTGTTGCCTAAAAGAAACACACTTCACCTATAGAGACACACAAAGACTGAAAACAAACAGATGGAAAAAGATATCCCATGCCAAAGAAAAACAAAAAAAGAGCAAAAGTCACTACACTTATATCAGACAAAAGAAATTTCAAGACAAAAACTAACTATAAAAAGAGACAAAGAAGGTCACTATATAAAGATAAGGGGGTCAGTTAAGCAAGATGATATAATAATTTCAATATATATTCACCCATCACTGGAGCACCCAGATATATAAAGGAAATATTACTACAGCTAAAGACAGCTATAGGCTCCATAATATCTGCAGACTTCAAAACCTCACTTTCAGCATTGGACACATCTTCCAGAAAGAAAACAAAGAAACATCAGAATTAATCTTCACTACAGACCAAATTGAGCTAATAGATATTTACAGAACATTTCATCCAGAAGCTGCAGAATACACATTATTTTCCTTAGCACATGGATCAGTTGAAAAGACAGACCATATGTTAGGTCACAAAACAAATCTTGAAATATTCCAAAAAAATGAAATAATATAAAGCATCTTCTCTGACAACAATGGAATAAAACTAGAACTACCAAGAGAAGTTTCAGAAACTATACAGATACATGGAAATCAAACAATACGCTCCTGAATGACAAGTGGGTCAATGAAGAAATTAAGAAGGAAATTGAAAAATTTCTTGAAACAAATAATAATAGGAACACAACATACCAAAATCTAAGGGATACAAGAAAAGTTGTACTAAGAGGGATGTTTATAAGTGCCAATATCAAAAAAGAGGAAAAATATCAAATAGACAATCAAATGCTGCATCTTAAAGGACTGAAGTATCAAGAGCACACCAAATCCAAAATTAACAGAAGAAAAGAAATAATAAAGATCAGAGCAGAAATACATAAAATTGAAATAAAAAAATACAAAAGATCAAAGAAATGAAAAGTTTATTTTTTGGAAAGCTAACGAAAATTGACAAATCTTTAGCCAGACTAAGAGAGAAGATCCAAATAAAGCAAAACAGAAATAAAAAAGGAGACATTACATCTGATACTGCAAAAGTTCAAAGGATCATTATCAGCTACTGTGGGCAACTACATGCAAATTAGTTGGGAAATCTAGAAGAAATTTATGAATTGCTACACACATAAAACTACCAAGATTGAACCAGGAAGAAATCCAAAACCTGAACAGACTAATAACAAGTTACAAGACTGAAGTTGTAATAAAAGTCTCCCAGTAAAGAAAAGTCTGGGAAATGATAGCTTCACTGTTGAATTCTAACCAAACATTTAAAGAACTAATATTAATCCCACTCAAACTATTCTGAAAAATAGAAGAGAAGGGCATCCTTCCAAATAGAGGAGGAAGGAATACTTCCAAACTCATTCTATGAGGCCAGTATTACCCTGTTACCAAAACCAGTCACAGACACAAATTTTTAAAAATATATTTATTGACTGACCAAAAAATAGAACAAATGAGGAATTCTTACCCCAATTTTGTTCGTTATAAATATTTATAATATGTCTCTAGTTCTACAGTAAGGATATAAGCTTGGTTAGTTACATGGCTTTAACAAGTTTACATCAAAAAATATCTCATAAGCCACTGGCACTCTGAAAAAGGTACTGTGATGCATTTCATTGGTTTCATTATAATAAGGTCTCTTGTAAAAATTGTCACTAAGCAAAAAATAACATAACTCTGGGCTACTAGAAAATCCTTAGTTCTTCATAAGTACAACAAACAAGCACCTAACAGTAGAATTAAATTGGACATACTGCCAGAAATTACAACAATGAATGCAAATTTGAATACTAGCTTCATAGTTCTCAGCCTCAAAAGTGAGAACCTTAAAAGGTAAAAAGACTTTGGGATGACAGTTTCAGTAACACTTGGTTGGGAAAAGATTAGTAAAAATACAAAGAATAACTTTATTCTTAGTTTTTCCTAAAAATGAATTATTAGGCAAAAATATAATGGATATCATGTCTGTAACTCATAAATTACTGACATTACACAGCATAAATATTTTTAAACAACTACATTTACATGTAAGAGTTTTTGAGATATTAGCTTGCTGGTCTAGAAGCAAAATAATTACCACTTGGGGAATAATCGTAAGGAAGAATGAGTTCATATATCAATGTGCAATGGAATCAGAGTATCCACATTTTAAAACTGAAAAAGATGTTACAAACCATCTATTTGAATTGCTCCCTTCATGGAGAGCCTAGCTAGGCTTTTATAGAGACAAATGGATACTGTTTAAGTGACTTTTAATATTTCAAAAAGTATCACGTATCATATCTCACTGGAAAACAAAGTCATATTTATTTAATAGAAATAACAGTAGAAACTGGAGAAGAAGGTAAGGTAAGAAATAATTTTAAAAATTAAATGTTGGTAATCATGGAATCCCTACACCAAGGTCAAAAACTAAGGTAACAGACAGGTAGAATATCAAATTTCCTGACTAGTCCAGTGATCTTGCCTACCTCCACACTACTTTGAATACAGGACATAAATAATAGATTTAACAAATGTCAAATGTTTACAATAGTGACCATGGAGCAATGAGATTACTGGCGACTTTCCATTTCTTCTTCACATGTATTTTTAAATGATTTGCAATGAGCACATATACTATTATAATAAAAACATACACACACATGCACACACACATTCACACACATTTAATAGTGAGTCTTCCTAAAGCAAAACCTATAATTGGACAAATCATGTTCAGAAATATGATTTTCCCATGTTTCCTTTTCCATTCACATAATCTTGGAGTATGTTTCGTCATTTATAAAACAAGGGTAATGGTTGGTTCTTACACTATGTTTCACTAATTATTGCTGGGACCACTCAAAAGATAGATGTAAAAGTAAATCTACTAACCGATTATGCAATGAGTGCCACTCATGTGGTATCTAATAAACAGTCTTCATTCACTAGAAACGTAAGAGATTTTTTTTTTTTTTTTTGAGACGGAGTCTCGCTCTGTCACCCAGGCTGGAGTGCAGTGGCGCGATCTCGGCTCGCTGCAGGCTCCGCTCCCCGGGGTTCACGCCATTCTCCTGCCTCAGCCTCCCGAGTAGCTGGGACTACAGGCGCCCTTAAAAGCCTAAAGGAGAACTAACATTTTATTCCTTACTACACCTATCTATTGAATGTATTTTGCAAGCCATGTGTAGTTTCAAGGTACAGGAAATGTAGCGGTAAATGAAACAAAGTCCCTGTCCTCATATAGCTTATGTTCTAATACAGGTCACAGACAATAAACTAGTAAAATGTATATAAATAATATGATTTCAGAAAATGATACTTTTTTATGGTATTTATTTTTATGAAAAAAATATAGTCTTGTAGTAATTTGTTATACAATTTTTTCCTGACTACCTTAGCACTACTTGAAGGCAGGGACTATAGCTTATAAATAAACTCTGCAGCAATAAGCTATGCTCATTGATTGATACATGGTAAATACTTGATAAATGTCTCAATTAAGGAAAGAAAGGAGGAAATAACTTAAAGGTAAAAATTCAATACATTCAGTAGTTTGATACAGATTACTTACATTACAAGGCAATGTCACATATTAAAGGAAGAAAAACAAAAGGTTTTAAAGTCAGAATAAAATCATTCCTCTAAAGGACTGTTAAATTCCCTAAAACATGATTTTGGGGGAATAATAAGGTCCTCAAAACTAGCATTCAAAGTATTAAACCATCATTGTTGTGTTAAGTAAATTATTTGGCCTCTTGGAGTCTTGATTTTCTTACCAATGAAATAGGAATGAGAGCATAGGAATGAACAGCTCTCATTATAGAAAGGGGTTGTAAGCACAAATGAGATAAATTATGATCCTTTGAAAAGTACAAAGTATTACAGAGAAAGCAATAGCATTAATTCTGGCAGCAGTCTGGAATGGAGCAGTAATTCCAGTCATCTGGAAATACAGGCAGTAGTGAGTCATGGCTACAGACTCAGAGCAGGGAACTGGTTTGGATAAAGTGTGTGACAAGTTGTGGGGGATATTAAAAGGAGCTAGGCAGGGTCAGGCATGGTGGCTCACGCCTGTAATCCCAGCAGTTTGGGAGGCCGAGGCGGGCGGATCACCTGAGGTAGGAAGTTCGAGACCAGCCTGGCCAACATGGGGAAATCCCGTCTCTACTAAAAATACAAAAATCAGCCGAGCGTGGTGGTGCATGCCTGCAATCCCCGCTACTCGGGAGGCTGAGGCAGGTGAATCGCTTGAACCCGGGAGGCAGAGGTTGCAGTGGCCACTGCACCACTCCAGCCTGGACAACAGAGCAAGACTCTGTCTCAAAAAAAAAAAAAAAAAAAAAAAAATCGGAGCTAGGCAGGTTCCACACCCAGAGCTAGTGGTCAGGAATCAAATGGCAAGGAATCAAATCTAGTCATACAAGCCACAGTCGGGTCAAACCTGAAAAGACAGTTGCAGTGACCATGGATCCTCAAGAACAGAATAGGAAGGCAATATAAAGTTTGGTAAACAGTCAGGAATCTGGAAATGTGATGAACAAAAAGAAGGATAATGTAAATGAGAGGCCAAATTGGAGATCTTCAAAAATGCAGCAAGGCAGTTTTGTGCATCAGCTCCAGTGTATGTATAAGGATCCTTTGAAGGAAAGCATTCACTCTTGAGGAGCAGGTGCTCAGGATTACATGATTGAGGTAAGGGAATGTAGGTGGAGCCGAACCAACACTTTCTCCTCAAGAAAATTCTGGCAATAAATATCTTAGCCAGTTTTTAGAAGAATCTTTCCAGTCATTCATTTTCTAATTGGACAGCAAGATAAAGCTTCATCAAATCTCTAGACAAATTTCCCTTGGGACTTATGCCATGTTTTCATGATACCACAAAATATTTTGAAAGTAAAAAAACTCAACCGTCGATGTATGCACTCATTATTAGATCCTCAGTATGTATGGTTTCAGCTATGAATGAAAGCATTGCCTCCTTTCTTGTTGACCTGAGTTTACTAAGTAATTGGCTAAAGTTAATTAATGAATCAATTGTACTGTAGCAACATGCATGTGAATGCTAGGCAAAACCCTCCTGTGGATGGGAGAGAATTACTGTCTTTGGGTAACTGTTTGTTTGCTTTCTATCTCTACATTCAAAACTGACCACGGAATGCCACTAGCTAGACATGTGTAGTGACTACCAGCGAACCTCAGGGAGGCTCACTCAGGACTGGCTACCCCCAGGATGGAGGGGTGGCATGCCAGTAAGGAACCTGGCCTTAGCAGCAAGTTGGTTTTTTTTCTGCAAGTATCTTCTATTTCTTCTCCAACCAATTTTGTTCCCCTTGGTTGTTGGGAACCATTATACTGTTAGGTTAATGGATCATTGGTTTATCCACCTGTACATTTCCTGAATTTTCGCCATTCAACCATGCATTCCTGGTGACTGGGTTTATAAGTATTAGTTTCCTGGGTCCAACACCACATTTAGATATCTCTTAACTATAAATTGGTGTAGTAACCGTGATATATCGGCATAGAGATGGCTCCATCCATTAAAAATATATTGATATTGGTGGTTTCAAAAAATTGTATATTTGTTACTGGCATATAAAACAAATGAATGGCCAGATACAAAATTGTACAGAACCCAGATTAGTAGCTAATAAAGAATTAATAAAGAATATGAATTAATGTAGATATATTCATTTACATATTAATTGTTTTTTTCAAATTGGCCAAATTTTTTAAAACAATTACATATTAAAAACTGAGATATACGGAAATTCTAACTAATAGGTTTATAGTCATTCCTAGGGTAGGCATTAACACTTCTTGGTAAGTTCTGTAAGTTAATTATAGTTTAACTTCCTAACTAATTAATTCTGTAAGTCAATTTATAGTTTACCTTCCCAGAGGCTTTGGTGTCTTTTTTTACCCTCACTTTAAAATACACACAATAGTATATAATATATCACATTTGGTCAACAGTTCAAATTTTTTTATTCTTTAAAGCATGTACAAAAAATATACTAGTTAGAATTCCTGTGAAAAATTCTAATACAGAGGAATTATATGGCTATGTTTGGAAAGATAATATTTCTTTAAAAATGTGGTTTCTTTATGTTTTATGTTTGCAATAAGGATTATTTAAGTTTGATTGAAGAACTTCATGATTCTTGTGTATTATTTTCTTGTATTGAGAAATAGTGGCCCACTGTTGGGCTGTATTTAAAATTAATGTGTATGAAACAAGAAATATTTAATTAGAGTTATTAATTTTCCACAAGTAATATGTGTACTTGACCTAAATCAGTATCTTTTGTCATATCAGCCTCACATACAACAAGAATAATAGCAAGGACAACAACAACAAATTTGAATGTTTCCTTTGTGCCTATGCTCCTAACTATCATGTTATACTCATTCATATAAACCTAACAATTAATTTGAAGTTAGACACACAGGATTTACTCATCAGTATTAGAGCATTCGCTGTTATCCAGGAAGAAAACTATCCCTGGTGCTGAAACTGCTCTGTGTAGTCCTTGCGGTTGAAGAATTAAAAGTCTCTTTTAGACATTTCCTTTCATTGAAATTATGAATTGGATAAGTGTTCATACCTTAAAGGAAGTATTAAATTTCACATATGTTAACATCTTAATTAATATAAGATTAATATTCTACTTATGACTATGTTTTAATATTGAAAAATGAGTTTATGATGAGTTTCATTAGTTTCTAGAGAAAACAGTGGTTTAAAAAATTTCAGTCATAAGACATTGAAGAGTCTATGACTGTTCCAGAAATCTGAAAACATATACCACTAATCAAAAGTTTCTCCATTCATGTTGACTAGCATTTGCCTTAGGTGTCAGAATTAATGGATTTGTGTTAAAAATAAACACCTGAAATCTAATTCCCTAACTACATTATAACACACTTGATTTCAAGTTCTTAGCTTTTATTTAATGCTTCTAATGACTTTAAATTGTAGCAAAATGGGCTTCCCCCAAGAGCACTGCTTTGTTGATCCTGAGTTGGGGTCCTAAGCCAGAAGTTAACTATGCTTTCATATATTCTTGCAAGTAGAAGTACAGTGTTGGTGTAAATTCCCCTTAGATGGATAGCTAAGCCCAGAGGAAATAATGGTAATTGGAACCATATGACCGTATGCAATTCATGTGCATATTTATATCAAGAAAAGAACATTATAGGTCTGGTGAGACCCTATTTTGTTCTGACAATGTCATCTGTATTTACATGTCTGTTTCGGGAGTTTGGATGTCAAGGGATTCTGTGCTGGATTGTAAAGCATGTGCTTCTGCTTGATGTAGCTACTCAATTTTGTATTCCTGACTAATAAAGTCATAAACATAATTCAACCTCTGTGTGTGTGCTCTCCTTCCATTAATTTATACTTTAGCAAAAAGTATTGAATGTGTGTGTTATGTAACAATTTCCTATAAATTATATTAAATGATTTATTAGCTTTATTCAATAAAGTTTTAAGTGTTTTCTTCTATGACTACATTACTTGTTAACAAGAAATTTCTTTAACTGAAAACTTCAAGGAAGATTATCTGGGTAACTCTTTCAAAAAGAATTGTACCTGTATTTTGGGATTGAATATATTAATTTCTTGTACTGTTTTAACAGCACATAATTTTACAAGACAAGCCACTTTTTCAAAGCCTGCTTCTCCTCCCATTTTCCCTATCTCTGTGATTGACACCTCCAACCCCTGTAGCCTGCCTCTGCTCTCTCTTAACCAGTCCTACTGATACTACTTCCTAAGTATTTTTCAGCCCTGTCCTTCCTCTCCATCATGATGGATTCACTTCCAGTTGAAATCCTTATGGTACCCTCCCTGGATTATGGCAGTAATCAGAGAGCTGGTCTCCTTAACTCAGGATTCACTTCTTCTCATCTGTTGTTCACAGTGACATCAGAAAGATATTTTAAAATAATGAACTAGAATTAATTATATAAAACACACATACACACATAAATAATACTTAAATTTTTCAATGATGTTCCAATTATGTAAAATATAATATAGGAGGCACTTTATGTTCTGGCCTCAATCTTTCAATTCAAACTTATCTCCTGCCACTATCTCCTTTGAACATTGTATTCCAGCTACTTTAGAATAATAATAATATATAATATTCATAGAGCCCTTCCTGGGTTCCTATCACCGTACAAAATACTTCACATATAACATTTAATCTTTGACAACTTTATTAGGCATGCACAATTATTATCTATCTATATATCTATATCTATATATATAAAATCTATATTTTATAGATAAGAAAATAGAGGGTAAAAACTTGCCAAAATTACAAAGCTTAGAAGTGTAGCAGTTGGGATTTGAATCTAGGCATCCTGCTTCTATAGTCTACAGTGGCTTTCTTGTGCCAAAAGCCTTGCAGTTCCCTAGACTTAACATTTCTCAAAATCTGTGTCTTTCACATGCTCTTCCAATTGTCTGGAAAATCTTTCCCAACCTCAGTCTAACTGTGGTACTCATGTTCACCCCACAAGAATTGACTCCATCTGTCCCCTCTCCATGAAAATTTCTTTGAATCTCAGCACTTTGGGAGGCTGAGGCAGGTGGATCGCCTGAGCTCAGGAGTTCGAGATTGCCCTGGGCAACATGGTGAAACCCCGTCTTTACTAAAATACAAAAAACTCACCAGGTATGGTGGCACACGCCTGTAATTCCAGCTGCTCTGGAGGCTGAGGCAGGAGAATTACTTGAGCCTGGGAGGCAGAGGTTGCAGTGAGCCAAGATTGCACCACTGCACTCCACCTTGGGCTACAGAGTGAGATTCCGTCAAAAAAAAAAAAAAGAAAGAAAGAAGAAAGAAAGGAAGGAAGGGAGGAAGGAAGGAAGGAAGGAAGGAAGAAAAAGAAAGAAAGAAAGAAAGAAAGAAAGAAAGAAAGAAAGAAAGAAAGAAAGAAAGAAAGAAAAGAAAGAAAGGAAGAAAGTAAGTAACTTTCCCTGGTAAGGGCTCATGCCTTGGCACTGAGGGCATCTTGCAAAACTCAAGGATGCCACTTGGCATAGCAGATAGAAAATAATTGTGATATGAGACAGGCCTGAATTGGATTTATGGCTCTATTTCATATTGGTTTTGTGATTTTGGGAAAGTCATTTAATCTCTCCGAATTTTAGTTTCTTTAGGGATTAATAGTACCTTTTCCAGGGAGCTGTTATTAGGATGAGACAACGACCAGAACATAGCAAGAATTCATTAGTGCTCTCACCACCCTTCCCCCATTGCAGCCCTCAGTACCTGAATGGCAATCGTGCATCTTCTCATCGGCCTGGAATTGCTTCCCCTTTCATCTTTGGCTCTGCAGTATTCAGTGTCACTAGTGAAATGTGTGAAATGAATGAATCGACAACTGATGCTTAATACCTAATGAGACAAGTGAATGAATCCTTTTGTTCATTTTATGGCCAGAAAGATAGTGTAATTAAGTAATAACAACTGGCAAAAAAGAGAAACTCAACCTATACTTTGTCCTTTTCTCAAGTAGCATCTAAAACTTTTTCCCTCTGATTAAAAAATTATCACTGAAGGATCTCTTTGAATGTGTCTTGAATTTTATATAAGCAGATGATCACAGCTCAGCATAATATTAGAAGATTATATGATTTTAAAAATTGGTTCATAGTTTTATAGTCTTGGAATATCTATCTATCTGTCTGTCTGTCTGTCTGTCTATCTATCTAGGTATCTATCTATCTATCTACCTACCTACCTACTTACCTACCAATCTGTCATCTTCAAATATATTTAGGCTGCTTTCCTGAGGCTAATTTTTTATTCCATTCTTTCATCTTTTTCAAGATCCTGGTATTCCCTGGTGTATTGGGTCTAGGTATTTATGATTAGGAGAAGAAATGATTCAGTGGCAGCTCCCCAGGATTTTGAATTATGAGATATGAAACTAGAAATGGCAACTTAGGTGGATTGTTTGAGAACACTGTGTATTACTGCTTCTGTATCAACTTCTATTCTCCCTTGTTCATACTTTTTTAACACGCATTTTAAGCACTATATATTGGTGAACATTTGAACCCGAATCATATAACAATAGAAGATGCCATAGTTGGAAAGGCATAAAAGGTCATTCTAAATGTGTGAACAAATTAGAGAACTACAAAATTAGAGATCATCATAGCTATATTGCAGACAGACTTCATTGCTTTTCACAGAAATTAAGCCATAGATAACAATGACAGGTTGAAATAGGTCATGATTTCTAAAAATAATGTCATGTAAATTACCTATCTAAATACATTAAAATATGAATTATTTGAAAAAATGAATAGCAGGTCCTCAGAATAGCCCTACACATAAGTATCTAATAAAAGCATGAGTTCAAGAGCAGAATGTTAATGAAGCTCCCTGCCTTGGTTTCTTTAATAAGATTTTCTATTCCGCTTTCTGGAACTATTATGTTCCCATTATAAACTTTGTACCAAGTTAAAAGTAGGGCCCCTTTTGCCCCTTTTTTCTGTCTTCCTGGCTCTCTAGTCCTAGGAAGTTAAAAAGAGTCAGAAAATCCCATCTTTTCTTCTATGAAGTTTGGGAGAAAAGTCAAGATAGGCTATAAAGTGTTGCACGTGATAATCCAAGCATCCTTCTACTGATAGTAGAGTCTCATTATCCTTCCTCAGATATATGCAGTGATGAAAATAGATAATGAGAAAGCATGCATCCAAGTAACTCTTTGAGTGTATAAGGGCTGATTAAGTTGAAAGAAGATTGCCAGGCGAGGTGGCTCACGCCTGTAATCCCAGCACTTTGGGAGACTGAGGCAGGCAGATCACTTGAGGTCAGGATTTCGAGACCAGCCTCGCCAACATGGTGAAACCCCATCTCTACTAAAAATACAAAAAAATATTCGGGCGTGGTAGCGCATGCCTGTGATCCAGGTACTCGGGAGACTGAGGCAGGAGAATCACTTGAACCCAGGAGGCAGAGGTTGCAATGAGCTGAGATGATGCCACTGCACTCCAACCTGGGCAGAAGAGTGAAACTCCATTCAAAAAAATTGCAAAGTATCTACTAATCTAAAAAATGCACAGCCTCAGTTCTCAAAGAGTTTATGTTGTAGGATCACGTCAGTTCCATATATAATTTGTTTATCACAACTGCACACTGTTACTGAATCTGAAATGCTTCAAAATCTGAAAGTTTTGAGCACTTACATGATGCTCAAAGGAAATGTTCATTGGAGCATTTCAGATTTCAGATTTTCAAATTAAGGATACTCAACTGGTAAGTATAACGCAAATATTCCAAAATCTGAAAAATATCCAAAATCCAAAATACTTCTGGTCCCACGCATTTTCGATAAGGGATACTCAACAAGTATTTTAAAAGATCAAAATAAGGGTAAGAGAATATGGATATTTAAGCTTATGGTTACTTACATGGAACAGTTGAGGCCATTAAAAAATGTCTAAGACATAGGCAGTGGAAGGCTGAATTCAAGAAAAAGTCTCAGAGCTGAGGAAACAAAGAACCTATGAGGTTAAGGTGTTAAATGAGCCAACCACATGAGTGTGAAAGGGAGGCCAAATGAGAAAATGATGTTGCTTGGGTGTAGAGGAAGTTCTGGAATAAATGTGGCAGTTGTTAGAAGACATTATAGTTAGAAGGCATTATAGTTAGATGGATAGACAGTAAAGAAGGGGCTTTTGTATTAAAATAGAGGAATAGTGGTTGGGAATAGGAAATATGGAGCTAAAATTATGCCAACCCACTTCTATTAAATAAATTCTATGACACCTTAGCCTTTGGGAAAATGACTAGCCTTCAGTGGAGCACATGTCGAGGGAAGCATTGTCCTCATATAGATAGCTGAATTTTAATTAAAGCAAAGAAATGGAGTCAATGTCCTCTAATGAGGTTTCCAGAAGTCACATTGAAAATATTTGGGAGGGAGGGAAGATTGATTCAGAAGTAAAACACAGAGCAGTATGGAGATATGACACTGGAGAGCATAAATGAGTCGAGTTTTCAAAAAAATAGAACAAAATTTTTTGAAGTTAGTTGCCTATTAGCTTCCCTCACAGTTCTTAGGGAGATATAACTGAAGGCCTCCAAAGAATTTGTGTCTGTCCATAAGGTACAGAATAAATTTATTTCAAAGATCTCCTCCTCCCAGAGTTGATTATTTGACTTAGGGCAAAAGACCGAATGTAAATAGTAGCGAAACTGTCTCTGATATTATTGTAAGGAATAAAATAATTTTGCTTTGTAAATAAAATAGAATATTTTCTAGAGAGAACTGACCCAAACTCAATTTTAGGACTGGTCCTGAAATTCAGAAATGCCTTTCCCATATTGCCTAACTGTGCCTTTTTCACTGGAAAAAAAGTGCTGCCTTCAGGGAGCACGCCTCCCCAGAGATCAGTAAAATCAATGAGAAATGCAATGTCCATTTGTCAGTAAAGACATCTGAAGTTTGATGGGTTTCTTGGGACTGGATAACTAGTTAAAGATTCTAAAGAAAAATTAAGTGGGGCATAGAAACCAAAAATCTCAAGAGATCTTTGAAGAAGGAAACATGAAAAATGAGGACAAATTTAGAGAAATGTTGCTGGCATAGATGTTAACTTCCAGAAGAAGATGGAAATAGACTACCATGCAAAACAAAAAGACAGAAGAGAATATTAGCACTTTGTTGCAAAGGAGAATAGGTATGCTCTACTGGTAAGTATAATGCAAATATTCCAATATCTGAAAAAAATCCCAAATCCAAAATACTTCTGGTTCCCTGCATTTTGGACAAGGGATACTCAACAGGTATTTTAAAAGATCAAAATACAGATCACAGAATATGGATATTGAAGAATATGAGCAAACGAGAATAAGAAAAAATGTTGGAGGACTTTTAAAAATGTATAAAGGAATTAATGAATGCAATTAGTATTATTTTTTAAATCAGTCATTAATAGCCACTCGCCATGATTGCCAACCCCTTTGATGAGTACTAATTTCAAAATTATTAAGGAAAGGCAAATATTTAGACTCATACAGGTTAAAAGAAAATATTTTCAAAATTTCAAATTTAAGCTTATAAATGTTCTAATCTACTTTTGAATGTGTATTCGTGACCCAAGATTGGTTTTTTCCGGGCCCCATCATTCTAATGACTTTTTTTTTTTTTTGAGACAGAGTCTCTCTCTGTTGCCCAGGCTGGAGTGCAGTGGTGTTATCTCGACTCACTGCAACCTCCACATCCCAAGTTCAAGCAATTCTCCTGCCTCAGCCTCCCGAGTAGCTAGGACTACAGGCACATGCCACCATGTTCGGCTAATTTTTTTTTTCTTTTTTTTTTTTTTTAGTAGAGACAGGGTTTCACCATGTTAGCCAGGATGGTCTCGATCTCCTGACCTCATGATCTTCCTGCTTTGGCCTCCCAAAGTGCTGCGATTACAGGCGTGAGCCACTGCACCCAGCCCAGAGTTTTTTTTAACAAGGTTCTTCTCAGCAATTCTAGTATCCAGATATAGGCCCATCATAGACATCACACAAGCGTGTACTTCATAATCCTGGTGAATACAGAAGTTTCCTGGACTCCTTGATGAGCTACTGCTTTCGCTCCTATATCAGTGTTTTCAGCTGATGTCATTTGTGATTGTGTTTCTGACTTTCTGTAGGCAGAAAAAAACTTTCATTTTTTTTGCTTACATGCACATAAATGTAAGCGCTAATTCTTATATTAAACTGTTTATTTCTATAATACTTAATTGGCTGTTTTCCTGGCTGAACCAAACCAAGAGCATAAGGGATGATAACCTTCAAAACTGATTAAATTAGAGATCAATAAATGGAGCTGTTTTAATTCTATTATTCTTCTTTCATAGATTAAATAGAAAATTTTTGTAGATAGATTTTCTTCGCTGTCTCTTTGGTTACCATGAGGTACTGC
The DNA here is from genome assembly GCF_000001405.40 of Homo sapiens. Classification (NCBI taxonomy): domain Eukaryota; kingdom Metazoa; phylum Chordata; class Mammalia; order Primates; family Hominidae; genus Homo; species Homo sapiens. The sequence continues at coordinate 19,289,376 of NC_000014.9, forward strand.
TTGTAGTGAAAAGGTAGAATAAATACGTGATTCTTTCCCTTTATTTACCATTTTCTATTTATCAGTTACTCTTTTATTTGCCAGTTTTCTAAGTAGCAATATGGTTTCCTAAAATCCTAGAAAGTACTTGAAGAAATTAAAAATGGATTGACTTTTTAAAAATTAATTTTGGGAATTATTCTCCTGACTCTTCTCAGTCTGATGAAATTTTTCTGTAAGATGTTGTATTTTTAAGTACTAGAATTTTTTTTAAAGTTTTTATCTCTGCTGAGGCTTCACATCTGTTTGCTCAATTTTATTTTTATTTCAATCCTTGAGCATGTTTATAATATAGTAGTATCCCCTTATTGTGGCTTTACTTTCCTCACTTTCAGTCACCCACAGTCAAAAAATATGAAATATAAAACTCCAGAAGTAAACAGTTTATAAATTTTAAGTCACACCTTGTTCCGAGGAATGTGATGCAACCTCCCGCCATTCTGCTGTATCCAGTTCAGGATGTGACATACCCCTTTGCTCAGCAGATACACAATTCCTGCTTCCTGCTCATTAGACATTGGCAGCTGTCTAAGTTATCAGATGGACCTATCTCAGTATCGCAGTGTTTGTGTTCAAGTAACCCTTATTTTACTTAGTAATGGTCTCAATATGCAATAGTATTGATGCTGGCAATTCAGATATGCAAAAGAGAAACCTGAAAGTGCTTTCAGTAACTGAAAAGCAGAAAGTTTTGCACTTAATGAGGAAAAAGATATGCTGAGATTGCCAACATCTAGGGTAAGAACTATTCCTTTATTGGTACAATTGTGGAAAAGGAAAAATAAATTCTTGCTAGTTTCGCTTTTGTACCTCAAACTTCAAAAGTCACAGACACAGTGTGTAGTAAGTGCTAATGTAGGGTTCGGTATTATCCATGGTTTAAGACATCCACTGGAGGCCTTCCAAAGTATGCCCCACAGATAAAGAGGGAATACTGTAGTCTTTTTATGCTAATTCCAATACCTGCATAATGTATTTATTCTATTGACTGCATGCTTTAACATCATTATAAGCTCAATGATTTAAACATATAAGGTGTGCACCTGCTCATTGCAGTCATCATCATCATCATCATCATCATTATTTTGGTTTGTTTGTTTTTGAGACAGATCTTGCTTTATGGCCCATGCTGGAGTGCAGTGGCATAATCACAGCTCACCGCATCCTCAGACTCCTGGGCTTAGGTGACCCTGCCACCTCAGCCTCTCAAGTAGCTGGGACTACAGACACAAGCTACCATGCCTGGCTAATTTTTTGTTTTCTATTTTTGGTAGACAGAAGGTTTTACTATGTTGCCCAGGCTTGTCTTGAACACCTGGGCTAAAGCAATCCACCTGCCTTGGCTTCCCAAAGTGTTGGGCTTACAGGTGTGAACCACCGTGCCTGGCTTGTGGTCATCAATATTATTGATGCTTATATTAGTTCATGTTTGGAGAGTGGGACTTCCTTCAAGTTGCCTCTTGGATCCTATGGACACGATCCTAGGGGGTATAAAAGTGTCCTTGCATTCCAGTATGACGAGATGCTCTAGATTGATTTTGCACATTGCCTGCCTGCAGCCAGAAAGCAGCCATTTCTCCGAGAAGCTTTGGTTCCTTTTAGTGAATGATGACATGGAGAATCCAAAGTTATGGCACCAAGGTGCTTTCTGCTTCTGTTTTATTTAATGCTTCCAGGACTTTTCAGTGGATAAGTCTAAAAGATAAGTGTATTTTTTAATAAAAATTTATAACTTTTAAACAAACCTTTCGGTTAACAGTCTTGATTAGAGGATTTTAATTATGCTCAGAGATATTACATCTGTATCTTCTTCTATTTCATTAGGAAAGTACCAGTTTTCAATGTCACACCCATAATGAGATGGAGTCTAGCTCTGTCACCCTGGCTGGAGCGCAGTGGTGTGATCTAGGCTCACTGCAACCTCCACTTCCGGAGTTCAAGCAGTTCCCTACCTCAGCCTCCAGAGTAGCTGGGATTACAGGCAAACTCCACCACACCTGGCTAATTTTTGTATTTTTAGTAGAGACGTGGTTTCACCATGTTGGCCAGGCTGGTCTTGAACCACTGACCTCGTGATCCACCCACCTCGGTCCCCCAAAGTTCTGGGATTACAGGCACAAGCCACCGCGCCCGGCGCTTTTTTTTTTTTTTTTTTTTTTTTTTTTTTTTTTTTTTTTTTTCTGAGACGGAGTCTCGCTCTGTTGCCCAGGCTGGAGTGCAGTGGTGCAATCATTCTCCTGCCTCAGCCTACCGAGCAGCTGGGACTATAGGCACGTGCCACCATGCCTGGCTAATTTTTTGTATTTTTAGTGGAGACAGGGTTTCACCGTGTTAGCCAGGTAGGTCTTGATCTCCTGACTTCGTGATCCACCCGCCTCAGCCTCCCAAAGTGCTGGGATTATAAGCGTGAGCCACTGTGCCCAACCGATTTTTTTGTATTTTTAGTAAAGATGGGGGTTTCATCATCTTGGCTAGGCTGGTCTTGAACTCCTGATCTCGTGATCCACCCACCTCGGCCTCCCAAAGTGCTGGGATTACAAGCATGAGCCACCGTGCCCAGCCCCATAACTACTCTCTTTTTTTTTTCTTTTTCTTTTTTTTTTTTTTTTTTTTTGAGACGGAGTCTCACTCTGTCAGCAGGCTGGAGTGCAATGGCACCACCTCGGCTCACTGCAACCTCCACCTCTGGAGTTTAAGCAATTCTCCTGCCTCAGCCCCCTGAGTAGCTGGGACTACAGGCACATGCCACCACGCCCAGCTAATTTTTGTATTTTTAGTAGAGAGGGGGTTTCACCATGTTGGCCAGGATGGTCTCAATCTCTTCACCTTGTGATCTGCCCATCTCAGCCTCCCAAAGTGCTGGGAACTAATCATTTTTTTAAAATCCTGCAATATAAGACAAACCAATAGCCTAAGACTAAAAATACAGCCTTCTGAAAAATAATAAGCAATCTGAGATTATTTTTGTGCATTATTTTGTTCTTAGGCTATATTTCATCATGAATATACAGTCATATTATTGCTTTTTAAAGTCAGTGTAATTCTGATTGACAGATGACATAAATATATTGATTAGAAAATAAAATGTTATTTTCCAACCATTCCTAGACAGTGTTCTAACATGACTAACTTTAATTGCCAGAAGTAAAAGCTTTTATTTTACATGATTACACTTCATTGTACTAGAATATATCACAATCTCTATTTCCTTGAGACAAACAGTTTCCCTAATATGGTATTATAAAACTGTTTAAACATATAAAAATGTTGTGGGAAGTGCATATTTATAGTCCAACCACTTAGATTGTACAATTATCATTTTGTTATATTTGCTTTACTACATATCTCTCACTCTATCCACCATTCTATCCAATTATCAACTCACCGTTTCTTATTTATGTCAAAGTATATATTTTTCTTACATACTTAACATATGTAGCATTATTGTTCAGTATTTGTGTACAGCTCATTTTTTTTAAGTTACTAAGGTTTTTTATTAACACCTCAGAGTAGAGGTTATGAAAGGACCCTGAATTGTTCTAGGAATTTTCTTCAGTGAGCATTTGTGAAGACTCGGGGATCAAGGTTGGGTTAAACTTTGTGATGGGTCCATTGGCAGTCTAGTCACAAGCACCTCCTCGATCCTTAGGTCCCAGCGGAAAATGATGCCAGACTCTTAAACTGCCACAACGTAGCCTGGAAAGAACTCTACAGTCCAGAAAGAGCCTGGAAAGTGGTTTTGTGAGATGAAATTTACTCCTGGTGAAAATGCTGTGAATATTGTTTAGCCTACAACAAAGGATTTAGAATATTGATAAACATAGTAAAACAGTGGCAGGGTGTGAGAAGACTGACTCCAATTTTGAAAGAAGTTCTACTATGGGTAAAATGCTTATCATACAGTATCGCATGGTACACTGAAATCTTTCGTGGAAGGAAGAGTCAGTTAATGTGGCAAATTTCATTGTTTTCTTTTAAGAAATTGTGACAACCACTTCAATATTCAGCAACCATCGCCCTTATCAGGCAGCAGCCAACAACATCAAGGCAAGACCCTTCACCAGCAAAAAGACTAAGACTCTCTGAAGGCTCAGGTGATCATTAGCATTTTCAGCAATAAAAGATTTTTCTATTTTTTCTTTGTTTTAAATAATAGAGCTTCAAGTAAGGGCAGCAAGTAGTTTTTCTTCTTTTTCTTTCTGTTTTTCTTTTTTCTTTTCTTTTTTTAAAGACGTGTTTTGCCATGTTGTCCAGGCTGGTCTTGAACTCCTGAATTCAAGTAATCAACCTGTCTTGGCCTCCCAAAGTGATGGGATTACAGGCATGAGCCACCGAACCCAGCCAGCATCAAGAGTTTTAAAATTAAGGACATAACGCCATTTCACACTTTAAATAGACTATAGTGTAGTGTAAACATAGCTTCTTTTTTTAAATAGAGACAGGATCTCCCTATATGCCCAGGTTGATCTCACAATTCCTGGGCTCAAGTGACCCTCCCGCCTCCGTCTCCTAAAGTACTGGGATTATAGGCATGAGCCATCACACCCAGCCAATATAACTTCATATTCACAAGGAAACAAAACAATTTGTGTGACTCACTTTGTAGCAATATCTGCTTTATTGTGGTGGTCTCGAATCAAATCTACAATATCTTTGAGGTATGGCTGTACTTTCTAAGCATTTCCTGAGTCAGCCTACTTTTTCTCCATTTTTATTGCCACTATTCTATCTATTTTTTGTTTTGTTTTGTTTTGTTTTCTTGTTGTTGTTTGGAAACAGGAACTTGCTGTGTCACCCAGGCTGGAGTGCAGTAGCACGATCATAGCTCACAGCAGCCTCGATCTCCTATGTTGAAACCATCCTCCTGTCTCAGGCTCCTGAGTAGCTGAGACTACGGGTGCATGCTACCACACCTGGCTCATTTTTAAAAAGATGTTTTTAGAGATGGGGTCGCATGATGTTGCCCAGGCTGATCTGGAACTCCTGGCCTCAAACAATTATTCCACCTCAGCCTCCTGAGTAGCTAGGGTCGATCCACTGTTGAAGAGTACATGGATGTTACTTCGCAGACTGTCAACCTGAATTTGTATTTGCTTGACATTGCCTAATTATTAGTTTCAGTTTCAGCTTACCCACTTTTTGTCTGCAACATGCAGAAGAGACAGTGCCCTTTTTAGTGTATCATATCAGGAATCATCTCACATTGGTTTGTGCCATTACTGGTGCAGTGACTTTCAGCCACTTGGGTAAGGTGGAGTTGGCCATATGTCTCCACTGCAAAATTACTGATTTTCCTTTTGTAATTAATAAGTGTGTGTGTGAAGATTCTTTGAGATGAGGTATATATCTCACTCTTCATCAAACTATAAGTTTTTTTAAGTAAAAGAAAATTTATTATGAAACTAAAGGAATAAAAGAATGACCACTCCATAGGCAGAGAAACGTCACTTTAAGGTTTTGACGTCAATTGATTTTTGTCCAAATCAATAATTACTGCAATGATTGAAAAATGATTATTACTAAGTTTGTTTTCATTGTCTCAAGGTCTGCTGAACTCTGGATCCAGGCTGTGTCAACAGGGTAGTGTGGTGCCTCCTGTACCTGTCTTGGCCTCCTACAGTCCTTTTTACTTATTTTGTTTTTTAGAATAGAGACAGGGTCTTACTATGTTGCTCAGACTGGTTTCAAACTCCTAGGCTCAAGCAATCTTCCAGCCTCAGCCTCCTAAAGTGCTGGGATTACAGGCATGAGCCACCACACCCGGCCAAGTTCTTTACCATCTTCAGAAGGCTTAGCTTGCACTTTTGGAAGAAGAATAGACTCCCAGGAAGACTGTGAGAGAGATTTGGGGCCCAAATTGATATTATCAAATACACTGAACTTGATTGTATTCACCATGTTCTGGCTCTTGAGAAATGAGAGTGCTAGTGAGGCTGGTGCCACTTTGTGTATCTTCTGTACCTTGAAGTCCCTCAGAAACCTTGCCCCTGGTCTTCTCTGGTCTTCTCATTCTAAGGACATAACAGGTTCTCTTTTTCTCTGGAGATGAAATCTAGATCTTCGATTTTGGAACCAAATTTGGACTCTTGACTCTGAAGCACCAATTTCTTCAGCAAGTTGTTCTCTGGAATCAATCCCAGGGTATGGGTTTTTCATAAATGCATGGATGACTGTGTGTAATTGAAAGGTGCTATAGGTGGTACAACACCATCTGGCTTCTCTATTTTGAAACTCCACACCAGGTTAATCTTGTCCATGGCTGTGGCTTAAATCTAAAGTCAGGTTCTGGTGTTTTCTGGAATCCATGCCTAGCTCTTTGATTCTGAAACCAAATCTGGATTCTGGACTCTTCTGCATTGATTGCTAAAGCAAGTTTTTGTTTGGTAGCATAACCTGGGTAAGGTTTTTGAGTGAAGGTATTGATGAGGATTTTCAATTGATCTTCTGTGAATTTGGTGCAATTGCACCTATGATTTGTTGCTACCATCTTGTGTGAAGAGGGGTCTTCAACTATGCAGAAAGAGAGTTCTGGAGGCTGAGCTACTGTCTGGGAGACTGCTTACAGCTCATTTTTTAAAAAGAAAGGTCACATATAATACAATATAAAATTCACAAATCTAAAGCTTATGGTTTTCTGGGTTTTGACAAATGAAAACTCCTGTGCAACTTCAAGCCTTACCAGGATATGGATGAGGGTTTCTACCCAAAAGCACCAGTATTCTAACAAACAACTTTACGTTTTTTGAATTGTCCAGTGCCTGTGAGGATTCCTTACTCCAAGTTTATGACAAACATATTCAGAAGGCATAGTCTACAATTAGTGTTTGGGTAAGTATTTTCATCAATTGTCTGATTATTTGCTGTGAATTTGAAGTATGCTGATTCTTATGTAATTGTCTTCTGAGAAACATTGTGCCATTTTTCTTGTGGAAACCACCTGTAGAATAAACAGAAATTATGAACGCACAGAGTTGGTTGTGATGGGCACGTCTACCTGTGGCTGCCATTTAAGTGGAAGGTGGAATCCGACTCTGGAGCATCGGCAGCCTGAGCTGCTGCTGGGCTCACACTGACCCTGGGAGTGCTCTATGCATGCTTCACCTTATGAGGGGTGCAGAAGGAACAAAAGTAGAAAAGTGTGCTCTACTTTCACGTGTTACCAAAGGACAGAGGACACCACCAAGGATTTAGAAAACTGTTAAGTGAGGATTTATTCTTCTTAATAGCCTTTCAAGCAAGGAATTTGAAAACAAGATTCTACTCATCCCACACCAAAATGTAAACAGATATATTATTTTCTATACTCCCAGGATAATTTTGGTTTTACTTAAGCATCACTATTGCCCTCAAATGTCAAGTGGAAAAATAAATGTGAATAATCCCACCACTAGCCTCCAGACTTGATGTTTATGCTATTTCGTTTTTAAAATGACCTTTTAAAAGTTATAAATTAGAAACGTGGAAGTAGAATGGCTTCATGCAAGAAATACTGGAATAAGATCCCTGTTCTGGCCCCAGAGTCTTAGACAAGTCATTCAGCCTTTCTAAACATCAGTTCTCCCTTCGGGAAAACATGGGCATTCATCTCTACGGGAGCTGCTAGCTCTAACTGTCAGTGAGTTTCTGAAACTTGCCCAGGAAGGAGCAGCCCCAGTGTGAGTGCATGCCACCCCTGTGCTTGCCTTTTGCCTGCTTCTTATCCTTGAGGTAGCCTGCAGGCTCCTCCTCATTCATCTCCTAAGCCAGTGCTATCTGACGGCACAGAATATGTTTCCAATTCTGGTCTCATCTGAAATACATTTTTCCTGGAAGAAAGATTACATCTATGACCTGCAAAGCATTATGCTCCTCTCTGTATTCCGGATCTTGTGTTATTTTTTTAATATGGGAAAATTTATGATTTTTTTTTTCCTGAGATGGAGTTTTGCTCTTGTCACCCTGCTAGAGTCCAATGGCATGATCTTGGCTCACTGCAACCTCTGCCTCCTGGGTTCAAGCGATTCTCCTGCCTCAGCCTCCCGAGTGGCTGGGATTACAAGTGCCTGCCACCACACCTGGCAAATTTTTGTATTTTTAGTAGAGATGAGGTTTCACCATTTTGGCCGGGCTCATCTTTAACTGCTGACCTCAGGTGATCCACCAGCCTCAGCCTCCCAAAGTGCTGGGATTACAAGCATGAGCCACCGCTCCCAGCACGATTATGTCTTTTTATATGAGAAAAATTTATTGAGATCATAAGGAAAAAAAAAATCCCTGAGCCAAAAAATGTCAACCAAGAAGAAAAAGAAAGTGAGAAGTAAGAAAAATATGTATTTTAGAGAAAGTGAAGTGGGCATAGCAATCACATTGAAATCTGGGTATAGAACAACCTTCATCTCTAAAATTTATATTTAGTCAACCACTATGCTAAGCAAGGTTGTGGTAGGAATACCTGCCACCTATTCTAGGCCACATGTCTCTTACGGGCAAAAAGTAAAGCAAAGCCATAATTGTGGTTCGATATTTTGGATGTATTAATTCTCATTTCAGCATTTGCATAGTCTCACATTTTGGAAAACAAAATTGTGGTGATTTCACTTGTCTCTCCATATCATGATTATATTCAAAACTAGGAAACAAACGTAGACTAAAGAAGCAAATACTAAAGAGTGAGATCATGCAGGTTAAACAGATACTCTTTCTCAGGGAAAAGTCATTTACCCATCATGAGCTGATATACTGTTGTGAGTTTATATGGTTTAGTGTATTTACAACTTAACTAAGTATACATGATTCACTGTGTACTGTAGAATATAATTAAATTGACATTTGCTGGTACGGAATAAATTTGCACATCAGTGAAATAAATGATGAAAATAAATAAAGTCTGAGGCCAGATAATTCCATTGGTTACCAATTTATGTCTTCAGCTCTACACCAAAGCAAATATTACAACTCCAAACAAGCAAACAGGTGAAGAAGAGATTTGCTTGTAACCTCAGATGTCAGAGAATGCATTTGTCTCTGAAAACATTTGTACTGGTTCTTTTTTTTTTTTTTTTTTTTTTTAGTCACGCTGTACTTTATTTAAAGGTGGCCATAGCATTAAAGTGTGAATTCATTTTGTACAACCAGAAATGGAAAAGGAGTCAGTCAAGGTGGGGCAGAAGTTTCTAACAAAGTCTAAAGCATAGTTTTATATAACTAATAATAAGGACACAATGTTTAGCTTACTTAATTCCCAAACTGAGGTCACTAAAACTTAAGAATATCTACCAAAACTTAAGCAAAATCTCAGAGAGAAACTTTAAAAATAACATTTTATTTTTGATCATTCAAAATGTTTCAATCAATATTCTGAGCCTAAACGTGTAGGTGAGTGCTTTCTCCATCTTTGCACATGTGAAGTGCGCCTGAACCATAGCCCCACATTTTCTCAAACACCATCACACTCATAGAACAGAAAGGAAAGGGCAGTTTCACCAGCTAGCCCCCATAAACCACTCCCTAGGGTCCTCCCCAGCACCTGCTAAATTTGGGAGGCCTGATTCCAGGGGGCTGGATAATGAGCTGGCAAAATAAACCCAGAAGAATCGTAATTGCAGACAAAGATAAACTCAGGTTCCAGCACAGATAGACAGCCCATACCAGTGCTTTTGATATTAGCTGCAGTTAAGCGGGCAGGAAAGGCTCCCACTCTATGGCCGGTGGTGTGGTCAGCTCAGCGCCGCCACCTCGGCAGGCTCCATCCCACCATCACCCTCCCAATCAGGCTGATAGTGTCTCCTTATGCCAAGTGGAAGGAACTGCAATCAAATTCTGACACGAACTGCAAATCCTCCAGGGCCCTGGGCTACTGGTTAGGCCAGTAGGGCTGTGTATCAACCGATTAAACCAATTAATAACTGGCAGCACAGCACGGCCTCCTTCTCAACAAATTACGATGCTGATCCCCAGACTCGGCCATCCATGCCCATGGTCTATTGTTCTTACGCTTTCAAAACGCCTCCCCTGCTTCATGCTTTCTAGTCTTGAGGACTTGGCTTAAATATGCTTCTGAATTGCCACTCCCTCTTGTTGACAATTCTTCTTTTTTTTTTTTTGGGAGACGGAGTTGCTCTTGTCACCCAGGCTGGAGTGCAGTGGCGCCATCTCTGCTCACTGCAACCTCCGCCTCCCGGGTTCAAGCAACTCTCCTGCCTCAGCCTCCTGAGTAGCTGGGATTACAGGCATCCACCATCACGCCTGGCTAATTTTTGTAGCAGAGACGGGGTTTCACCATGTTGGCCAGGCTGGTTTTGAACTTCTGACCTCAAGTGATCCGCCCCTCTCGGCCTCACAAAGTGCTGAGATTACAGGCGTGAGCCACTGCACCCGGCTGACAGTTCTTTACACCGTTCTCCAGTTGGGGCGGAGTGGGAGACACCACGGAGCCTACCTCTGCAGGAGGCATAGCTTGGCAGAAGGGAGACACCAGCCAGAGGAAGGGTGCATTTTAGGCACCGAACTTTAGGTAAAGCGCTCTGGGTCAGGCGTCTCCTCCAGAGTGGTCTGTTTAAAGTTAAAAAGGTCGCCTTCAAAATAGTTGTAAAATCTATACACTTACCCAGACATACACATTTTTCGAGACAGGGTCTTGCTCTGTCGCGAAGGCTGGAATGCAGTGGTGCAGTCGCAAGCCATCTTCCTGCCTCAGCCTCCCGAGGAGCTGGGACCACAGGCCCGCACCACCACACCCGGCTAATTTCGTTTTCTGTTTGTTTTATTTTCGTTTGTTTGTTTTGGAAGGATGGAGTCTGACTGTGTTGCCCAGGCTAGTCTCGAACCTCTGGGCTCAAGGGATCCTCCCTCCTCGGCCTCGCCAGGTGCTGGGGATTAAGGCTTGAGCCTCCACACCCGGACCTATTAATTATTCTTAATTAAAACATTTAAAGGACACAGCATTTGGGGTCAGCGCAGCATTTGCAGTGGCTGCTCCAGCTTCGGGGCCGCAGGTCACCGCGGGGGCCCGGTGCCTACTGGCCCGGCCGCCCTGCGGGTCAGCTCATGGGGATTCTCTGGAGAACCCTGAGCCCACCTCCTGCGCCCCGCCCAACCTTGGGTCCCCAGGCCCAGCCTCCGAGGCCCCGCTCCCAGCGCTGCCGCCAGAGCTCCAGGCTGCGCTCCCCCAGGCAAAGGCGCCACCGGCGTGTCCAGCGCAGCCTCCTCCTCCAGGCGGCGCGTGTGAGTCAATGGAAATGACCGTGGCGGGCGGAGCAGCCACCTAGGACATCGCGGAAGCCTCCTGAGGGGACTTCCACGGCTTGTCCCAGGAGCTTCTACAACAGCTGGCATTGAGAGTTCAGTTATAATATTTTCCGCCAGTTTTTCCCAGCCCGGCCCCCAAGCGTCTGATTTTAAAGTTCCCGCCTCAGGCTCCGGGGCGCCTACCCTGCAAGGGCGCCAGTTCTCCGACACCTGCTAGGGAATGAATCCCCATCCCAGGAGGAAGGCGTGGCGGGGACGGAAGAAACAACCACACGATCTGTGACAGTGACCAAGCTTTAGAGGCCCCGTGTGCCTGCCAGGCGCCTGAGCCCACACCGTCCACGCTTCCCTGCCCCGGCGGGAACCAGCTGTTCTCCTTGCACCGGCGAGGGCGCGGGGTCACCCCCGCCGGGCCGACCCCAGGCATGAGCTCCAGAACCCCCTCCCAATCGCCCCGTCTTGGGAGCGCAGGGAGTCTGGCTCTTCCCTGCCAATAACGAAATCATCACGGACATTAGGAAAGCGGGGCGAGGCTGGGAAGGGAGCGGCTTTAATCCGGGGTCCGCCCCCTTCAATTCTCCAGCTTAGCGGTCCCGAAAGTGGGGTGGGGACGGGGATTGAGGCTGAGCTCGCTTCTTCCTTGTTTTCCGGGTCTCGCGCCTCTGAAGCGAACTAGGCCTGGAGGAGTGCTGGGGGTCGAGGAAACAGGGTTGGGGTGACCGAGGGACAGGTGGGGCGGGCACCTGGGCCCCGGTCGAGGCGGATTCCGAGGCGGAGCCGCTGCCTGCCTGCGCCTCGCCTGCTCGGTCCACCCAACAGCTCCGCCCTAGACTCGCAGCTGCGGAAGCGGTGGGCCGGGTGGTGATTACAACCCTGAGCGCTGTCCCTTTGGAACCTGACTCCTGACTCCGCTCAGCAACCGGGACGTTGCGACCTCAAAGCCCTCTGTGCTTCTCCATCGATACCGGGCCGCCTCTCTCGCCTGCAGCGCACGCCTCCGCCCCCAGGGGCAGCGCAGCGAGGCGGAGACCCTCCTGCATTCCGAGCGTGCGGGGCAGCCCTCAGACTGAGGACCTGCGACTTCGTGGGACGCCGGTGTCCGCCACTGCGCCCCTCCAGGGAGCAGAGGCGGCTCTGGAAGTCGGTTTAGGGCGGAGACCGCGACTGGAGGGGCGCAGAACGCTCTTCCCAGCGTCCCGGGCTCCACCGGCACAATTTTAAAACCAGGGGCGAAATCCGAGTCCTGCCGCCACGCGGGGGTGGAGCGTGACCGCCTCGCCGCGCGCTGTCTCAGGCTCCGCCGGCTTTAGCGCCGCGAGGCTGCCAGGTGAGTTCCAGGGCTCTGTGGTTCCTAGAGCGCTCCCGGGAGTCTCCTGGCTGCAGCGGGAACCGAGCTGGATGCCCGGACAGCGCCGGGGTCGTTTTTCTGCCCCTGCCCCGTGGCCGGAGCCGCAGGCCTGCCGCTACCCCCACCCGGGCCACGCCTTCCTTCCTCGCGGCCGGACCGCGCCAGAGTCCCGGGCCCTGGCTGGAAACTCGCAGGCCCCGGGCAGCCGGGGCCGCAAGTGCGATGAAGAAGCGGGGCCCGGCGCGCACATGTGGTTCCGGGCAGGAGCCCCGGCCGCCTCGTGCCCTTCTTCTCGCCCACGACGGTGGCCGGCGGCGGCCTCTGCTTCCCGGACCCATGAACAAAGCTGGAGATGCGGCTTTGGAGTCGGCCCTGGGACCTGCTTCTTCTCTTGGCTTCGGGGACCGCAGCCCAGGGCGTTCCCTCCGGATCGGTGGCCAGGGCTTGCGGGGCGTGTGCGACTCGGGACCCCCAGCCGGGCAGCAGCGGCCGCCAAGCATGGCAAGGAGCAGTGCCAGCTTCTCCCCACCGCGTCCCGGGATGGCGGGCTTCGGGTGGGAGCCGGCCCGGGACATCCAGGTGGGATCAGCCACCGCTCAGGCCTTGTCCCAAGCGGACGCGGCCAGAGGCAGTCTCAGCACCACGCAGGCCGCGGGCTCAGTGGGCAAAGAGAGGGGCCCCCGGTTTAGACCAAAAACGTGTGTTCTCCAACCTCCTACTTAACAGCCCCTGTCTCATATGCTGGTTCCTGTCTCTAATAGTTCCTAGGTGTCTGGGACCGGTGACTTGGCCCCTGTTATCCCCGAGCTCAGCCGCAGGCTTCAGGGACCTGGGCAAAGTGTGGATAACCCTGCCCGCCTTTTGGGGAGGAAAGCCAGTTGCTCCCCTAGCCTCTACTGTGGCACTACGAAGCAAGGGCAGCCAAGCTGATCGCTGGTTTCATCTGCACCACCCCACTCCCTCTGGCAGGTGATGAGATGGCCAGTGACGGGTGGGTTGGCAGCTGGACTGGCGTGGCATGGCTAGCTGCCCTGGGCACCATATTCCCTGCCTGTCACCACTCCTGGTTGTCCAACAAAGCAAAGTCACAATGACAAGATCCAGAGAGGGGAGTCTCCAGCTGGAGATGGTGCCGCTGTCACAGGGCACCAGAGCAGCAATGTGACAGCTTCTCATGGAGGCAGACTCTGTTCCCAGTCCCTACCCAACCCTGGCTTGATCCTTGTCAGTGTCTTATTTCTTTGCCTTGCCTTTATCTCAGCCTGGCTTCCCTTCCAGGCAGCTCTGAGTGGCTCTTGGTCCAGGCTTGTCTCCATCTCTCCTTCCTCTTCCCAACTCCCTAAACTCAGGACCCAGTCACTCCTGCTCCTTACATACACACACACACTAACACACGCACACACTCACTCTCACCCTCTCCCCCCCACACACTCACACACACTCCCACCCTACCTTAGGAAACAGGTTTCCTTCCATGAACCTTTATTAAGACCTGTGGGGAATGACCAGGATCTGGGCCCCCAGTGTGTCTGTGAGCCAGCTTGTGTGTGTGTGCAAAGGTGTGAGTGTGTGAGCATCCATGTGGCTGTGGAAATTAGAAAGCATGTGTGTACACACGCGAGTGTGACAGTGAAGTGCTGAGAGTTGAAACAGTGTGCGTTTGGGGTCAGTGTGACCTTGGCCGTGTGGGCACACAGGTGAGCTGTGGCGACGGTGGAGGGATGTGAGTGACTCTGAGTGTGGAAGCTGAGCCCAGGGCAGATGGACAAATGCATCCTTTGAGCTCCTGTAGAGGCTGCCACTCCATACCTTGCTCAACTACTCCCTCTTTGTCATCCTGGGCTCCCTCAAATCAGGATGGGGTGCAGGAAGGGGAAGTGAAGCTGGTGACCTATGGGAAGGGGACTGTCTGCTTCCTGGGCCTGTCAGCCACTGATCTGTTCCATGTTCCTACAAATACTTACAAATCCCAGCTGCTGAGGAGCAAGACATCCTCCACCAGCCAGTTGGGGCTCCTGGCCTGGAGCTATGGAGCGAGACACATGGGGGAGGGGAGGGGGACCGCATCAGAAAGGCTGGCATCAGGGACTCCTGAGTTCAGCTCCTAGTTTTGCCAAAGGTTAGCCTGGGCACCCCAGTATGTCTTCATCAGGAACTGCAGAGCCAGACACACCACCCACGCCTCTGCCCCAGGAAGCGGCCCTACCTCTGCCTGAAGAGAGAGACTCCCACCTCAACAGCCAGCTTTCTGCCTTCTAGTCACGCCTCTCAATTAGGGGTAAAAAGAGGGGTCTTCTTGTTTTTTGTAGTGGGGGGTGTCTCACTGTGTTGCCCGGACTGTTCTCTAACTCCTGGCCTCAAGTGATCCTCCTGCCTGTAGCTCTGAAAGCACAGCAATTACAGGTGTGAGCTGCCACACCCAGCAGCTTCTTACCC
Source organism: Homo sapiens (assembly GCF_000001405.40). Lineage (NCBI taxonomy): Eukaryota > Metazoa > Chordata > Mammalia > Primates > Hominidae > Homo > Homo sapiens. The sequence goes on from NC_000014.9 coordinate 19,304,425, forward strand.
TTTAAACGCCACACAAAATTCTCCTGGAGTTCCTGGGGGAGATTGTCTCTTTGAAATCAAAATCTTTCCCAGGACACCTTGAGCAATCCTTCAGGCTCTTTCTGGATTGGAGGCAGAAGAAATTGCAGCTCGGTGACCCTCCCTTTGCAAGGGCCCCCTCTGCAGCCCTTGAGGGGAGTGAAAGCATTTTCATTTGGCCTCATGCCCAGCTGCAGCCAGCTCTTTCACTTCTGGAGCTGGGCTGGTTGTGATAACCTGGAGGAGGGGGAATGAGTTGGGATGACTCACTTGCCCCAGCCCATCAACCCTGGCCTAGGCTTGTGGCCAGACACCTGGTTAACCACCCCAAGAGAGCTTCCTTTCTCAGGGAAATAATGATTATTGATTATTGATCCTCTATATCCACTTCCCAGGACACTGTCAGGCACACCACAGGCCCTTGGGCATTTTTGTGGCATCATCAGCCTTATTCCTGGATCACCATGTCAAGCTTTCCCAATAGCAGTTGGTGGCAAACTCCAACTCCTACTGTCAGAAGGCATCACAAGGCCCAGATATGCTGGGCCTCCCAGCTCAGGCAAGCCCAGCTGTCAGGGACACAGAAACCCCTGACACTGAGCCAAGATCTTTTCCCCCTGTCTTGGCTTGAAATTCAGATATATTGATGTTGAGCCCTCCTGGCCCGCAGTGGGACCCCCCCTTAGCCTTACAGAGGTAATGCCTATATCATGGCCTAGGTTTTTCCAAAAAGCCAGACTCTGGGAAGAACCTGGAGTGGAGGAAAAAACCAGGCAGAGGTAACCCCATGAGGGGCTCTGGCATGTGACTCCCTGCTGGAAACGTGCCCCTAACAGGGCATCAAAGCCAGGCAGGCAGGGGCTCCTGCTCTGCCAGAGGCTGGAAATCAGGACTGCAGCTTCCCACCTTACTCTGGGGATGCAGGTCAACTATTTTCCCTCAGATGAGAGATGCTGAAGTTCCAATTTTATAAGATGAGAAGAAGGGCTGAGGTGATGCCCATTCTGCCACTTTGCTGAGTCCAGAGCTGTGATGAAGAGGGAGAAGTCACAGGACAAAGAAGGGGGCTCAGGGACCCCGGAGTTTTCCTTGGCAGAAGTCAACTTGCCCCGCCCCTGAGAAAACTCTGACCTCAGCTGCCAGGGAGGAAAGCAGGGACTGGGGAGGAGGGGACAAGGAGAGGGAATAGTCTGGTGCTCTGTGCTCTGGGAGAGAAGTCTGATGGCGGCAGTGACTCAGGAAGGGTTAAGAATATTCCTAAAATAGCCAAGCCACAGCCTAAGCCAGTTCATGAATGCCTCTTCCAGAGAGCAGATCAGTAGCAGGAAAATTCAGCCTGATCTTCGCCCCACTGCCTGCCGCCTGCCCCTGGCTACTAGTTAAGCCTCCCACCCTGTCCCCTTCACCAACTCCTGTCCTAGTGGGGATGGGGTAGGAGTAGTCAGAGGGGCCAAATCTCCCCAGTCAACAGGGAACTCCAGCTGGGACCAGGAGTACTGGGCCCCAGTGCCCGCCACCACCCCCCACCCCCATCCACACTCCTGGTCTGAGTCAGGTAGGAGGACTTGGGACAGACAGGCAAAGTGCAGGCCTTGTACATGGGATGGAAGGTGCCAGAAGAGAGCAGCCAAATTCTCCCACCCACACACATGCATCACCAGCCATGATCAGGTGGGACCTCCAAGATCATCCTCAAATACTGCCTTCTCCTAGCTCTGTGTTCCCCTTTACTTAGGGCATCTTGGAGTGAGATGGGCAGGGAGGGGTCGAGTGAGTCCCTTCATGAACAAACCTTATCTTTGTTTCAGGGACAGGACTGGGTACATAATTTGCAGGACCCGGTGCTAACTGAAAATGTGGAGTCTGTTCAAAAATTGTTAAGAATTTGAAGGCAGTGACAACATAGCACTAAACCAAGTTCAGGTCCCCTCTGACAGTGGGGCTTTTGCCACTGCACAGGTGGCACCTCTATGAAGCCAGCCTTGTGCAGGGGTTTGGTTTAATGAACATTTACTTAGCGCCCACTGCTCAGCTCTTCTGGCTCTGTAATATGGTGTGGCTCTGTGTCTGCACCCAAATGTCATTTTGAACTGTAATCCCCACGTGTTGGGGGAGGGGCCTTGTGAGAGGGCATTACATCATGGGAGTGGTTCCCACATGCTGTTCTCGTGATACTGAGTGAGTTCCCACGAGATCTGATGGTTTTATAAGGGGACTTTCCCCTCTTCTGCACTTCTCTCTCCTGCTGCCACGTGAAGGATGTGTTTGCTTCCCCTTCCACCATGATTGTAAGTTTCCTGAGGCCTCCCCAGCCATGTGGAACTGTGAATTAAACTTCTTTCCTGGAGTGTGAAAATGAACTAATAAACTCTGTGACCTCAGAGACTCCCTCTCAGTGACCCTGTTCTCAAATGTATGAAGATGGGTGCTCAAAGATCTCTCTCTAAACATGGAACAGGGCCTGTCTGAAGACATAAGTGATTAACTTCTAATCTATAACTAAGGTCTGAGTCCTGAAGACCTTCCTCTGGAGGCTGAGTAGTTAATCTAGATGGGTCCAGGTGCTGCAGGTGATTACCTTTATCTTGTTTCCTGCAAAATCATGGAGGTTTGGGAAGTTCCTTTAGACCCATTCTCGTATGGAGGTTTGTTTTCTTCTTTTTTCTTTCCTGCAAGGACAAACCGAATTCTGTGATGGTTTGTGTAGCATTTTTGAGTTTATTGCCAAAAATTGAGGCTCGTTTGTAGACTACATTTTTTAATAAAATAAAACTTTCTAGACAAAGAAATGCAGGTGAAACTGTTCCTTTGACACCATTTTCCAAATCTACACAGAGTTGATAGCAAATTTTTCTCTTTATCTTTCCTTAAATTGTATATATTCATATAAATGCTCTTAAATTCTTAGTGCAACCGAGTGGATTGTCATTACAGAGCATGTCCTTAGCATAGAGCACAGATCTTCCCACTGTCAACTGGGCTCTGTTCACAAAGCACCCAGAGCTGGCCTTCAATTTCCACTCCTCAGTTCCTTTGCCTACCTTATTTCTAAAATAGGGAAGGTATTTGTCTTTTTAATATTTAATAAATGACATTTATTATCATTCTGCCTACTGAATTTCACTTGTCTGTCTGGTAATAACCTACTCCCGTAAGAATCAATGAGTTCTTGGTACATATTGGTCTAAATTTGCCTCCTCTTTGAACCTTTTTCCAGTTTTCCAGGCAAGGTTGATTTATCTATCTATTTATTCTATGTTTCCATAACAATCTCTCCAAGCATAATACAGTAAAAAAAGAGCTGATGCATCATGTCCTGTCCGTTTCCCTCTGGAGACTTTGGAGCCAATGTGAGGGTACAGGTATGCTCCTGTAGAAGCTCTTTGGTCGCCTTTGTCAGTTTAGGACAGTTCTCAGTATGTAATTGTTCTCAGGTGCCATTAAACTAGACCTGAATAATTGAAGGATTGAAAGTGTTCAGAAATCACCCAGGATGCTTCAATAATTCATCCTAATTAGGGATATGGGGATAGTTTGCATGAGAAAGAAGTTTTTCTTTTTGAGGAAAAGTTAAAATTCAGCAGGCAGAATGAAAATAAATGTCAATAATTTTTTATTTTAAAATATTCATGTTTTACTATTTTGATATAATTTTTAAAGAAAAAGGCAGAAACCACTGCTTATTAGAAGGCAGATTTTATTGATTTTATACCCCTAGACTTGTTGCATATCAAACCTGTGTAAAAACATCTATAAATCAAATCATTAATTGCACCTAGTATAATAATTCTATATATGGAGGTAATGTTTGATTCTTCAGGAGCTTTAATAACTTGAAGCCCGTTTGATTGCTTTAAAATGATTTCTCATTGTATTTGTTTATATTGTATCATTAAGCAAAAGTACAGAGTAAGCAATTAGTGTGATTAATTCCTCTTCTATAATACAGTAAAGCACTGCCTCCATAGACCAATTCTCTGGGATCCCTGGAAAACATCTGGCATCCAGCAAGTCTTGACCCCTCTTTAGAAAGCCATGGAGAAACTGGAGGCAATTCTGTTAATTATTTGCCCTCTAGAGGCAATTGGGTTAATTACCCTCCCTTCCCTATCCATGACACAATTTCTCCAGTTACATGTAGAATGCTGTTATGTGTCTCCTGACCAGACCCCTTATTTCATAGATGTGGAAACTGAGGCCATGAAGGATGAGGTGACTGTTCACAATCCACATGGCTAGTTAGTGTCCAGAGCCTGGCCTGGACTTCTCTCTTGTTCTGGGGCCTTGAGTTCTCTCCCTCTTCTTTAGTACATATGGCCACAGGTAACGTAATCTGCGTACCACATTTGCATTTGGAGTGCATCTGTTTTGCATTCATTTAATCTTGTTGAGATGGTTTGCTTGCTGACCTACTCAGTCAGTTATCTTTTCACCTTTGTGAGTTGAGAGCTTTGTGTATTAAATCTGTAAAACTTTGCATCGTGGAAAGTGACATAATCTGTAGCAGACCCATGCTGTTTTTAGATGCATCTTCATTGTGGTAGTGACAGTGATTGAGAAACTTTACATGTTTTTCTGTGCTATTTCAGAATATGCCTTCTGAATTCAGCTAGAGGTGGAGTCAAAAACAACAGAATACTATATTTTTGTTTCTCTGATTTAGGTAAAATACCTCTTTTCTGACAAGACTAGGACTCTTACATAGACTACCATGAACTAAAAGAAGCACAACATTGCCAGAGTAACCTGTGGTACGTGTATTAATCACTTACTGAACATTTTACTTGCATTCTTTCAAGAAAATGAGTTTATTTTTAGATACTTAGTCAAATTATCTTGACTTTCTGATGTTTTTAAAGAGTATTTATAATAGATTTAGTTATTTCATTAATATTGAATGTATTTAAAACTAAATGCATCCCAAAGGAAACTGAACAGTTAAAACATGGTTTATTTCTGCAAATATTAACTTAGTGAGAAATCCCAGGGAATCTGCACATTTGTGTTTTCTATCTAACAATCATGAATTTCTTAGTGTATGTTTTGATCAGGCTGTCTTTTGATCACAGTTTTGTGACCACTCTGTTATTCCTCTCTCTCTGGCAGTCATTTCCCAGAATTGACAAGGAATTCATCCTGAGATGATTTCTGCTAAGTAAATCCTAGCACTTCTTGACACTTTAGAAAAGGCTTTGGAATAATTTTATATTAGCATTTTTCACCTGCATATTTTTACATGTAAATATAAGCTGTGAATGCATTACTTTGAAAGAGAGCCAGGATAAAATTTAAAGAAACATGGTTCTAGAAGTCCAATGGTAGTATAAGATTTCACAAAGAAACAGACTGCTCTTCATTCAGTACTTCCTATTTACTCCCCAGACACAGCCAACTTCAACATTTTTTACTTAAAAAATGTATTTTTATATTTCAAAATAACATGTTTATGTGACCTGTCTCTCACCCATCCTGACCTACTCTGGCTTTACCCCCTTCAGAATATTTAAAATTTCTTGAGTATCCTTAGCATATACCATTCCAATCATGAATCTTGGGGTAGGCTTATTTTTTTTTTAATTTGTGCATTTAATAAACCCCTAGTGGTACATGTCTGTTTTTCTTGTTAATTCTTGGAAATGTCTTTCTATTGTTTCTATAATAATTTTCTTCCCCTCTAGCTTCCCTTTTTCTTCTGGATCTCGTTAGGTATTGAACCTCTTGAGTTGATTTTCTAATTTTTGTCATCTCCCTCTCTCATTTTTTGTATTTTGTGTTTAATTTTCTGGTATCTAATTCACCTTGATTTTCTATCTTTCTGGTGATATTTTCATATGCTGTCACTCTTACAGTTGTCAAATGCCTTCTCCTGACCTTGCCCTTGTGTTCTGTTTACTCTGCCCACCTCTTCGATTCTCCCCATTGCTACCTGGTGTTTTGGTTTCTTTTTCTTTTTCTTTTTCTTTTTTTCTTTTTTTTTTTTTTGAGACAGAGTCTCGCTCTGTAGCCAGGCTGGAGTGCTGTGGCGCGATCTCAGCTCACTGCAACCTCCACCTCCCGGGTTCAGTAGCTGGGACTACAGGCACATGCCACCACACCCAGCTAAATTTTGTATTTTTAGTAGAGACTAAACATACATTTCACCATGTTGGCCAGGATGGTCTCGATGTCTTTACCTCGTGGTCCGCCCATCTCAGCCACCCAAAGTGCTAGGATTACAGGCGTTAGCCACCGCTCCCAGCCTTGGCTTCTTAATTTTGTTTTATAAGCTTTCTTCAAAGGCCTGGTCATCATTTGCTGTGTGTTTATATATTTTTATTTTTTCAGTGGGCAAAATACATGTAACATAAAATGCATCACATTAACTATTTTAAGTGTACAGTTCAGTTGCTTTAACTATATTCATAATGTTTTGTAATGATTCCCACCATTCCTCTCTAGAACTTTTTCATGTGAAGCTCTGTACCTGTAAAACAGTAATTCCTAACTCCTGTCATCTTCCAGTCCCTATTAACCACCATTCTACTTTCTGCCTCTATGACTTTGCCTATCTTAGGTACCTCATATAAGTGGAATCATACAGTATTTGTCTTTTTGTGTTTGGCTTATTTCCATTAGCATAATGTATTCAAGGTTTCATTGTTCATCCCCATTGTGAAATGTGTCAGAATCTCCTTCCTTTAAAAAGGAATAATATTCCAATAATATTCCATTGCGTGCATATATCACATTTGTTTATCCATTCATCCACCAGTGGGCATGATGTTGCTTCCACCTTCTGGCTACTGTGAGTACTGCTGCTGTAAACATTGCTATGGAAATATCTTTTTGGGTCCCTGCATTTAATTATTGGGGCTATATACCTCAAAGTGGAATTACTGGGTCATATAGTAATTCTATGTTCAACTTTTTGAGGAACCACTGTGCTGCTCTGTAGAGCAGTCCACCACTTTACACTACTATTAGTAATGCACAAGGGTTTCATTTTCTCCATGTCCTTGTCAACACTTTTAATTTTCCATCTTTTGTTTGTTTGCATTATAATCGCCATTTTAATGGGTATGAAGTTGTACCTCTTTGTGATCTTGCTTTACATCTCCCGTATGACTTGTGATATTTTCTGCACATATTTTAAGGTTTATATACTAACAAAGCCGATTACTAGGTGGGGGTGTGTAGGGGGAACTGTGTGGCTGCTGAGTGGCTTCCCTGTGGGATGATCAGCCAGAACCCACTATTGTATCAGGAAATCCCCAGGTGTCACCATCTATGGGTCTTTTGTAGTTTTTATGGGTACACAGTAGGCATATATGTATTTATGGGGTATATGAGATATTTTGATACAAACATATAATGCATAATAATCACATCAGGGTAAATGCGTTATCCATCATCTCAAACATTTATCATTTCCTTGTATTATGAACAATTCAGTTATATGCAGTTATCTTAAAATGTACAAAAAACTATTGCTGACTATAGCTACCCCGTTGTGCTATCAAATAAAAGATCTTATTCATTGTAACTACATTTTGTACCTATTAACCATCCCCACTTCCCCCCACTGGCTACACTTCCCAGCCTCAAGTAACAACCATTCTACTCTATCTTCATGAGTTTGTTTTAATATTCAGCTCCCCCAAATCAATGTGAATGTACAAAGTTTATCTTTCTGTGGCTGGCTTATTTTACTTAAAATAATATCCTACAGCACCATTCCATGTTGTCACTAATGACAGAATCTCATTCTTTGTTATGGCTGAAAAGTACTCCATCATATATAGGCACATTTTCTTTATCCATTCATCTGTTGATGGACACTGAGGTTGCTTCTACATCTTGGATATTGTGAATAGTAATGCAATAAACATAGGAGTGCAGTTATCTCTTCGATATATTGATTTTCTTTTTTTGTATATATATCTAGCAATGAGATTGCTGGATCATATGATAGCTCTAATTTTAGTTTTTTGAGGAACCTCCAAATTGTTCTCCATAGTGGTTGCACTAATTTACATTCCCACCAACAGTATGCAAGGGTTGGCTTTTTTTCCATATCCTCACCAGCATGTGTTATCACCTGTCTTTTGAAAAAAAAGCCATTTTAACTGAGGTGAGATGATATCTCTTCATAGTTCTGATTTGCATTTCTCTGATAATCAGTGATGTTGGCCACCTTTTCCTAAGTCTGTTAGTCTTTTGTATTTCTTTTTTTGAGAAATATCTATTAAGATCTCTTGCCCATTTTCAAATCAGATTATTAGATTTTTCTCTATACAGTTGTTTGAGCTTTTTATATATTCTGGTTATTAATCCCTTGTCAAATGGATAGTTTGCAAATACGTTTCCCCATTTTTTGGATTTTCTCTTTGTTGACTGTCTCTTTTGCTATGCAGAAGCTTTTTAACTTAATGCAATCCCAATTGTCCACTTTTGCTTTGGTTGCCTGTGCTTGTGGGGTATTGCTTAAGAAATCTTTCCATAGTCTAATAGCCTGGAGAATTTCCCCAATGTCTTCTTGTAGTAGTTTAACCTACCAAGATTGAACCATGAAGAAATTCAAAACCTGAACCGACCAATAACAAATAATGAAATCAAAGCCTTAATAAAAACTACCAACAAAGAAAATCCTGGAAGCAATAGCTTCACTGCTGTATTTTACCAAACACGTACAGAATAACTAACACCAATCCTACTCAAACTATCCCAAAAAATAGAGGAGGGAGGAATATTTCAATGCCTGATACTTAAACCAAAGACAAATTAAAAGAGAAAACTACAGGCCAATATCCCTATGAAAAATTGATGCAAAAATCCTCAAGGAAATTTACAAACAAAACAAATCCACAACATATTGAGAATTATTCATAATGACTAAGTGGAATTTATGCCAGGAATGGAAGGATGGTTCAAAATACGCAAATCAATGTGATCATCATATCAACAGAATGAAGGACAAAACTTATATAATAATGTCAATTGATGCGGTAAAGCATTTGATAAAATTCAACATTTTATTGTAAAAACCCTTCAAAAAACAGGGTATAGAAGAAACATACCTCAACACAATAAAAGCCATATAAGACACTCCCACAAGTATAGTATCTTACTGAATGGCAGAAAAACTGAAAGCCTCTCCTCTAAGCTCTGGAACAAGAGATGCTCATTTTCACCACTCTGCCTCCTGAGTTCAAGCAATTCTCCTGCCCAAGCCTCCCTAGTAGCTAGGACTATAGGTGCATGCCACCACACCTGGCTAATTCTTTTCTTTTCTTTCTTTTTTTTTTTTTTTTTTTTTTTTTTTGTATTTTTAGTAGAGATGGGGTTTCACCGTGTTAGCCAGCATGGTCTCAATCTCCTGACCTTGAGATCTGCCCACCTCAGACTCCCAAAGTGCTGGGATTACAGGCATGAGCCACTGGGCCCAGGCCTTCCTGTCTTCTTCTAAGCTCTCCAAACTGTTCCAACCTCTGCCCATTACCCACTTCCAAAGCTGCTTCCACATTTTCAGGTATCTTCATAGCAATGCTCTACTTCCCAGTACCAATTTTCTGTATTAGTCTGTTCTTGCACTGCTATGAAGAACTACCTGAGACTGGGTAATTTTATAAAGAAAAGTGGTTTAATTGGATCACGATTCTGCAGGCTGAACAAGAAGCATGGCTGAGGAAGCCTCAAGAAATTTACAATCATGGCAGGAGGTGAAGAGGGAGGTGACACGCCTTACATGGCTGAAGCAGGAGGAAGAGAGAGCAAAAGGGAAGATGCTACGTACTTTTAAACAATCAGATCTGGTGAGAACTCACTATACAAGAATGGCAAGGGAGAAATCCTCCCCCATGATCCAATTACCTCTGCCCAGACCCCTCCTCCTACACTGGGGATTACAATTAGACATGAGATTTGAGTGGGGACACAAATCCAAACCATAAGGTTAGTATTAAAAGTTAATTGCTTTCCTATATACTAGCAATGAAAAAAACTGGAATTTGAAATTTCAAATACAATGCTATTTACATGAGTACCCCAAAAATGAAATATGTAGGCATACAGTAAACAAAATATGTACAGGATCTATATGAGGAAAACTTCAAAACTTTAATGAAAGAAATCAAAGGAAACCTAAATAAATTGATATATATTTCATGTGCAAGGATAGCAAGACTCAGTATTGTTAAGATGTTAATACTCCCCTTCTTGATCTATAGATTCAACTCTACTCCAATTAAAATTCTAGCAGGTTATTTTGTAGATATAAACACATTTATTCTAAAGCTTATATGAAGACGCAAAAGACTCATAGTCAAAATGCTGAAGAATAACAACTCAGAAGACTGACACTACCCAACTTTAAGACTTACTCTCCAGCTAAATAATTGAGATAGCATGGCATTAGTGAAAGAATATGCAGATTGATCAATGGTTCAGAAGAGAGAGCCCGGAAATTGACCTATGCAAATATAGTTAGCTGAGCTTTGACAAAGAAGCAAAGGCAATTAAATGAAAGAATGCAGTCTCTTCAACAAATGGTGCTTAAAAATTGGATGTCCATGTACAAAAAAAAAGAATCTAAGTTCAGACTTTACACCCTTCTCAAAAATTAAAACTCAAAATGGATCAAAGATCTAAATGTAGAATGCAGAATCACAAAACTTCTAGATCAAGAATATCCAGGTGACCTTGGGTTTGGTGATGTATTTTTAGATACAGCTAAGTGTAGGTGCAGTGGCTCACACCTGTAATCCCAGTACAGGTGTAGCTGTAGGGAGCTGAGGGAGGCAGATCGCTACAGCTCAGGAGTTTGAGACCAGCCTGGTCAACATGGTGAAACCTAATCTCTACCAAAAATACAAAAAATTAGCAGGTGTGGTGGTACGCACCTGTGGGGCCAGCTACTTGGGAGGCTAATGGGGGAGAATTGCTTGAGCCTGCGAGGCAGAGGTTGCAGTGAGCTGAGATTGCACCACTGCACTCCAGCCTGGTGACAGCGCAAGACTCTGTCTCAAGAAAAAAAAAAAATGTCGTTTTATCCACTGGGTTTTGTTTCCTACTTTTTTGATTTGTGTTAAGAAAGGGGAAAAAAATCACAAGTTTGTCTAACCATTCAGTAGAAAAACAGAGCATTTGCAGACAACTTGGCAAGGGTAGAGAAATGGATGTACTGTTTTTCAGTATTTGGGGAAGGTGGTTTGAGCAGTATTTATTGACAATTTCATTAGTGGGGATGTTTCTATTAAAAACACATAGTAAGATCATTAAGTGTTCTTGCAATATAAAGTAATAATACCACCAGTGTTTATCTTACTGTTTTCATGTTCTAAATGCATGCACCTGAGTAAAAGGATCTGGGCTGCAGTCTAGGCTGAGAGATGCCAGCAAAGGCTGCCTAGGACAGTGCAGTCCAGTAAATCCCTCTTTAATCTTCTCTTCCACACAGACAGCAGTGATGAGCATGCCCACGAACCCACATGATTATTTTGGGAAAAATGAAAGAGTTGTATTCTTTTTGTGGTAGTAATTCCACTTCCAGGGGCAAATACATTTTGATTATTTTATCACCTTTCAGTGAGTTGTTTTTGTTCTTTAACCAAGGATGTATGTTTGAGGTAAGAAGTAAAGCAGAAAGTATATGATTTTTTGTGTGTATTTTTATCTTGCTATACCCATAGGGAATGTTTAATTCTGCCTTGGAAGTGGCCATATTTGAAGGTGCTGTGATTCAAACTGTCAGCGAGATAAGGCAGCAGATCAAGAAAGCACTCCGGGCTCCAGAAGGAGCCTTCCAGGCCAGCTTTGAGCATAAGCTGCTGATGAGCAGTGAGTGTCTTGAGTAGTGTTCAGGGCAGCATGTTACCATTCATGCTTGACTTCTAGCCAGTGTGACGAGAGGCTGGAGTCAGGTCTCTAGAGAGTTGAGCAGCTCCAGCCTTAGATCTCCCAGTCTTATGCGGTGTGCCCATTCGCTTTGTGTCTGCAGTCCCCTGGCCACACCCAGTAACAGTTCTGGGATCTATGGGAGTAGCTTCCTTAGTGAGCTTTCCCTTCAAATACTTTGCAACCAGGTAGAGAAGTTTGGAGTGAAGGTTTTGTTCTTTGTTTCTTCACAATATGGATATGCATCTTCTTTTGAAAATGTTAAAGTAAATTACCTCTCTTTTCAGATACTGTCTTCATGCGAACTTGGTATCCTGTTTCCATCCCAGCCTTCTATAACCCAGTAACATCTTTTTTGAAACCAGTGGGTGAGAAAGACACCTGGTCAGGAACGCGGACCACAGGACAACTCAGGCTCACCCACGGCATCAGACTAAAGGCAAACAAGGACTCTGTATAAAGTACCGGTGGCATGTGTATTAGTGGAGATGCAGCCTGTGCTCTGCAGACAGGGAGTCACACAGACACTTTTCTATAATTTCTTAAGTGCTTTGAATGTTCAAGTAGAAAGTCTAACATTAAATTTGATTGAACAATTGTATATTCATGGAATATTTTGGAACGGAATACCAAAAAATGGCAATAGTGGTTCTTTCTGGATGGAAGACAAACTTTTCTTTTTAAATTTTATCTTATATATTTGAGGTTGACCACATGACCTTAAGGATACATATAGACAGTAAACTGGTTACTACAGTGAAGCAAATTAACATATCTACCATCTTACATAGTTACATTTTTTTGTGTGACAGGAACAGCTAAAATCTACGTATTTAACAAAAATCCTAAAGACAATACATTTTTATTAACTATAGCCCTCATGATGTACATTAGATCTCTAACTTGATCATCCTATATGTCTGCTACTTTGTATTTTCTTAATGTACGTCTCCCCATTTGCTATTGGTCATTTCCTATTTGGCTCATTTTTCAACTGGGTTGTTTTTCCTGTTATTAAAAGAGTTCTTTACTGATTTTTGGACACTAACTCTTTAACAGGTATATGATCTGCAAATATTTCCTCCAGTCTGTAGGTTCTCTTTTCATTTTGTTGGTTTTTTCCTTTGCTGTGCAGAAGCTTTTTAGTTTGATGCAGTCCTCCTTGTTTATGTTTCCATTTGTAGCCTGGCTTGTGGTGTGATATCCAAAAAATAATTGCTAAGGCCAATGTCAAGAGGCTTTCCCCCTATGTTCTCTTCTAGGAGTTTTAAGGTTTCAGGTCTTATTTGGGTCTTGGGTCTTGTATCTGTTTTGAGTTGATTTTTGTGTATGGTGTATGATCAGGGTCCATTTTTATTCTTTTGAATGTGAAAATCCAGTTTTCCCAGCACTATTATTGAAGAGACTATTTTTCTTTCCATTGTGTTGTCTTGTTTGCCCTTGTCAAAAATTAGTTGACAGTATATGTTTGGATTTATTTCAAAGGTCTCTGTTCTGTTCCATTGGTTTATACTTTTTGTTTCTATGCCAGTATCATACTGTTTTGATTACTATAGCTTCGTAATACAATTTTAAATCAAGAGGTGTGATGCCTCCAACTTTTTCTTTCACAGTAATCTGTTGGCTGTTTGGGGTTTTTTGTGGTTCCATACAAGTTTCAGGATTGTTTTTTCTGTTTTTTTTTTTGTTTGTTTGTTTGTTTGTTTTTTTCTTGAGATGAAGTCTCACTCTGTTGCCCAAGTTGGAGTGCAGTGGCACAACCTTGGCTCACTGCAACCTCTGCTTCCCGGATTCAAGCAATTCTCCTGCCTCAGCCTCCCGAGTAGCTGGGACTACAGGCACATGCCGCTATATCCGGCTAATTTTTGTAGTTTTAGTAGAGACAGGGTTTCACTATATTGGCCAGGCTGGTCTCCAAGTCCTGACCTCGTGATCCACCTGCCTCGGCCTCCCAAAGTGCTGGGATTACAGGCATGAACCACAACACCTGGTCAGGATTGTTTTTTTCTGTTCTGTGAAGAATGCCACCAGAACTTTGATGAGGATTGCGTTAAATCTATATATTTGCTTTGGGTAGTGTGAACATTTTAACAATATTAATTCTTCTGATCCATAAACATAGGATATCTTTTCATTTGTTCATATCTAAATTTCTTTCATCAATGTTTTATGGTTTTCAAGTGTACACATCTTCCGTCTTATTGGTTAAATTCATTCCTACGTATATGTTTTTCTTTGATGTTATTGTAAATGAGATTGTTTTCTTGATTTCTTTGTCAGCTAGGTTATTTGTATATAGAAATGCAACTGATTTTTATATGTTGAGTTTATACTTTGCAGCTTAACTGAATTGATTTAGTAGTTCTCAGAGTTTTTTGTGGAATGTTTGGAGTTTCTTACATAAAGGGTCTTGTCATCTGCAGATAGAGATAATTTTACTTCTTTAATTTAGTTGCTTTTTTTTCCTCATCAGATTGCTCTTGCAAGTACTATGTTCAATAAAAGTGATGAGACTGGGCATCCCTATCTTGTACTCAATCTTAGTAGAAAAGCTTTTAGTTATTCCCCACTGACTATGATGTAGGCCATGGGTTTCTCATAAACGGTCTTTATTATGTTGAGGAACTTTCCTTCTATACATAAACTATTAAAAGGTTTTATCAAGAAAGGTTGCTAAACTTTGTTAAATGCTTTGTCTGCATCAATTCAGGTGACCATGTTGTTTTATCTTTCATTTTGTTAATGTGATATATCACATTGATTTACATATGTTAAACCAGCCTTGCATGCCAGAGATAATTCCCACTTAATCATGATGTATAATCTTTTTGATGTGTTGTTGAATTCTACTTCCTAAATTTTTTTTTCCTGATCAGCCATTTATTTTTATATACATATATATATTTTATTACACTTTAAGTTCTAGGGTACATGTGCACAATGTGCAGGTTTGTTACATATGTATACATGTGCCATGTTGGTGTGCTGCACCCATTAACTCATCATTTACAGTAAGTATATCTCATAATGCTATCCCTCCCCCCTCACCCCACCCCACAACAGACCCAATGTGTGATGTTCCCCTTCCTGTGTCCAAGTGTTCTCTTTGTTCAATTCCCACCTATGAGTTAGAACATGTGGTGTTTGGTCTTTTGTCCTTGTGATAGTTTGCTGAGAATGACAGTTTCCAGCTTCATCCATGTCCCTACAAAGGACATGAACTCATAAATTTTATGGCTGCATAGTATTCCATGGTGTATATGTGCCACATTTTCTTAATCCGGTCTATCATTGTTGGACATCTGGATTGGTTCCAAGTCTTTGCTATTGTGAATAGTGCCGCAATAAACATATGTGTGTATGTGTCTTCATAGCAGCATGATTTATAATCCTTTGGGTATATACCCAGTAATGGGATGGCTGGGTCAAATGGTATTTCTAGTTCTAGATCCCTGAGGAATCGCAACACTGACTTCCACAATGGTTGAACTAGTTTACAGTACCACCAACAGTGTAAAAGTTCTACTATTTCTCCACATCCTCTCCAGCACCTGTTGTTTCCTGACTTTGTAAAGATCGCCATTCTAACTGGTGTGAGATGGTATCTCATTGTGGTTTTGATTTGCATTTCTCTGATGACCAGTGATGATGAACATTTTTTCATGTGTCTTTTGGCTGCATAAATGTCTTCTTTTGAGAAGTGTCTGTTCATATCCTTCACCCACTTGTTGATGGGGTTGTTTGTTTTTTTCTGGTAAATTTGAGTTCATTGTAGATTCTGGATATTAGCCCTTTGTCAGATGAGTAGATTGCAAAAATTTCCTCCCATTCTGTAGGTTGCCTGTTCACTCTGATGGTAGCTTCTTTTGCTGTGCAGAAGCTCTTTAGTTTAATTAGATCCCATTTGTCAATATTGGCTTTTGTTGCCATTGTTTTTGGTGTTTTTAAACATGAAGTCCTTGCCCATGCCTATGTCCTGAATGGTATTGCCTAGGTTTTCTTCTAGGATTTTTATGGTTTTGGGTCTAACATTTAAGTCTTTAATCCATCTTGAATTAATTTTTGTATAAGGTGTAAGGAAGGGATCCAGTTTCAGCTTTCTACATATGGCTAGCTGGGCAATGTCAACTTTGTAAATTAACTGAGAACTGTCTCAGATTTTGAGGGTTCACAAACTATACTCCAAGGATATAGTAACCAAAACATCATAGGTCTGGTAAAAAAACCATGACACAAAAGCCAATGGAACAGATTAGAGAAGGTTGTAGGCTGCACTCCTACAACCATCTGATCTTTGACAAAGTCTATAATTAGAAGCAATGGGAACAGACTCCCTATTCAATGAATGGTACTAGGATGACTGTTTAGCCATATTCAGAAGATTTAAAATGGACAACTTCCTTCCAACATATTAAAAAAATCAACTTAAGATGGATTAAAGACCTAAATGTAAAACCTAAAAGTATAAAAACCCTAGACAAAAGCCCAGAACATAATATTCTGGACATAGGCAATAACAAGGATTTTATGATCAAGTTTCCAATAGCTATTGCAACAAAAACATAAATAGACAAGTGGGACCTAAGTATACTAAGGAGATTATGTTCAACAAAAGAAACTATCAGCAGAGTAAACAGACAACCGACAAAATGGGAGAAAATATTTGCAAACTATGGATCTGACAAAGGTCTCATATCCAGAACCTGTAAGGAACTTAAAAAAATTTTTAAGCAAAAACTAAACAACCTCATTGAAAAATGGGCAAAGGACAAGAACAGACACTTCTCAAAAAAGACATACATGCTGTTAACAAGAATATGAAAAAATGCTCCATTTTAAAAATCACTAATCATTAGAGAAATGCAAATGAAAACCACAATGAGATACCATTTCATACCAATCACAATGGCTACTAATAAAAAGTCAGAAAATAACAGATGTTGCTGAGGTTGCAGAGAAAAGGGAAATCTTATACACTTCCGTTGGGAATGTAAATTAATTCAGCCATTGTATAAAGCAGTGTGAAGATTTCTCAAAAAACTCAAACAGAACTACCATTTGGCGCAGCAGTCTCATTACTGGGCACATACACAAAGAAATATGAATTGTTCTACCAAATGACACATGTACTTGTATGATTATCACAGCACTATTAACAGTAGCAAAAACATGGAACCAACCTAGAGGCTCATCAGTGGTGGACTAGAAAAAAAAAAATGTGTACCGCCTGACGTGGTTGCTCACGCCTGTATTCCCAGCACTTTGGGAGGCCGAGATGGGTGGATCATTTGATATCAGGAGTTTGAGAAAAGCCTGGCCAACATGGTGAAACACCATCTCTACTAAAAATACAAAAATTAGCCAGGCATGGTGGTACATGCCTGTAGACCCAGCTACTTGGGAAACTGAGGTGGCAGAATAGCTTGAACCTGGGAGGCGAAGGTTGCAGTGGGCCCAGATTATGCCACAGCACTCCAGCCTGGGTGTCAGAGTGAGACTCTATCTCAAAAAGAAAAAAAATTGGTACATATACACCATGAAATACTGTGTAGCAACAAAAAAACAATAAATTTATGGCTTTTGCAACAAAATGGATGTAGCTGGAGGCTACATCCCACAAATTAAGCAGATTAACACAAAAACAGAAAAAGACAGCATATATTATCACCTATAAATGAGAGATAAACATTGGCTCCACATGGTCCAAAACAAGGACCAATAGATACTAGGGCCTGTGTGAGGGTAGAGGGTGAAAAATCGGTGAAGATTGAAAGATTACTTATGCCTATCAGGTACTATGCTCACTACCTCAGTGACTAAATTATTTTTTCCATGAAACCCCAGCAACATGCAATTTGCCTACATAACAAAGCTGCACGTGTACCCCCTGAACCTAAAATATAAATTAAAAAAGAAAAAAATGAATATCAATAAGATACTTAGTAAACACACAAGTGTTTGGAAATCAAACAACAAACTTCTGAATAATTCACAAAGAAACATCAAAATAAAACTTAGAATACATTTTGAATTGAAAGATAAACATCTGAAGTGCTGAAAGAATAGAGATGGCTTTAGTCTCGAAACTTACATATAAAAACATTGAAATTTCAATCAGATGGCAATTGGTATGTGATTTGATAATCTACTTTAAAGTTTATACGAAACTGAGAACCCGGTTAGGTGCGGTGGCTCACGCCTGTAATCCCAGGACTTTGGGAATCAGAGGTGGGTGCAACACGAGGTCAGGAGTTCAAGACCAGCCTGGCCAAGATGGTGAAACCCTGTCTCTACTAAAAATAAAAAAATTAGCCAGGCGTGGTGATGGATGCCTGTAATCCTGGCTACTCAGGAGCCTGAGGCAGGAGAATCAATTGAACCAGGGAGGCAGAGGTTGCAGAGAGCCAAGATTATGCCACTGCACTCTAGCCTGGGTGAGAGAGCAAGGCTTCATCTCAAAAAGAAAAAAAAAAAAATTGAGAACCCAGATAAAAATAGCTAACTTTCTTCTCCAAAAGAAAAAAGAATGACAGTGAGTAGAGGTCTGCTTCTATTGGCTATCAGATAATCTTATAACCCTGCAGTACTGTGGTGGTACGAAGCACATCCACAGCAGTAGTGTGACCGTCAGGTATCAAATAGACAAGAACTTCAGAGAAGACAAATGTAACATTTGAAATCAGTAGAAAGAAGTATTACTTTGAGAAAGTTGGTTATTATTTGGAATTTGAAGAAATAAACAATAAATTTCAAATAACTTAAAGAATGAAATAAAAAATAAAATTAATACTACAAGGAAGTTTTTAAAATATTCATGCCTTTTCCTCATGACATGAAATATAAATATCATGAAGTAAAAGACAGACAAATTTTACTAACTAAACAAACTCATTTTTAGCAAACACTTGATAAATACCATTGAGACAAATAACAAATTAGAAGAAAATATTTACATGGTATACATAACAAAAAAATGGATATTCAGAATGTATAGAGATTATCAAATAATAAAGAACTTGCAAATCCCAGTGGGAAAATGAGCAAAGAATATAAAGAGGAATTACACAGAAGAAAACGTATGCTATGTATTAACAAATGAAAAGTTGCTTCATCTGTGTAATGGCCAAAATGTATGTTAAAATATAAGACAGCATTTCTCCCATCTCATTGGTAAAATAAAAAATACATATGCACTTCATAAATTCATATGTCACTTCAGCATTTTTACAGTTAATATCACTTTTGTTATTCTTGAAAAGTTGAAAAATTAAATGAGTTAAAAGCAGTATGAGAGAAATTATTGCAAATATGTGTATAATATTGTTAGGAGAAACCCAAGTAAGACCCCAGAGGTGTAAGTTTAAATTGAAGACTAATCAGTTTATATATATAATAATTTTAAAATATTCTGTGCATTATAAAACTCACAAAAGAATTAAAAGGCAAAAAAATCAAGAAAAAATAATTTCAAAATAAATGCCACAACACAGCTTCCTGTGGTCAAGATTTCTCTCCATTCTACTTTGACGTCTAAATAGATCTTTGGGCATCTAGACTAATATTGGGTTTGTATACTCCCAGAAAATTCAAGACTACTAAACGCACCCAACCTTACAACCCCGAAGCATATTATCACATAGGGGTCTTGTGTAGTTTGCTAAAATGTAATGTACTACCTGTCACAGAATGAGCACTTAACTGATGTTGGGTGTGATGTAGCATAGTAGCAAAAAACTTTAGAATTAGGCCACAGTGTTTTTAAGGGCTTTGCACGACCCATTATTTTTTGGCACTTAATTTAAAAAAATCTGCATGCTTATTTTAATTTTGTCATTACTTGCCATTGTATCCATCTCAGCACACTGATCAAATAATCACAAAAATCACAGAGATGATACTCTGCTAATTAAGAAAGTTTTCTTTTTTTCTTTGTGAAACCATTCTTCATTTTTTTTTTTTTGGTATTTAGAAATAATTTCTAGTGCTAATTTATTTTTAGTGACATTTTGCACAGACTCTCCAAATAAAAAACCAAGAACGACCAATTTTATTGGGAAAATACTAAATGTAACAAACTTTATTTTTTGATGAGTGAAGACTATTTTTCTAATTTTGCTTAAAAATTTTAGGTTTAGCCTTAGGTAATACAGTTAATAGAGAGAATGTTTACTACCATGCATAAATTCAAAAGACTTGTTAGTTTAGATTGTCAATTTAATGTTGAACAAAGTTGCTTGAAATTTTCAGATGAAATAACTTTAGGTAAGCTTAAGAAAAGTTTGATTGCATTTTGTTTATAATCTTGTACTTCTATTTTCATTCTGATTTAGTAGGCTGCACACTTTTTAAAAAAAAATTTCAGGTGGATTGTGGCCATTCCTTTTCCTCTTAAGTCTTATTTGATTGTTCTTCCAGAACAAATATTAACATTTGCAGTCCTGCATCTGGATCAAGCAGTTTGGTTAGAGAAATTTAAACCTTTAAATCACAAAACAGCTTATTTTCAATTGTCATAGCTGACACTGAATCTATGCCTAATGGTGTAAGCAATGTGGATATTGGAATGTCTCTGAGTTTTTATATTAATAAATTTACTAGCTAAATAAGTGATGTAATCATCTGTTGATGTCTGAGATGAAGAGTGAGTAAAAACCACATAAAAGTCTTCCATAAAACTAAACTTATCTTGGAATTCTTTGTAAAAATAATTTCTGTGAGATGGAACTTTGGAAAGTTTTCCTGTAATTTCTTGAAATCAAATTTAACAGTGCATGGTAGTCTGACCATTCTGCATTCTCCTTTCTGTATAAAAAACATCACTATTTCAAGGCCAGAGAGCCCCCTTTACATGGCTTGTTAAGAATTCTTCAAAATCCAGCATGATTCAAGATACTGATGGATTTTGGGTATTTCAAGAGAATTCCTCTGGTGGCTAAAATGCTTTGAAGATCATTTGTGCAGCAGTCACTCAAGATGAAAGACTCCCTAGTTAATTGTCCAGTGAGATTACAGTTCCTGTGACAGTGGCAGAAGAAGTCCAGCAAGGAGTTAGCAGCAGCCTAGTTGGCTTTTGTTGCATTCTCAATGAAAGCAGAAACTAATGAATAGCACTCAAAGTAATCAAGTTCCTGCTTTCTTGTCAAAAATTGAAGATGTACTGCTCCAGCTACTTTGGGGCTTAACACTTTCTCCAATTAAGAAGAGATGTTGAGAGCTTCTAGGAACCCATCATCCAAGACTGCGGCACTAAAAAAACACACCTGAGATTTTGCTCTACGAAGTTATTTTCTATTAAATTCACTGCCTTTTTCACATCAGAGTGAATAATGACAAAACATTGTAGCTTAGTCGTTTTGCACTCTTCATTCGGATTTTGCAGCAACTTGCATTCCTTTCAACGGCTCATAAGTTAAATTTCTCAATGAAGTAATCACAACAGAACTATCTCCTTGGACAGTTTGGAGTTTCCTGAAAAAAAACAGATATACTACCATATGATCCAAAAATCCCACTGCTTGGTATATACCCAAAAGAAAGGAAATGAGTATATCAAAGAGATTTCTGCACTCCTAGGTTTGCTGCAGCACTGTTTACAATTACTAATATTTGAAAGCAACCTAAGTGTCCATCAACAGATGAATGAAGAAAATGTGGTACATATACACAGTGGAGTACTATTCAGCCATAAAAATGAAAGCCTGTCATTTGCAACAACATGGATGGAACTGAAGATGATTATGTCAAGAAAAATAAGCCAGGCACAGAAATACAAACATCATGTGTTCTCGCTTATTTCCGGGATCTAAAAATAAAAACAATTAAACTCATGGACATAGAGAGTAGAAGGATGATTACCAGAGCTTGGGAAGGGTAGTGAGAGAGTGAGGGGGAGGCAGGAATTGTTAATGGATACAAAAAACAAAAAAGAAATAATATATAATAAAAACCTACTATTTGATAGCAAACCCAGGTGACTATAGTCAATAATAACTTAATCATATATTTGAAAATAACATAAAGAGTGTAATTGGAATATTTGTAACTCAAAGAATCACTGAGGGGATACCCCATTCTCTAGGATGTGCTTTTTTTCACATTGAATGCCCGTGTCAAAACATCTCATGTACTCCATAAATACTATGTACCCACAAACATTAAAAATAAAATACAAAAAAGAACCATCTTCTCTCTGTGTAACAAATACTATAGTTTCAAATCCAAGGCTAGAGAGCTGCCCTGAAATAATATACACTCTTTTGACTTGAAGAGTTTTCTCTTTGCTCTATACATAGGTATTTGTAGAAGTTAACATTCTGGAACACTGACTTCCAACACAGCAAGAGGGACAGCCACACATGTAAAATACAATGACAGAGCAGGACTCACAAGTGCATTCTGCTGAAAAGGTGAGCAAGCCAAATTCAAATTATTTTTCAAACTCATTGATTTTAGCTACCGAAAGGTCTATAGGACATTATCAGACAGAGTTTTTGTAGAACCTAAGATTTAGAAAGTGAACTTGAATGTGACTGTGATCATTACGCAACAACTGCTGTAAAAACTCAGGTTGGTGTTGGCCACAAAGGACTACAACACTCTTGTGTTGCCTTGACAAAGCTCCTCTAAACGTGGCAGTAAACTTAGTGCCTTTCAGTATTCTCCTTTTTCCCATAGACTCACAGACAGCGAGAGACACCTGGCTCCCCCACATCACTTCCTTAGCAGCCAAGAACAGCATGTCACCCAGAATGAATTCTGGCTGTGGCAGAAAATGGCCCACATAGAGAGATGTCTGGCATTTGGTAGTACCTGGGTGAGAGCTTTCCAAGCTCTTAGGAAGTATACAATGCATAAGGTCCATTTCTAAATACTAGAAACATCTTGCTGTGAAAGCACATAAAGTCCATAGTTAAGATGATGATGCCATGCAGAAAAACACGTGGCAATGTAACCACCAGTCTTTACTTTTTCAATGGCCTTGCACATGGCTGTTACTGTACTGCTGAAGTCCAGCGTCAGCAGTTTATGTTTCCCCATTGTGTCATCAGCCCAATGCAAAGTACCATCAAAATAACACCTGGAGGTGCTAACAGGAAAATAATCTGAGTAAATCCACATTTGCTGTCTCAACTTCCAAAGACTGGTCATCCAACAGTGTGTTTCTGTCTTTCTATCTTGGCTGCCACCTTTACTACACTGTAGGGGTCTGAGGTTTGTAGAGTGGATATCGCAGAGTTCTGGTTGTCCTTGTGAGGTTTGATATGATAAACTTTTTAAAAGAAAGTAGGCCTGATTACAGAAATGAGTATTGTCCCGACAATCCACATAGAATTCTGGGGCATTCTTCTCTTTACATTCAATAATAGCTTCCGCTAAACTTGTAATGTTCTGTGGGAATGTATCACTTCTTCACCTTCTTGCTCACTTCCCACCTTCTTGCTCAGAGCTCCAATGGGCTCAGAGCAATGTTTGGAGTGCCAATCACCCTGAGCTCAACCTTGCTCTGAGCATCATCTTCTCTGAGCTCCATCTTACACTGAGAAGCACCTGCTGCAAGCTCCATCTTGCTTGGAGCTCCTTCTTGCTCCAAGCTCTATCTACTCCAAGCTCCATCTTGCTCAGAGCTCCATCTGCTCCAAGCTCCATCTTGCTCGAAGTGCCAATCGCTCCAAGCACTATCTTGCTGTGAGCAACATCTGCATAGACATTCATCTTACTCAGAGCTCCATCTAGTCAGAGATCCATCCACTTTGAGCTCCATCTTGCTAGGAGTTCCAATCACTCCAAGCCCCATCTTGCTGGGAGCTCCAATCACTTCTAGCTCCATTTTGCTCTGAGCACCATGTGGACAGAGCTCATCTTACTCTGAGCTACATGTGCTCTGAGCTCTACCTTGCTTGGAGCTGTAATCACTGTGGGCTCCGTTTTGTTCTGAGCCCCAACTAAAACCAAGCAACGTCTCCTCCAAACTCCATCTTGCTTAGAGCTCCTTTTTTGCTCAGAGCTCTGTCTGCTCTGAGCTGCATCTTGCTCAGAGCTCCAATTGCTCAGAGCAATGTTCAGAGTGCCAATCATTCTGAGCTCCCTCTTGCTCTGAGTACCATCTGCTCTGAGCTCCATCTTACACCAGCAACATCTGCTCCAAGTTCCATTCTGTTTGGAGCTCCTTCTTGCTCAGAGGTCTATCTGATCTGAGCTCCATCTGGTTCGGAGATCCAATCACTCCAAGCTCCATCTTGCTCTGAGCACCATCTTCTTGAAGCTCCATCTACTCCCAGCTCCATCTTGCTTTAGAGCTTCCATCACTCTGAGCTCCACTTTGCTCAGAGCTCCATTTACTCAGAGCTCCATTTGCTCCAAGCTCCATCTTTCTCAGAGCTCCAATCCCTCCAAACTCCATCTTGCTCTGAGTACCCTCTGCTCAGAGCTCCATATTCTCGGAGCTGCATCTTCTAGCTCCATCTTGCTGATATCTCCAATCACTTCCAGCTCCATTTTGTTCTGAGCATCATGTGCTCGAAGCTCCATCTTACTGTAAGCAGCATGTTCTCTGAGCTCCATCTTGCTCTGAGCACCATCTGTTCTGAACTCCATCTGAAACTGAGGAACATTTGCCCCAAGCTCCATCTTGCTTAGAGCTCCTTCTTGCTCCGAACTTCGTTTGCTCCAAGCTCCATCTGCTCCGAGCTCCAGCTTGCTGAGAGCTCCAATTACTTCCAGCATCATTTTGCTCTGAACACCATCTGCTCAAGCTACATCTTACTGTGAGCAACATGTTTTCTGAGCTACATCTTGCTCAGAGCTGCATCTGCTCCAAGCCCCATTGTGCTCGAAGCTCTAATCACTCCGAGGCTGATCTTGCTCTGATCACTATCTGCTCAGAGTTCCAATCCTCCAGAGTAAAGTTTTTAAGTTCCAATCATTTCAAGCTCCATGTTGTTACGAGCATCTGCTCTGAGCTCCATCTTACACCGAGCAACATCTGCTCCAAGTTCCATCTTGCTTGGAGCTCCTTTTTGTTCAGAGCCCTATCTGCTCCAAGCTCAATCTTCTCTGAGCTCCATCTTGCTTGGAGCTCTAATCATTCTGAGCTCCATCATGCTCTGAGCACCATCTGCTCTGAGCTCCATCTGAAACTGAGCAACATCTGCACCAAGCTCCATCTTGCTTAGATCTCCTTATTGCTCAGAGTTTCATCTGCTCTGAGCACCATCTTGTTCAGAGCTCCATCTTGCTCAGAGTTCCAACTGCTCAGAGAACTGTTGAGAGTTCCAACGACTCCAAGCTTTATCTTGCTCTGGGCTCCATCTTACACAGAGGAACATCGGCTCCAAGCTCCATCTTGCTTGGAGCTCCTTCTTGTCTGAGCTATATTTGCTCTGAGCTGGACACTCCATGCTCCATGGTGCTCTGAGTTCCATCTGCTAAGAGCTCCATCTGCTCCAAGCTCCATCTTGCTTGGAGCTCCAATCACTCCAAGCTCCATCTTGCTCTGAGCACCATCTGTTCTGAGCTCCACCTTGCTCAGAGCCCCAGTCACTCCTAGCTCCATCTGGCTCTGAGTACCATCTGCTCGGAGCTCCATCTTGCTCTGAGACCACAGGCTTGGTGCTCCATCATACTCAGAAACATCTGCTCCGAGCTTCATATTAATCGGAGCTCCATCTCACCTGGAGCTCCATCTGCTCTGAGCTCCATCAAGCTTGGAGCTCATCTTGCTCAGAGGTCCATCTTGCTTTGCGAACCATCTGCTCCATGTATGGTTATAGCAGCACTATTCACAATGGTAAAGACTTGGAACCAACCCATATGCCCATCAATGATAGACTGGAAAAATAAAATGTACTACATATACATCATGGAATACTACACAGCCATAAAAAGGTATGAGATCAAGTCCTCTGCAGGGACAGGGATGAAGCTGGAAGCCATCATCCTCAGCAAGCTAACACAGGAACAGAAAACCAAACACTGCATGTTCTCGCTCGTAAGTGGGAGCTGAACAATGAGAACACATTTTAATACTATTACGCCCTCTGAAAATGGTCTCTGTTAATCTTAACAAAGGATATTTATACTTTGTAATTTTTTTCTCTCTAAAGGATTGTGGCTTCTTCTGTCTGTGCCAGTCTAGGGCCCAGGTTGACTACCTCACTTTGAAATGACCCACCCCATGTCCGTCCGCACATGGTTGGTCCCTCCTGTAAACTGTTTGTTCACAGACTGTTACCACCTGTGGGTCATTTGACGGGAGGTGACCTCACACAGCAATGCACCAGGCAAATCACCAACTGAAAGAATCACTGAAACAACATGTGTCTGCTTATTTCAAAGAATGAATAGGAGTCAGTTGAAGGTGATTAAGTCAGCAACATCTTAAGGTGATAAGATGTCAGTAACATCTTAGATGACCAAGAATAATCCTGTGGGCCCCAAGAACATATGACAATATGGACTACGCCAGCAAAAATCTCACCCATCAGACAACAGCAAATGACACTGTGGCTCAAATGTTAAATGTCCTCTCTTGATGTGTGAAAGCACATGACCAGCAGGAGGCAAAAACATCAGGGAGACAAAGGCTTTGTTGCATATCTGTGGACTTCAGTCTCCAGTGAGACACTCAGAGCCTACATCTCCTCTGTTACCACTGCTGTTTTGATTGCACAGAACATTTCCATATATGTTTCATTCTACAAGAAACGTTTCGACAAACATACATCTGATAAAAGGCTGTCTTCAAAATGTCTAAGCAACTAACACTACTCACTAGCAAAAACACAAAAGAGAAACTAATAACCAAACAAAACCTGAATAGACATTTCTACAAAAAAGACATAACATTGAAAACAAGTTTTAAAAACTTGAATAACATCACAAACCATGAGAAAGATATAAATCAAAACAACACACATATCTCACTATAATTCAAATGGATGTTATCAAAGTGATACAATATATTAAAAGAGACACAAATGCTGGTGGAAATTTCCAGAGAAAAACTCATTTGGTAAGAATGTTAATTAGTATACAGCCGGGCACGGTGGCTCACGCCTGTAATCCCAGCACTTTGGGAGGCCGAGGCCGGCAGATCACGAGTTCAGGAGATCGAGACCACCCCGGCTAACACGGTGAAACCCCGTCTCTACTAAAAGTATAAAAAATTACCTGGGCGTGGTGGCGGGTGCCTGTAATCCCAGCTACTCAGGAGGCTGAGGCAGGAGAATGGCGTGAACCCAGGAAGCAGAGCTTGCAGTGAGCTGAGATCATGCCACTGCACTCCAGCCTGGGCAATACAGCGAGACTCCATCCAAAAAAAAAAGAATGTTAATTAGTATACATACTACAGAAACCAGTGGGAGGTTCCTCCAAAAATTAAACCTACAACTACCACTTCATCTAACAATTCTACTACTAAGTATACTTTCAGTGCCAAAGAAATCAGTTTATGCAAGAGGTATCAGCCATCCTATGTGGACTGCAGCACTATTCACAATCGCCAAGATAAGGAATAAACTTACCTGCCCATCCACAGATGAAGGGATAAAGTAACTGTGGTGGACATACACAAAGAGAATAGTCTTCAGCCAGAAAATCAGAATGAAATTTCATCCTTTGGAGCCATACTGTTGAACCTGGAGGACAGCATGGTAAATGACCTGAACCAGGTAGAGAAAGAAAAACATTGCCACATCTCACTCATGTAGAACCCAAAATAAAAGGCTTTATTGCAATAGATCTAGAGAGCACAACAGTGGTTTCCAGAGATTGGAAGGAAGCAGGGGCATGGGCAGGGATCAGAAATAGGTACAAAATTACACTTAGATGAGAGCAATGAATTGTTCCTCTCTGTTCCACAGCACTGTGACCAGAGGTTAACAAAACATCACAGCTTTTTCACAAAATCTGGAAAAGAAGATTCCAAATGTTTTCACCACAAATAAATTAACAACTGTTTGTGATAACAGAGACTCTAAATATCCTGATTTTAACATTCCTCTGTGTCTGCATTAACCAAAATGCCCCACTCTAACTCCCCCCATTGTATACCTTTACTATATGGCCAACCTTTTAAAAAATATGTAAATATGCAATGCTAAAATTCATGCAGACCACAAAACACCCTGAATTTCTAAAGCAATCCTGAGAAGTCCACACTACATTGGTTGTGTCACACTTCCCGATTTTAATTTTCATTGAAAAGCTAGGGACCCCATTTCACACAGAGCAGTGGAACAGATTAGAGGACCCAGATGTAAACCCACACCCCTAACACCATCTGATCTTCAAAAAAATCCACAAAAATAAGCTTTGGAGAAAGGACTCCCTCCTCTCAATAGATGGTGCCAGGATAAAGTGCTAGCCAGTTGCAGAAGAAAAACAGTGGGCCCCTGTGTCTCACCCTGCACAGAAATTAACTCAAGATGAATGAAAGATGTAAACACAAGACCTCAAACTATGAAAAGCCTGCAAGAGAACTTGGAAATACCCTTCTTGACAGAGGATTTGGCAGAGCATGGCTATGCCTAAGTCCCCAAAAGCAAGTGCAACTAAAACAATTATTGACAAGTGGGGCCTAATATACAAAAGAGCTGCTGCACAGCAGAAGCAATTACCAACACAGTAAACAGACAGCCTACACAATGGGAGAAAATGTTCCCACATACGCATCTGATGAAGTCTAATATCCAGGATCTACCTCAAATACATTAAGCAAATAAATCAGAAAAACAAAAACTCAATGAAGAAAGGGTAAGGGGCATGAAAACATGCATCTCAAAAGAAGGTTTACAGCAACCAACAGACAAGATATCATTGCTTTACCTCAGGAATCATCAGAGAAATGCAAAGCTAAAGGCCCATGAGATAGTATTTCACACATTCTGATGAATGACAATTATGACACAGTCCACAAGAATGAACACCAGCAAGGCAGAGGAGGAGGGATGCTGGTCTGCTGTTGGTGGAAATGCAAACTAGTTCGGACACCATGGAAAGCAATGTGGGGATTTCTCAAATAACTTTCTCGACATCACTAAACCTCACAAAAAAATGTCCATGAAAACCACACTAAGATTCCGTCTCATTCCACTCAGAATGAGTACTACCAAAAACAAAACACAAATTTTTGAAGGTGACATCCAGTGTAGACTTACAGAAAGGTAACCTCTTAAACACTATTGGTGAGGATGTAAATTAGTATACACACTATAAAAAACAGCTAGAGGTTTCTGAAAAAATTCACAGTACAACTACCATGTCAGCTAACAGCCCCACCACTGGTTCCACATTTAAAGCAGTTGAAGTCCCTAGGTTGAAGAGAGCTATCTGCCTTCCCACGGGTACTAAAGCACTCTTAACTGTGGCCAAGGTAGAGAACCAACCTACCTGTTCAAACACAGCTGCAGGGATGAGGAAACTGCTGTACAGATACACCACGGAATATGTTTCAGCCAGAAACCTTTGGGAAATCCTGCCATCTGCAGCCACATGAAGAAACCTGAAGAACATGAGGTTCAAAGAATAAGGCTGGTAGAGAAAGTCCCATGCCACGTGATCTCAGGCATGCAGACTGAAGAAAGCTTTATCTTCTAGAAGTGGAAAGTTCAATAAGGCTTACCAGAGGCTGCTGGGGAAGTGGAGGCAGTCTCAGAAGGAATCAGTGATGGGTACAAAGTTACTCTCAGATGAGACTGATCAATTCTGGCCTTCTATTCCACAGCAGGGTGACTAGCCTTAACACAAATGTACCATATGTTTCAAAGTAGCTAGAAGGAAAGATTCTGAATGTTGTTACCACTCAAAAATAATAACTATATGAGATGAAGAGATGCTAAATAACCTGATTTTATCATTACTCAACATATACACGTATCAAAATCTTCCTTGTACCTTTTAATTGTATACATTTAGTATATGACAAATAGTGTTTTAAGAAATATAAAGAAACAATGCCAAAATTTATGTGGAAATGTGAAACACCCTGAATTTCCAAAGTTATTCTGAGAAATACAAACCATATGGGATGTGTCACATTCCCTGAGTTCTAATTAAATGAAAATCTGTAGTTAACAAACCCATACGTTACTGGCATACACAGAGAAACACAGACCAGTGAGCAAAATGAATGTGCTCGATAATAAACAAAAATTTATATGGAATGAACACATTTTTCAAAACACCACCAAAATGACACAACGGGGAAGATTTCCAAAACTAGATATCCATATGCAAAAGAATAATACAGGACTCTTATGGTACTAGATACACAATAATCAACTCAAAATGATTAAAGATTATACACAAAACTTGCAACCATAAAGCTCCTATAAAGACAACCTCAGGTGTGCGTATATTTAGGGCAACTTGGATGTATGCTTAGGGTTCGCAAAAAGTAAACAAAAATACAAGGGAAAAAAATTATTGACAATGAACTGCTTTGGTAGTGATTTGTGATTTTGTTTTTTCTTGATTAGTAACCAACAGCACAGCCACCAAGAAATTATGCACATGTGGGACCACGTCAAGCTGAAGCGTTTGTGCCCAACAAAGGAAACAATAAAGAAAATAAAAAGTCACACTAAAAATTACAAGTTTGGGATAAGGGATTATTTTTGAAAAGGTACAAGCGAGTCATACTACCAGCTGGCAAAAAAAAAAAAAAAAAAAAAAAAAAAAAAAAACAGAACAATTGCCAGACAAAAACTGGGCAAATAACCGGATTAGATATTTTTCTAAAGAAGACAGGAAACTGACCCAATGTCTACAAAAACGTGGTTAACATTACTACTCACGAGAAAAATGCAGATCAAAACCACACTCAGATCTTATCTCACTCCAATAGAATGAACATTACAAAAAGATCAAAATATTTAAAAAGACAATTCCTGGTATGAATTTCCAGAAAGGGGAACTGTTTGTGGAAACATAAATTAGTATTAACACTATAAAAAACAGTTGGAGGTCTTGCAAAGAATAGGAAAAAAAGAAATACCATATCATCTAGCAGTCCCATTACTGGGTATAAATTCAACCTACCTGTTCATCCACAGATAAAGAGATCAAGAAACTCTCATATACATACACTAGGAAATATTCTCCAGCCATCAAAATAATGAAACAGTGTCATTTAGAGCAACACAGATGAACCTGGAACACATTATGTTAAATGTAATGAGCTAGGCCTAGAAAGACAAACACTGCATGATACCACTCGTGAAATCTTAAGATGTTTATCTTAATGAAGTAGAAAGCACAATATTGGTTACCAGAGTTTGGGAGATAGAGGGGGAATGGGGAAGGATTGATTATGGAAACAAAGTTATCTTAACATTAAAGGAATAAATCTGAAGTTCTCCTCCTCAGCCTGGTGACTGGAGTAAACAATATCATATTTTTCTAGAGCAAGAAGGGAGAATTTTGAATGTTCTCCCCACAAAAAAAAAAAAAAAAAAAAATGCCTGGACGAGCAAATAGAGATCCTAAGTACCCTGATTTGATCATTACCCAACCTATATGTATGAAAATGTACCCCTAATTATGGACCTTTATGTTGTGAAAAAAAGTTAATAGAAATAAATAGGTATTGCTAAAAATCACAGGGAACCACAAAAGCAATGAATATCTAAAGGAATCCTCAGAAATACAAAGTGAAGACCCACAATCCTCAATATCAAATTACACTGCCAAGTTGTAGTTATACAGCTGATATATGATACTTGCATAAACTATGGACAAAAACAGGGAGAACAAAAACATGATCAACACAAATATGGACACAGTCAACTGACTTTGATAAAGAACACTGCAATGTGGAAGGCAGAGAATGAGTACCTTTGAGAAAAATGATATTCAGATGCAGAAGTGAGAAATAGGACCTTATTTTACACGATGTATGAAAATGAACACCCCCTCCCCCAAATTGAAGGCAAAACAAAAGACCATAAACCACAAAATGTTTTTAACTAAAACACAGGATGAGCATATATTTTGGGTCACTTGAATCTCTGCTCACCTTTGCAAAGAGGAAAATAAACAAACACCCTAGAAGAAAAACCTCATTGACAATTAAATGCTTTGTCACTGATATATATTTTCTTATATGGGTGACAAAAATTACATGCATGAAACGCAAAAATAAATATATGGGACTATGTCAACATGAAAAGTTTCTGCACATCAAAGAAAACTACTTTCCAAATTAAAAAGCATCCTATAGATTAGGCAAAAATTTCAGGCAATCATGTAATTCACGAGGAGTTGTCATCTAACATGTACACAAAAAACACTACAAAGTAGCAAAAGCATCCAATCTAATATTTTGCAAAGAACCTGAACAGACAATTCTGCACAGCCATAAAATCGAACAACAAATAAGAGATAAGGTCCTCAAAATAAACTATTCATTAGAAAACTGTAATTCAAAACCACACACAGATAATCTCACACTTATTGAATATTCCTAGATTTTTTATTTAAAAAATAAGAGGGGCTGGGAATGGTGTCTCATGCCTGTAATCTCTGCACTTTGCGAGGCCGAGGCAGGTGGATCACCTGAGGTCAGGAGTTTGAGACCAGCCTGACCAATATCGTGAAACCCCATCTCTACTAAAAATACAAAAATTAGCTGGGCATGGTGGCGGCCCCTGTAGTCCCAGCTACTCCGGAGGCCGAGACAGGAGACTTGTTTAAAACCAGGCAGAGGCTGCAGTCTGCCGAGATGGCGCCACTGCACTCCAGCCTGGAAGACAGAGCAAGACTCCATCTCAAAACAAAAACAAAACAAACCCCAAACCAAAAATAATAGGAATGCGGGTATGGTTTTGGAGAAAGGGAAACTCATACACTGTAGGTGGAAATGAAAATTAGGATACACACCATGGAAAACAGCTAAATAGCTGGAGACTCCTCAAAGAACTGAAACTACAGATGTCCCCTGCTCTAGCGAGGTCTCTTTTTAAAGGTGCTGAGGCATCAAAAATAATCCTAGACTCCAGCTCAGAGGCCCCTGAGGCTCGGAGGGACCCAGGTCCGGCGTTTCACCGCCAGCTCTGGGCCAGGGCGCTCCTATACGCTGGACGCGGGTCGGACATTGGCATAGCCTTCCCGGCCGGGGTGCGGACGCTGCAGTAGCCAGGACCCCACAACCGCCCCCACGCGGAGGACTCGGGCCCAGATGCCCACGAAGAAGTGAAAGCACGAAAACAGGGAGAGGCAGGGAAGGAGCCGGGAGGGTTCCCGGTGGGGTCCACGCCCCCGCCACTTACCGCGGAGACCTGCCTCCTACTCCACCATCACATGGAACCCACCACTGCTTCTCCGAAGCTCGCTCTGACCACGCCGCTGCTGCTGCAGGGGCCTCGCAGGAAGTGCAGTCTCAGCTTCCGTAGGGACACGCACGCTGGCAGCATCCCTCGTGCCAGGTTGAAGCTCCACCCCCTCTTAAAGGGACGCGGCTCGGACTTGCCAGAAGCAGCTTTGGGTGGCAACACAGGCTGAGCCTCTGCCCAGCCCCAGGGGGCGACGAAAGACCCCTGGTCTCTCATCCTCCCCAGCTTTCGGGCCCTAGAAGTCGCAGGGACGCTCCCTGTGACCCCCTCCCCGAGATCGGCTCCCTTTGCCTAGGGAGCACCCGGGACCTGCCCCTGCCCTCCTCTGGACCTCAGTTCCACCATCCGCAAAGCAAGCAGCCTCGCTAGAGCTCTGGGGTTCCTCAAGCTTGGCGTCTCAGGATCCAGGGTGTGCTCCCCTGCCCCTCTGCAGAGGGGGTCCAGAGAACCACAGAAAGCTGGGGGCTGGAGGGACAGTCCGGAGGGCAGCAGGGCCTCCCCGGCCTCACTGTCCGCATCTGTCCTGTGGGAGCCCGGGGGCCTCGCTATGGCCCAGACACCCACAGCCTCACCAGGGCTGCCTGGGTCACCGGGCTCCCCAGGAGGCAGGCAGGGGCCCTGGGGTCCAGCGCTGCCCCCACCTCAACTCCATCCTGCGTCAGGGCCCGCGAGGGGCCCTGTGGACTGGACCCAGGCCCGCCCATTCCCAGGGAGAGGCTATTAATTATTGCCTCAATTTCAGAGCCTGTTATCGGTCTCTTCAGAGATTCAGCTTCTTCCTGGTTTAGTCTTGGGAGGGTGTATGTGTCAAGGAATTTATCCATTTCTTCCAGATTTTCTAGTTTATTTGCGTAGAGGTGCTTATAGTATTCTCTGATGATAGCTGGTATTTCTGTGGGATCGGTGGTGATATCCCCTTTATCTATTTTTATTGCATCTATTTGATTCTTCTCTCTTTTCTTCTTTATTAGTCTTGCTAGCGGTCTATCAATATTGTTGACCTTTTCAAAAAACCAGCTCCTGGATTCATTGATTTTTTTGAAGGGTTTTTTGTGTCTCTATTTCCTTCAGTTCTGCTCTGATCTTACTTATTTCTTGCCTTCTGCTAGCTTTTGAATGTGTTTGCTCTTGCTTCTCTAGTTCTTTTAATTGTGATGTTAGGGTGTCAATTTTAGATCTTTCCTGCTTTCTCTTGTGGGCATCTAGTGCTATAAATTTCCCTCTCCACACTGCTTTAAATGTGTCCCAGAGATTCTGGTATGTTGTGTCTTTGTTCTCATTGGTTTCAAAGAACATCTTTATTTCTGTCTTCGTTTCGTTATGTACCCAGTAGTCATTGAGGAGCAGGTTGTTCGGTTTCCATGTAGTTGAGCGGTTTTGAGTGAGTTTCTTAATCCTGAGTTCTAATTTGAGTGCACTGTGGTCTGAGAGACAGTTTGTTATAATTTCTGTTCTTTTACATTTGCTGAGGAGTGCTTTACTTCCAACTATGTGGTCAGTTTTGGAATAGGTGTGGTGTGGTGCTGAAAAAAATGTATATTCTGTTGATTTTGGTGGAGAGTTCTGTAGATGTCTATTAGGTCTGCTTGGTGCAGAGCTGAGTTCAATTCCTGGATATCCTTGTTAACTTTCTGACTCATTGATCTGCCTAATGTTCACAGTGGGATGTTAAAGACTCCCATTATTATTGTGTGGGAGTCTATATTTTGGTTGAAGTTGAGTTTCTAGTCAAAGAAAAAAACACATGAAGGGCATTCGTGTTTCCAGGAACAGAAGCATCCTGTCTGGTTTTTCAAAGGTGAAGGGAGCAGTCTGAAGGGGCCATGGCATACGTGTGTCTATAATCAAAGCTCAGAGCCAAGGCCCTGGGGGAGGGTCAGGGGTGCCCCAGGGGGTGCGCCCCATCCAACACTGCACTGCCAGGGGCCTTGTCTTTATTAAATTCTGGGCCTTTTCCTGGGCAATAGTTACACAAGGTGGGTTCAATGAACCCTGTGTCCTGTGGCTGCCACCCATTTCAGGGTCGCAAAGGTAATGATCACCCCTTCACCTTCTGCTGAGGGTCCAGGTGACCCCCTGGTGGTGTAACCCAGGCCCTCGCCCCTAAGGGGTCCTGAGTCTTGCTCACCACTGAGTCCTTGGTCTAGGGCTCCCGCACTTGTCCAGGTACCATCAAATGCTGTGTACTGAGAGGCGCTTGCGTAGAGCCCCTTCTTCCCCAGGCAGCACAGCCCTGCTCCTGCTGACACCATGGTCCAGGTGGTACACATCTTTCTGCCCGCAGGTCCCATGGAGGAGCAGCCTGAGAACAAAGCAGCACCCAGAGCTTGTTTTTTTTAGAGAACCTGGCTCTGTCCTGTCTAGAAGCCCCACAGCTGTGGAAACCAGGACCTCCTGCTTTTCAGAGCCTAGATGTGCAGGACATAGATGCACCTCAGAGGTCCTGGGTGTGAGGTGGAAGGTTGGGGGACACTGGGCTTCCTACTGCTGTGCTCCCATTGCCACATCTTCTACCTGGTGGGACCAGGCAGCTAGCAAAGGTGACAGATTCACCCAGACACTGTGTCCTCCCACATCCTGACCTGGCACCTGAGCCACACTGCTGGCTCTGAAGTTCCCAGGAGCGTGTGTGTGCTGTGACCAGCGGACCTATGGCATGTGCCGTCTTCCTCCCTCTGTGGCATGGTATCAGTTCCTCTGATGGTGTCATGTGAGGTCTCGTCCTGATGGGCAGAACTTTCTATAAACCATCCCGTGGCCCCGGGGAAAGGCAAGCTCATCCCTGCAGGTTTAGTTGTTTCTGTTAAATGCAACCCTGTTCTTCCCAGGATGTCAGGGCCTGGTGCAGTTGTCCCAGCCTGGCAGGCAGTCGTCCCCTTGATGGTTTTGTGGAGTGCGCAGCCTGGGCCTAGCTCATGACCCTG
Source organism: Homo sapiens (assembly GCF_000001405.40). Taxonomy (NCBI): domain Eukaryota; kingdom Metazoa; phylum Chordata; class Mammalia; order Primates; family Hominidae; genus Homo; species Homo sapiens. The sequence continues at coordinate 19,340,567 of NC_000014.9, forward strand.
GCAAAGGGCAGGTGAGCCCTGGGGCTGACCACCTGCACTTTCTGTTTGGTGGTGGGAGATGTGGGGCAATATTTCTTGCCTTTCCTTTAGAGATCATCTCCCAGCCTGCACAGACCACTAGACCCCTAAAAATGGGATTTGTAGGCAGGGCCTGGCTCTCTGTGGTGCTTTTCTCTCCCCTCCAGCCCCGCCGGTTTCCCCCATCTGTGCTCCTGATGCAGGGGGAGGACTGTATTATGGCAGACAGCATGCTGGTTTACACAGTTCTGGGACAAAACTGTAGGTATACATTATTTTATGTCCCAAGTAAATGAATCCAATTTCTGGATGCTTTTTTGACACAGAGGGAAGAAATGCATTGGTGAGATCCATGAGCCAGAGCTCAGGTCCATGCTCAGGCTCTGGGAGCAGCTGTGCAGCTCTGGAGCTGTTGCGGGGCCCGGGGAAGGCGTAGGTGCTGTGTCTTTGCTCACTGTGTTAAAGGCTTTATTTGTTTCTTTGTTCAGTTTGTTTTCTTCGATCCCTGTTTAGCAATACTGAAAATCAAGCATTTCTAAGAGGCGGAGACCTTGATTTGGAGCAGGGGCGGGGCATTGGGCGGAAATGGAAAATAGGTTGATAGTGGGAATTTCATTTTCTGGAGCTCACGTGCAGCCTCTTGATGGCCCCGTCACAAGTTCACCTGATGACCTGAGTGGCCACTGTCCTTCTCCTGAGTGGTTTGCCTGCTTGCCAGGCACATGAGCAGTGCATGCTCACATTCTTCAATTGAAGGAACTAAGAAGAGTTTGTCAGCAGATTGTAAGCCTGAAGCTGCCAGTGTTTGGTCCACAGTAAACCACATGTGGAGAGCTTTAAAAAATTGCCTTCAAATCTGGCAAGAAAATTACAGTAATAAATTATTACTATAATACACATATTTATTTAGTTACAATTATATATATAAAAAACAATTTTGCAGAAGTTTCCCATCTACCAGCATTTATTATTATTATTTTTTTTGCATGATAAGTTTCCAAGGAACCTTAGTGATGGGGACTGTCTCTTTTAAAATTAAATTGTGTAAATAACTCCCAGAGCCATGCTGGTAAGAAACAAAACAAAACAAAAAGAACTAGAAACTTGAAACAAACGTAGGATTTCTGCTGGTAAAAGGATGCAAAGCAGGCCTGCCTGCTGCACTTCCCCAGAGCTAATCCTTGAGCCAAAAGAGCTTCCTGGTGAAGCCTCGCACTCTCCGTAACAGGGTGTGGGGGGACCGCGACATGTGGGCTCCAGACTTGACCATCTTTACCTAGTTATGGGATTTCAATCATGTCTTTTAAATTCTTTGAGCTGCAGTTTTCACATATATAAAGTGGAAATATTTTTAAAATTTTAATTTGTATTATAACCTTGTGTAAAGATAAAATAGTACACTTGAAAGCATTTTAGCTGAAGTCAAACGTTCATGTGTGTGCATGCGATGGCTTAATTATTTTAGGGCTTATCCTGGTTTTACTGGTAGTGTTACTAGCACTGCTACTTCTCCATATCTCTGAAGACTATGAAATACTTAGAACTGAAGCAACAAGAAGCACCTGTTAAAGGGTTCTATGGCCGATGACAGATTTGACACAACTGGATATAATAATATGTTAGATGGTGACTAGAGCACTGCTGAGCAGAGACTTCATGCTGTTCAAAGTCGAAGGTGTCCCTAGAATTCTGAACCTGCTGAAGCAGCATTCAGAACTGAAGTTGAGAAAAGTACATTTTCAATTAAAGAAAGTCTGAGAGAATGTGTTGCCATCACACCCAAACCACAATAAATGCAAAAGAAAGCTGTTCAGCTTGAAGAAAAATGATAACAATTGGAAATTCTAGTTCTCAGAAAAGATGAAAGTGTGCCAAAAATAGTAAACATGTGGAGGGGAAACTGCTGTTTTAATGACATCCTCCAGGAATTACAACATGTGCAGAAGAAAAATCTATGACAACATGGCACAAAAGATGAGAGAAGGGAGGAGGGTAAGGTAAGGTTTTTATATTTTATATACAGTGTTATGATATTTAATATACTTTAAGTATTTTTATTTTAATTTCTAAAGAACTCACTAAAAATAAATAAATGAAACAAAGAGTCATAGTTAAGAAAAACACAAGATACAAAATCCATACTAAAAAAAAAAAGAAAACCCCATAAAACAAACAAACAAACAAATGAAAACTACAATAATCCAGAAGAAGACCAGGAAGGCAGAACAGAGACTGTCAAAGTAGGTAAAAAGGAAACCTCAATATCAGCTTTTAAAACGATATACACTTATGAGGTAAAGATACAAATAGATTCAAACTGAAAAGATGGACAAATATACACCATGCAAATCTTTGTTATCAAAAACTGCAGCCAGTGTATTAATGGCAGATAAGACAGACTACAAGAAAGACAAGCATCAACAGGGATAAAGAAGGATGTTTTATGCAATAAGTCCATTTGCTTAGAAAACCTAATAAGCATAAGCATGTATGCACCTAAGAAAAATAACAAAATACACGAAGCAAAAGTTATTGAATTAAAAGGATAAATGCATAAATCCACAATTTGACAATTCTAATTCTTATATCTCAGAAATTAATAGAAAAAAATAACTACGACAATAAGGCTACAAGGTATTAATAGGAGAGATTATAACCAGAGCACTGGGAGAAAAACAGCAATATCCAATATGCTTACAATATTGGTTGACAACTCAAAAGTTCCCAAAATAATTTTTGACACTAAAGGTAAATAGCCTGGAAAACCTAAAAGCCAGCATAGGAAGGAAGTGGAAAATGAAATGCTGATTGAAAATAAATCTGGAAGTCCGGGCGCGGTGGCTTATGCCTGTAATCCCAGCACTTTGGGAGACCAAGGTGGGTGGATCACCTGAGGTCGGGAGTTCGAGAAATTCTGTCTGTACCAAAAATACAAAATTAGCCAGGTGTGGCGGCACATGCTTGTAATCCCAGCTACTCGGAGGCTATGGCAGAAGAATCGCGTGAACCTGAGAGGCAGAGGTTGTGGTGAGCCGAGATCACCCCATTGCACTCCAGCCTAGGCAATAAGAGCAAAACTCCATCCCCCACCCCCCCAAAAAAAGAAAAGAAAAGAAATCTGAAGAAAGGAAAAGAGAATTGAGGATAAAGCTTTGGGATACAAAATCCAAAATCAAATGCTAGAAATAAGTTCAAATATATCACTTTTTCCTACCAAACATAGAAGGATTAACCTCATATATTAAAATACAAAATATCAGTAACAAAGCAGCACTTTCAAATTCAAGAAAGAAAAATAATGGGAATAAAAATTTTAAGTAAATATTCACAGAAAGCAAGCTGCTACCACAAAATTAATTTTAGTTCAAGTAAAATTTAAGGAAGAAATAATGAACAACAGGATAGACACTGCACATGGAGGGACCATAGAACCGAGTAGGTGAAGCAACGTCAAGTCCAATGCTGGCCTCGCCTCCAGGACATACAAAGAAACTAACAGGAAGAGCAGGTCTAGAGAGGGACGCGGGAACTCATACTTCTGAATTTAAATGGGAAATAGACAAAAATGTTATGTGTTTATAAAAGATTTTAAAATCACAACAAATGCTGAATATACATCATTTCCTAGTATATGTAATACTTACTAAATGGGACTCATATTAGGTTGCAAAAGAAATTACAAAAAAACTGGAGCTAGGGACCAAAGGACTAACAGAAGTGAGAACAAAAAACACACCCCATATATTTTAGGAAAAAACGGCACAGTGATTTAATGGTAAGTCACTATAAACATGAAGGGAAAGACTGCCATCCAAGGAAGCGCAGAAAAGGACACCCCTCAGGTCCTGGATGGAGGAGGATGACCCCCAAGTCCTGGATGGAGGAGGAAGACCCCCAATACTGGATGGAGAAGGATGCCCCCAGTCCTAGATGGAGAAGGATGCCCCCCTCAGTCCTGGATGGAGACGTCATGAGTAACTGTCGGTAAGAAACATCATGTTCCTCATTCTGCCCTTGCTCCTTGGGCTCCAACAGGAAAAACCAGAAATTCTGTGGATGTAAAACATGGAAACATTCATTCTTTAAAGAAAAAGGCTGCAGAGACAAGAACAGCGAAAGGATGTTATTGAATACATGCAAATGGATAAAATATGAATGATTATGTTCTCATGTTCAACCCAATTTTTAAAAGTGGATGTATGAGCAGTGCGAGCATTTAGTCAGGCCATGGTGAGCCTGTGGGCAGCGGTGGCAAACCCGGACTCTGCCCGCCGACACCAGCGGCCCCGAAACCCTAGAGCCAGAGGCCACCTAGTGGCCAAAGTCAGGCAGTCGGCCCACAGCTGCAGGAGAGCTGCAACCCGCCCTTCAGCGGATTCCTGGAGGCTGCACAGTGCCCAGCTCCCGCCACCCGGTGCTCTGGGCGCGGGCAAATGACCCTCAGGCCGTCTGGGACCGGGCCAGCCCTGCAGCCTCAGCGGTGGGCTCAGAGACGGCTGCCACGTGCACACGGTGAACTATAGCAGCTGTGGCAGCCCCCGACCCTGTGCAAGCCACCGGCAGTGCAGACCCCATGACCAAAAGCCGCCGCGTCCCCTAACTCAGACGGTCGGCCCCCCAGCAGCCAGAGGGAGGAAACCTGCAGCTCAGCCCCATCCCAGCGCTTGCACTGTGCTCAGCGCCTGTAATCCCACTCTCTGGGCGCGGACGAGGAAGACTGGACCTTACGGTGGGAGGGCGGTGCACTCGGGGACCCTCAAGCCTTCTGGAACAAGCCCTGCCATCCTCCGCCGCGGGCTCAGCGGCAGCTGCCACCTGCACACTCCTGGAAGCAGCAGCGGTGGCAGCTCTGGTCTCTGCCAGCTCCAGCAGGAGCGCAGACTGTAGAGCCAGAAGTCACTGCAGCGCGTGTTAGGAGGTTGGCCTCTCAGCAGCAGGAGGGCAGGAATCTCCGCCCAACCAGATCCTCATGGCTGCACAGTGTCCAACGCCCACGACCCCGCAATCTGGGCGCTGGTCTAGGAATAACGGACCCTAGGGTGGAAAGGCGGTGCACTCACCCACCCTTGGGCAGCCTCAGGCCAGCCCTGCCAGCATCTGCCTTGGGCTCAGCTGCAGCTGGCGCCTGTGCATGGTGCACGGCAGTAGCAGTGGCAGCCCTGACCCTGCCCTCAGACACAAGCAGCAAAGACCCCAGGGCCGGACGCCTCCAAGGCACCTAAGTCAGGTGGCCGGTCCCATAGCTGCAAGAGGGCGGGAATCGGCTGCTCAGCCCCATAGCAGCTGTGGCAGCCCCCATCTCTGTCCATGCCACCAGTAGCACGAACCCCAGGGCCAGATAATGCGGTGGCGCCTAATTCAGACTGTAGCTGCGGCAAGGCGGGAATCGGCCGCTCAGCCCCATCCTGGAGGCTGCTCAGTGTCTAGCGCTCGCACACCACGTCCTGGGAGCAGTCTAAGGAACAGGAGACTCTAGGGTGGTAGGGCGGTGCACTCAGCGACCCTCAGGGTGTCTGGGACCAGCCCTGCCAGCCTCTGCCATGCTCTCAGCTGCAGCTACCATCGCCAGGTGGCGCCCGTTAGCAATGGTGGAAACCACACCCCCATCCCCCGACCTTGCCTGCCCCCAACAGCAGTGCAGATTCCATGGCTGGATGCCTTGCCAGGGCGGGAACCAGCCGCACAGCCTATTCTGGACAGCTGCACAGGGCCCAGCGCCCGAAACCCCGAGCTCTGGGCGCGTGCCAAGGAAGAGTGCACCCTAGGCTGGGAGGGTGGTGCACACCGCGATCCTCAGGCTTTCTGGGACAAACCCTGCCGACCTCTACTGAGAGCTCAGCTGCAGCTGCCACCTGTACAAGGGCACGACAGCAGCAGAGCAACCCGGCACTTTGCCTGCACCAGAGCCCTGACACCGGGGACAACGCAGCCTCAGCGCCTAATTCAGGCAGTCAGCCCCGCAGCTGCAGCAGGGCAGAAACCTTTGCCCTCGGCCCAGTCTCCTTGGCTGCACAGTTCCCAGTGCCCGCGACCCGGAACTCTGGGCTCAGGCAAAGGAACAGAGAACCCTAGGGTGGGATAGTGGTCCACTCAATGACCCTGAGGCTGCCTGGGAAACGCCTTGCCAGCCTCCGTCATGGGCTCAGCTGCAGCAGCCACCTGCACATGGCGGGGGAGCAGCCTTGATGGCAAACCCAGACCACGCTTTCACGCCAGCCAGGCGGACTCCAGGGCCAGGCGCCGCCCAGCGGCCAATTCAGGTGGTCCGGCCCCAGCTTCAGGAGGGCGGGAACCGGCAGCTCAGCCATTTCCTGGCGGCTGCCCTGTGCCCAGCCCCTGCACACCCTGATCTGGGCACCTACAAGAAAGAGCTGACTCTAGGGTGAAAGGGCCGTCCACTCAGCGACCCCCAGGCTGTCTGGGACCAGCCCTGCCTGCCTCTGCTGTAGATTCAGCTGCAGTGGTAACCTGCACAAGGCGCGCAGCAGCAGCTGTGGCAAATTCTGACCCTGCCAGCGCCACCAGCAGCGCGGACCCTTGGGCCAGAAGCCTCCACGACGCCTAAGTCAGGGGTGTTGGTCCCCAGCCGCAGGAGGGCAGAAACTGGCTCTCAGCCTCACCTCAGAGGCTGCATGGTGCCAGAGCCAGGGCCCAGCTCTTCTAGCGCAGGTTGTGGAGGGGCCAGGGGCCCCCCAGGCTGGAGAGGCTCCCCCAGGCTGGAGAGCAGCGTCATGAACACAGCTTACTGAAGCCTCAACCTCCCAGATTCAAGCTACCCTCTCATCTCAGCCTCCCAAGTAGCTGGTAGCTGGGACTACAGGCGGGTGCCATCATGCCTGGCTATTATATTTTACATACATTTTGGAGAGACAGGGTCTCACCATGTTGCCCAGGCAGATCTTGAAAGCCTGCAGTTCAAATGATCCTCTCACCTTGACCTCTCTCAGTGGTGGGATTATATGTGTGAGCCACTGTGCCCTACCTGCCGCTTTTCTTATAAGGATACTTGTCATTGGATTTAGGGCCCATCCTAATCATCTCAAGGTGCTGGATTTAATTACATCTGCAGATTGTTTTCCAAATAAAGGCACATTCACATGTTCCAGGTAGACATATCTTTTGATAGACCACCATGCAATCCACTCTAGGAATATTAAAGTGCCAGTGTGGACTGAGGCACCAAAGAATCACATTATGATGTCATATAACTTGCCTTATTTGTAGTGACCAGTGGGCTTGGAAACAACCATTTGCAGCTGTCAGGGAAGTGCACAGTGCCTGACCTTTCCCGCAGCCTCCTCCCCACTGGTCTTCCATGAGAGGATCAACCCTTGGAGTGTCCAGAGATTCCTGTTAAATGCGAAAGACCACAGGAGAGTTTGGGAGGGGGAAGATGTTTGGGGAGCAGCTTAGTTGTCCTGAGGTGCCCATCACCCTTCACCGTTTCAGCAATATGGATCTTCCAAGGATCTGGGAATGGGAACCAGGCATAAGACAGATACATGTGGATGAGAAGAGGCCAGAGTCTTTCTCTGTGTAGGCACCATGCAGCCCAAGATGAGCATTGCTCCAGAAACACATGCACTCATGATGCTAAACCCAATCTATTGAGGACTTAATACAAACTGCGATTTTTTTAAAGCATTTAATTCTTACCACAGTCCTTTGACATCTTATTATCTCCATTTTACAGATAAAGAAACAGGCACAGAGGGTTTAAGTAACTTGCACAAGGTCACACAATCACAACTAGTAAAGCCAGAATTAAAGTCCAGTCGGTCTGCATTCAAAGCCTGTGCTCCTGCCCCAAAGTGACAATTAGTGACTTAAAGGCAAGAAAAACAGACCCTCCTCTACCCACCATCCTCATACACAGCCTTCCAGCCCAGGATCTGAACCATTTATTCATTTTCTCTCATATTCATTCATTCATTCAATTCTTCATCACACATTTAGTGAAGCTCTGCCGTGGAATGTTCACACAGAAGGTACAAAAATGAGGCAGGTGTATTTTCTCCCATCTAACAGGGGATGACCACATGAAAAGAACTGGTGGCCTGTGTGTCCCATGGTCTTACAGGGCAGTGGTGGAGGGTGGCCCGGTCATCCACTTTCTGGGGAGGCAGAACCAGAAGCACCAGTTGGACAACTGCTAAAAAGATATTTATGCAGCCTCATATGTTAAGTCGTATATTTTGAAAGCTTTTTAAATTTTTTCTTTAAGAAGATTTTAGATGCTTATCACTGAGTACCAGAGGGATGTAGGCTGATGCCCTTATCAACAAAGTCAGGGACTGTGGCACACAAGGATTGACTACTGCAGACACGGTCACAATGCTACCTCTAGAGGGCCTGAATCCCCCTGCCCTCTCTGGTGGGGAGAAGGGCTGGCAGAGCCATTAGCATGGGCTCCGGCCAATCCTGGCCACTTTGACACTCCTGGTGCTGACCCAGGGTCCTGGAGGAAGGGATGAGGTGGGCAGTAGAGATGCTCAGGGCAGTGGCCCCTTTCCATCCACACTGGAACTATTTCAGTATTTTACCACCAATTCAGCCATTCCCTTGTGCGCTGGCTGAACATCAGCCCTGCTCCAGGTCTCAGTTTCCCCTTTGTAAAGGGAAAGCTCTGGATTCAGGAGTGATGAGAGGTCATCATGGTCTTGAGATTCCAGGCCTGTAGGCAGGGGGTGAGAGGTTCACTAGGACCACAGAAGGAAAAGGTTGGGGAGAGGCAGCAGAGAGAGTGGCTTCCCTTCGGCCCAGGTGGGAGGTTCACAGAGGCAAACTTCCTTCTTCCTCAAGGCAGGACTTGTTACAGTGAGCTTCAGGCAGTCTGGCTCTTAGGACTAACTGGGATGTCACCCTCCCTGCAGCATCCACTCCACAGACAACATGAGAGGAGTGTATAAGTATAACTAGGAACAGGCTAGTGTCCTGATATTCTCTGTGATGGAGGGGACAGCCCTCCTCAGAGACGTGGGGGAGCCCAGAACCATGGGCAGCCTGAACACACCTTACTTTCTCAGCAGTGACAATCAGAACCTTGGCCTACTAAAGCAGAAATTAAAAAGAGAAAAACCTAAGTTCTGGCCTGTTCCAGGCTGACTCAGTCCAAGGCCCTGCTAGGACTAAGATAACTTTATATACAAGGCCAGAAGAGCCCAGAAGGAATGGACTCCAGGAACAGGGATGAGAAAAACAAGTTCTTATCAGCTTCCCCCTTTGAGATTCTTTCCCAGGCCAATATTTCTTTGCTCTGCTCTCATAACTATTTTTGTAACTATTTCTGTAAGTTTGTAAGGATTTTTTAAGTTCCTGTTTTCCATCGGTGTGACCCTGAGAAGGTCACAAGACATGCCTGTGCAAGCCTAAAACAGTTGCCATCTGCTGAGAGCCTGCTGGGTGGCCCAGCAGAGGTCACCAGACATGTTTGAGTCATACACTTGTCACTGTTTGATTAACTGCCTTTGTTCTGCTTCTGTAAGCTTGCTAAGCCTGCCCTGTAAGTTTTGCAAAGCTGCATGCTTAAAAAACAGGCCCCATCTTTTTTCCGGGCTCAGCCTTTTGGATGCAAATCCACTGGGCAAGTGGTCACTTTAATAAAATCCTCCTGTCTCACCCATTGGTCTCTCCAGTCTCTTGACTCCCTCAACACTGAGACGGCTCCAAGATAGCATGTGAGATTTAAGTAATAACTTTTTTGTTTGTTTGTTTGTTTTTATTTTTGTATGAGACTGGGTCTGGCTTTTTCACCCAGGCTGAAGTGCAGTGGTGCAGTCACAGCTCACTGCAGCCACTTCCTGGGCTCAAGCCACCCTCCCACCTCAGCTTCCCAGGTAACTTAGGACTACAGGTGTATACCACTATCATTGGCTAATTTTTGTATTTTTTCCAGAGACGAGGTCTCACTGTCTCACTGAGCTCAGGCTGGTCTCAAATTCTTGAGCTCAAGAGATTTACCAGTCTCAGCCTTCCAAAGTGCTAGGATTACAGGCATGAGACACTGTGCCTGGCCAGTAATTTTGTTTTATTATATTAAGGTCAGGTTTATACCACCTTCTTCTGATTACAGAAGTAATACATGCTCATTATATAACACTGAAAATGTAAGCAGTATAAAGAAGAAAATAAAAAAGAATATGAAAATCACTAGTGGTCCCATTGCCTACCGATACACTATGTGCTGCTTTCTAATCTTTACTTCCTCTCCCTCCATGTGTGTCTTTGTGTGTGTGTGTGTGTCTGTCTGTGTGGTTTTTTTTTTGGCACATAGGACAATAGCTGACATTTTTAGCTCCCCTACCAGTGTTGAGCATTATGTCAAGCAATTGAAAAAGTGTATTTTAACTCCTACAGAAAACCTATAAAGGGGAAGGGCAGTATAATTAACAGAATTTTCCAGATGAAAAGACTGGGACCTGACTTCAGGTCACATTTTATATACAGCATTGCATTTTACTTCAGACACTTAACAAAGTAAGTGTCCTGGAGAATCTTGGTCTGTTAGTCTATATAATTACATAAGCATCTTTTGTGGGATTAATAGTTTTTCCAAAGCATGCCTGGAATGCTTGCATAACATTTTAGAGTTTAAATATGTTGTTTATCGCCAGGCACGGTGTCTCACACCTGTAATCCCAGCATTTTGGGAATCTGAGGAAGGTGGATTGCCTGAGCTCAGGAGTTTGACACCAGCCTAGCCAACACGGTGAAACCCCATCTCTACTAAAATACAAAAAAATAGCCAGGCATGGTGGGGTGTGCCTGTATTCCCAGCTACTTGGGAGGCTGAGGCAGGAGAAGTGCTTGAATCTGGAAGGTGGAGGTTGTGGTAAGCCGAGATTGCACCACTGCACCCCAGCCTGGGCAAGAGTGAGACCTTGTCTCAAAAAAAAAATAATTTTATCAAACCATTTTCATCTTTGAAACATTTTAGGTCTCCTCTTTGGCTTTTTCACATTATAAATAATACTGTGATAAACATCCTTCAGCAGAAACCTTCATAGGCTAGCTTCCTAGAAGTAGAGGTATTAGGTCCAAGGTTGTGAATTGTTTTAAAGCTATTGATTTTTCTGGATAAAATTGCTTCCAGATATATTGTCCCGTTGCATTGCAATCAGTGGATCTCACCTTCAGTATTTTGTGCAAAAAAAAAGAATGTTTCTCCTTTTAAAGATTATATTTAAAATAGCTTTCAAATATTAAAAATTTGTATCTACAAATAAGAGACAGTGAAAAAAATAATAAAAGAAACACAAAAGTAGAAAGTAGATGAAAACATTAAAATTCAGATCACAGCCCTCTGTCATGGAGAAGACAGCTGCAATAGCTTTTTTGTTCTTTTATCTATCCTTGATACATTTTTCTTTTAATTAATTTTTACCCCAACTTTTAGTGCTGGCTGAGTTGTCGATTTGTTGCTGGGATGGAAAGAAGAAATTTGCACCTTGTCCTTTGCAGGTTATGAGAGCCCTGTCTGTCCTCGTGGTTATGTGGATGTCTTTTAGATTATTGTGAATATTGAGCTTTGAAAATAACCTAACAGTCAATCAATTGCTGAGATTCTATTACCAGTAGTGGGACACAATGTACATCATGTAGAGAGGCAGACTCGTCGCTGACAAAAGGGCTGACCCCTGGAAAACCAGCACAGAGCCAGCTCTTCTGTCTGAATCCACTCTCTCCAAAACATAACATAAGTCATGGAAAGAAATGAGTCTCAAGAAATGAGACTCTTACCATGATGAGAGGGGGACATTGAAAAGCTACTTTAGTGATTAGGGAGAGAAGTCCCCTTTTGCATCCCAAATCAAGCAGAGGACTGGTAGTCCAAATATAATTTTGGAATAACCTGAGTCACCTGGGCCTTGAGGAATCCTGGCCTCTTAGTCCACATTTGCAGAAATATCAGGAGGTCAATCAGGAAGCTGTTTAGGCATCTCAACACAGGGTCAAAAAGCTCCTAGGTACGCAAATAAATGTGCACACTGGAAATTGAGTTCAGTAATTTTTCCATGGCCTAGAGAACTATGATGATGAAAATGTTCTACATTTGTGCTGGCCAGTTCAGTAGCCACTAGCCACATGTGGCTATTGAGTAACTGAAATGTGGCTAGTACAACTGACCAACTAAATTGTAAATTTTGTTTTCTTTGAATTAATTTTAATTTTAATAGTCATCTGTGGCTATTGGATACTGTACTGGGTAGCACAGAGATGAGAAATAATAGAAACCTTTTTGTTCGGTTGTTTCAAGAGCTAACATTGTCAAAAGCTCAATTCCTGTTTTATGTAAGGTTTTGGTTTATATTTTCTCAAAGAAGTGAAGTACAGAAAAAAGAAAACAAAACAAAAGGATGATCAAGCAGAACTTTGGTAAGGAAGGGTGAAGCAGAGATACTTAACTCAGGGTGGGGACAACAGCAATGACCTTGTTTGAAATGCAGCTCCTGTCTCTGTGGCTCTCTGTGCTCTGCTGGGGCATCAGTTCCTTTACTTCTTAGTTAAAGCAGTTATGTCGATGGTGCAATGCTTTTTTGGTGCAATGATTTTTTACACAGCTGGTTTATCTCCAGTATGGAAGCTCTCTGCTTAATCATCTTGATTTTTCTGGGCTTGTTCCCACTCTGCAGATGTAAGCATGACACCTGTATCTCTCTCCCCAGGCTCTGATCTAGGACGACAGTTTCTATGATGTGCCCATCTAGAGAAATACTCAAATTGCAACTTTAGGAAGAGAAAAAGAGGGCCCTGCAAAAGGCATCTACAGGCCCCATGTGCTGTTCACCTTTCTTATTTATGGGTGAAGTGAGTCCTCATCCATTTATTGGGCAGTTACAAGCAAAGGAATTATATGACTACGACAACACACCTTGAGGTACAACAATTTTGTCTGTTTTGAGTTTCCACTGTTGAAAAAAACCTAGTTATTCTAATTAAGAATAGTTATAGATAGTACAGTGATAACATTTTTTTTGAGACAGGCTCTTGCTCTGTCCCCAGATTGGAATGCAGCAGCATGATCATGGCTCACTGCAGCCTCAACCTCCCTGGGCTCAGTGATTCTCCCACCTCAGTCTCCTGAGTAACTGGGAATGCAACACATGCCACCATGCCTAAATATTTTTTGGATTTTGTTTTCTTTTGTAGAGATGGGGCTTTGCCATGTCACCTAGGCTGGTATTGACCTTCTGGACTCAAGTGATCCTCTCTCCTCAGCCTCCCAAAGTGCTAGGATTACAGGTGTGAACCAGCATGCCATGCCTATAGTGATATCTTTAAGTAAGCCTCTCCTATCTTCTTTTGAGCAGTTTTTCAAAGCAACAGGCACCTTATTAAATTAGAAAGTTGATGTGTTTCCCGAATGCCTGCTAATAAAGTAGAGAACTAAAGAACCTCTGTGATTTCAATGAAGTCCATTCAGATGTTATGGGCTACTTGTTACTGACAAGTATGGTAGGAAATGTAGGTCAAGCTGTCATAGGCAAATAGATCTTGCTGAAGAGGAAGAATTATTGGCTAAGATAACACCCTAGAACACCTGGCATACTTTAGACACAGCTAAATTGAATGCTTTCTGAGGAGGAGTGTATTAATCTGTTCTCACACTGCTATAAAGATATACATGAGAGTGGGTAATTGAAAAAGAAAAGGGATTGAATTGGCTCACAGTTCTGTGGGCTGTACAGACTTATGCTTATAGGGAGGCCTCAGGAAACTTACAATCATGGCAGAAGGTGAAAAGGAGGCAAGCACATATTCACATGGCTGAAAAGAGTCAGGGGAGGTGCTACACACTTTTTAAACAAGCAGATCTCAGGAGAACTTTATCATCAGACAGCACGAGGTGGATGAGGCTAAACCATTAGAAACCACCTCTATGATCCAGTCACCTTCCAGCAAGCCCCTCCTCCAACACTGACAATTACAATTCCATATGAGATTGGGGGTGGGGGGTGCACAAATCCAAACCATGTCAAGAAGCATTTTAAAAATTGAGGGAAGTTCTAATCAGATAGCAATTCAGGACAGGGCATTTCATCAGCATAACACTCCTCTCAATACATGCCAAAATGGGAAAAAGGAAAAATTGCAAGGACGAAGATGGGACACAGCAAAATGACAAGATGACTAACAAGATGACCCCTGTGGAAAGCATTTACTGATTCAAAAACCAAATAATGAAGAAAATAAGAGCAAATTTGCTGAGTTTATATGCTCTTTATGCTTATTAGGGAAGGGCAGAAGCCAGCCCCTCAACATTGTTATTATTAATTAACATCATCACCACCTGCTCTTAAGTGTCTAGATACTTTCTAGAATCTAGTATTATCTTCACTCAAATGTTTTTTGGATATGCCCTTCGTGCATGTGATACTGCAAAAACATTCTACATTAGCCACAGCAAGATGGCTATGTAATAATTGGGATCACTTTAGGGGAGGCTATTTGTACCACATTTTGAGACAGAAAATGAAGTAAAGATGTCCATTTGTCAATTTCTTCTACGTTATGTCAAACATTCAAAGAGCTTATTTTATTTATTTCAAAGATATATACATGTTGAAATTAAAATTTAAATTAAGAAAATTTATAAACTGAGTCAAAAGAAAAGTAAGTGAGGCAGTTGGTTAATGTGTCGGTTAATGCCACCATAGTTCTGCATGCCCTGGAAGTGTCAGGCATAAACAACTCTAAAGTATTCGGCATGCAGCCAGGTGTGGCAACTCATGCTGTCATTCCAGGACGTTGAGAGGCTAAGGCAGGTGGGTTGCTTGAGCTCAGAACTTTCAGACCAAGCAAGGCCACATGGTGGAACCCCGTCTCTATGAAAAATATGAAAATTAGCCAAGCATGGTGGTGCCCGCTTTTAGTACCAGCTACTGGAAAGGCTGAGACGATCATTTGACCCCAGGAGGTTGAGGCTGCAGTAAGCTCTGGTTGCACCACTGCACTCCAGCCTGGGTGAAAGAGGGAAACCCTCTGCCCAGGACTCTTGGGATATGACTATATCCATAGGGACTGCCCGCAGTAACCTCACATTTGAGTGGAAGTGGAGATCGTATGTACCTACACCAATATGTAGCAAAAAAGAAAAACAGAAATGATAGCAGAAATGGCCCAAAGAATAAAAGAAGGTGGGGGTAATTGAGAGAGGCTTTCTGCTGATAAAATTTGAACTGATTTCTGGAGAATGGGTTTAATTCCAATAGGGGGAGATGGACCAAATTTAATTTTGATGAGGGAAATGTCTTGAGCAAAATCTAGAAAAGGAAAATATGCCCATTTTAAGTTTTAATGAGTGGTCCAGTTGGGGTACAGTGCAAGAAGAGAGTTCTAGTGAAAAGGTAGTTGGTCTGATAGGTCAGGGTCTTGCAGGCAGAGGCAGATACTATCATTATTCTGTTTTTCAGATTGGAAAACAGACACAGAGAGTCCAAGGTCACAAAGACAGAAAGGGAATCTGGGCAGTCTAGCAGTAGCACCCTCTTCTAAAATGATCCGTTAAAGGGCCTCTTCTCCAGGCACTCTAAAACCCTTCTCCATCTTTAGTTCCCCAGAGTACAGTGAGGCCCCCTGTCTACCTCACAGGACGGGGTCTCAGAAAAGCAACAGATCCCAACTCATACTAGCTTTTAAATAAAAAAATTTATAACCTTGCAAAACAAGAAGTGCAGAGGTTGGGCAAGAGCCAGCCCTGGTTCATTCAGCAGCTCAACAATAAATCCAAGGACCTGGGTATTGGTTCACCTCTCCACACCACCGTCCTCATGGGCCAGCTTCTACCTCCTCCTGAATACTGTGTCTTTGCCTAGTTTTCTCCCTGATTTTGGCTCAATTGCTGCTTCCTGGAGGCATCCTTTCCTGCCTCTGTCTTGGGGTCAGTCTGCCTTCGCAGGCTCTTGCAGCACACCTGGGTCTGCTGCACTTTCCCTTATTACATAATTTTGTGACTAATGTCAGCTCTTTCTGTTAGATTCTAAGCTCCACTAGGGAAGAAATTCTGTGCATTTTTGATCACTATTGAACCCTGGAGTCTACCACTCAAATATTTGTCAAATGAGTAAATGGTAGCTCTGTGCAGGGCCAAGGAACCCAAGAACCACAAGAAATAATCTGCCAAAATAGTCATTACAGCTCACTCTCCTCTGGTGACATTTCCCTGAGGCACATTGCTGTTGGTTTCTTCCCCTCAAGAAGCATTCTTCTTTCTCCTTCCTATAAAAGCCAGGTTTTTCTCAGATAGCCACACCATGCCCCATGCAAAGAGATTTGGATTATTATACCATCTTGAAGCATTTCTGTGGAAACTGCTATCAGCCAGGTGGCCCATGACCTAAGTTGACCCAAGCCGACTGAAGGGAGGATGTATTCTATGCACCGTATGGAATTCCACAGGGTGCTGGTTTCCCCAGCTGCTGCTGGTGGTCATCATGTAGTGAAGATATTTCTTTTTTCAGCATAGGCCTCAAAGGGTTCCAAATATCCACTTGCAGATTCTACAAAAAGACGGTTTCCAAACTGCTCAATCAAAAGAAAGTTTCAACTCTGTGAGAAGAAAGCACACATCACAAAGAAGTTTCTCAGAAAGTTTCTGTCTAGTTTTCATGTGAAGATATTTCCTCTTTCCCCTTAGGCCTCAATGGGCTAACAAATATCCCTTTGCAGATTCTACAAAACGACGGTTTCCAAACTGCTCAATCAAAAGAAATGTTCAATTCTGTGAGATGAATGCACACATCACAAAGAAGTTTCTCAGAATGCTTCTGTCTAGTTTTTATGTGAAGATATTCCCTTTTCCACCACAGGCCTCAAAGCGCTCCAAATATCCACTCGCGGTTTCTGCAAAAAGAGTGTTTCAAAACTTCTCAATCAAAAGAAAGGTTCAACTCTGTGAGATGAATGCACACATCACAAAGAAGTTTCTCAGAATGCTTCTGTCTAGTTTTTACGTGAAGTTATTTCCTTTTCCACCATAGGCCTCAAAGCACTCCAATTATCCACTTGCAGATTCTACAAAAAGAGTGTTTCAAAACTGCTCAATCAAAAGAAAGCTTCAACTCTGTGAGATGAATGCACACATCACAACGAAGTTTCTCAGAATGCTTCTGTCTAGTTTTTAAGTAAAGATATTTCCTTTTTCACCATAGGCCTCAAAGTGCTCCAAATATCCATTTGCAGATACTACAAAAAGACTGTTTCCAAACTGCTCAATCAAAAGAAAGGTTCAACTCTGTGAGATGAAAGCACATATCACAAAGAAGTTTCCCAGAAAGTTTCTGTCTAGTTTTTATGTGAAGATATTTCCTATTGCCCCATTGGCCACAATGGTCTCACAAATGTCCCTTTGCAGATTCTACTAAACGACTGTTTACAAACTGCTCAATGAAAAGAAATATTCAACTCTGTGAGATGAAAGCACACATCACAAAGAAGTTTCTCAGAATGTCATGTAACCAAGGTATTGCTAGTGCTTATGGAGAAAATAGAGCAAGTGGAGAGAAACTGAGTAGGTAAAAGTGGACAGGGCTTGGTGATGTTTGGGATATGAGGGATAAGACAGAGGATGGTCTTAGGAAAATCTCCTGTTCTTTCTTTTTGGACAATGGTATAGAGGAATAAAAGTTCCAATCACTGGGATAGAAAACACTTGGAAAATATGAGATTCATCCAGGCGAGTCTTTCATAAACTATTCCATAATCAGTTTTATAAGTGAAAGGGAGTCAGAACTCATCTCAACCTCGTTTGCTTCTATCATACTGCGTTGTACCCTGTTGGATCTACTTATCATATTCTTCCTGGTAGCAGACTTACCTACTAATGTTTGCACTTACTCCTTGCCGGCCTGGAAGCTCTGAGGCAGCAGGAGCAGTGTGTGTGCCCACGTGTGTGTGCACTTTCTTGGGTGTGTGTGTGTCTGTGTAATTGGATTCCCCACAGCACATTATTGTTTTATCCATAGTAAATGGTGGATGAATATTTGCAGTATTTAACTGGACTGCAGCATTGTGGAGGTCAGATAACCACATTTTGATAGACAAGTTGCATTCTAACCTTGAAGCAAACAAAATGCCCATCTTATCAGCCTCCCTCACACTGGCTGTGCCTTTCCTTTGTGGTTGTATGTTTAAAGAGCTCATCCAACAAGCTTCTTAAAAAGGGGATTGGACCTTTGCCAGCCTCTGGCTGCATGGCAGGTTGACTGTGTCTTTGAATATCCCTGATGGAAGCTGGTCATCCTTTTGTCTTTGGGTGAATAGACTACTCAGGAAGGCAGGGATGAATGCACCCCCCACCCTGCTTTCTTGTTAACGAGTTTGCCATTTATTTTGGCAGATCTGAAATAGTATTTCAAAGGCAGTGCAGAAGCAGATGGGGACATTACTTGTAATTGTTTAATACTGTTATGACATGACATTTGCTTACAGAAAGAGAGGCAAGCCACCATCTTCAAGGGAGGGCATAGTCATCGACTGTGATCCTGGTGTCCATGTTGGAATATCATGGCAACTATCTCCCAGCACTGGACTTGATTACTTCTACTGCATTCCCAGTGATAGCTGAGTTGCTTAATTTACTTTCTTCAACACCGTTTGTGAAAGGGAAGCTAGAAAACTGCACTATGTATGGCTTAGTGCACTGAAAATTTGACGTTATCAAAGGAGCCATGATCTCGTCTTTCTCTATCCCTCTTCAAATGTTTTCTATAATTATATTCAAAGGCTCATGGGTCTTACCATGGGTCATCGAGGAAGGGCTGGTAACTCTTTAAACCACAGGTAAAATATTACAAACATCTGAAACCTGCATTTTTACAGGTGAGAGAAATGAGGCCAGAAAAGTTAAGTGCATCATGTTGAATACAATTTTATTTGGTGATCAGGCAGCCCTGGGTTCAAATCCTGGCTCGATTGCTACCAATTAAGCCACTTAACTCCATCTGAGCCTCAGGTTGTCCATCTGCGTAATAAGCAGTAATAGCAGCTATCCTGTAGGACTACTGTGAGAATTACAACTCAGGCAATGACCATGATATTTCTTGGCACAGAGGTGTTCACTACTTAGGTAGTGTTATTATGATGTCTAAAGTCACAAAGGGAGTTTTTGAGAAAGCTGGAATGAAAACTTGTTTCTCTCAACTCTGACCTTATTAGAGCACACTGTTGCTTGAATAAAGCAGCCCTGCAGTCTCACAGTGGAGGGTGTTTGTAACATCTGCTCAGGCACGGTTTCATTTACTATATACCCAGAGACTAGCACTGTACAAGTTGTGGGGAGATACTCATGTGAGTTGGTGGACATTTGGTCAAATATTTTCCCTAAACCCAGGTCTCTATGGCATTCTACAGAACACTCTGCATCCTTCTAAGGGACACTCGAAGAGCAAATGGATTGTACAGTGAGTTACAAATAAAATGGCCAATCTCAGCATGAAAGACTGAGGGTGTTACCTGAATGAGGATGCAGACCCTCCATCTACATATAAGCAAACCTAGGTGACCATGAGCCTGCCAGAAAGAAATCACATGCTATGTAAAGGCTTAGTAACAGTGATGAATATCTGAACTTGAAATCCAGCTCCAGAGCAGTTCAGTGGCCTCTCTTCCAGGAACAGAAGCCAAAGCAGCTCAGGATTCTTGAAGGCTCTGAAAGGTCAGTGAGAATCCTGGTATATGTTAAGACTTTCCCACCAAAGAAGGGCTCCGTGTGTAGAGACTGAAAAAGGATTCCCAACTTTGGTCCCTTCAAAACCAGAAACAAAGGTGGGGGATAGCCCAATTAAGTGGCCCTAGAGATTTGCCCAGGAGCTGGAGCCTTCCGGAGAAGTCCAGTTTTCCTATGCAGGGAGAGGACTGGGAGTTCTCTGGTCACAAGCGTTCTGCCTTTGTTTTCATGAAGCTATGTCTCTTACCTGGTAAGAAAAATGGAACCGCATGCAGCTGCTGAAAACTTTAACCAGAAACCCAAAGATGTTGGCACAAAGAAAGGAGGCCTGAAGAAAACAAGTGACCATGAAAACACATTTAGCTCTTAATCTGACCCATTTCTCATGGGCCAGGCCTGGTGCCAGGAATGCGGTGATGAATAAGGCCTGAGCTGAGATTGTGAGGATGAGAGGGAGTCCACCCTGTGGGGATCTGGGATGATAGAAGGGCTCCACAGATAGAGGACCCGGGTGGCCAGAAGTTCTGCTGAGTGGAAAAGGGCTTGGAGTAACTGAGGTCAGCTGGATTCCTTAAACACTGCCCAGAGCCCTTGAAGCCATCTAAGGGCACACTTCTCAGGGCTGCTCTGAACCACACTCAACTGGGAATCTTTTAAGGACAGCTGCTGGGTTAGGCTTGCCAGAGATGGTGCAGTTTTTCCCCACGGCGGTAGAGGAACAGACCGCCTCTGTGCAGGAGCGGGGCCTCACAATGCCTTGGACTAGGGCAAAGGAGGATCTCCGCCTCTCCCCGTTCTGGGCTAAGACATGGCAGGACGCCGACCCATGGCTCCATGGACTCTGGCACCAGAGGACCCCCACTCTCCAGCGCCCTAGACTGAAGCAGAAGACCCCAGACCTGCTCCGCCCTGAACGAGAGTACAGTGGGACCCGCGACCCGCCCTGGCCTCAGGCACTGGAGGACCCCTGCAACGCCATGCGCTAGACTATGCTACTGAAGGACCTCTCCCCCGGCTCCGCCCTGGACTAAGGTACCAGAGGATCCCCGCCCCGCCCCGCTGTGTCCTGGCTGTGCCACTGCAGAACCCCCACCCCTCCACACCCTGGACTGTGGCTCCCGAGGACCTCGGCCCTGGCTCGCCCTGAGCTATTCCTGCCCCTCTGTGCTCTGGACTGTGGATCCAGAGGACCTGGTCCTGAGGCAACTTGGGCTACCGCGTGGACTCCAGGACCTCAGTCCCGCCGGGCCCTAGACCAAGACAGGGGAGAACCTCTGACCCACCGCCCCCTGGATAGGGCACCAGAGGACCCACATCTTGCCGTGCCCTGGACTACAGCACGGAGGGACCCCGATCCGCCGGGCACTGGGCTCCTGCACAGAGGAACCCCCGCCATGGAGATCTGGACTATCCTTGCCCCACCGCACCCTGAACTACTGCACGCCAAGACCCTCGCCTGAAAGCGCCCTACCCTCTGGCATGGGGGAACCCCGCCCCGCAGAGCCCTGGACTCTGGCGTTGGAGTACTCCCACTCCATTACGTCCTGGACTTCTGCACCAGAGGACTCCTGCCCCACCGCACCCTGGACACCTGCACTAGAGAACCCTGCCCCGTCGCCCCCTAGACTATGGCCCGGGAGGATCCTTGCCACCGACTTCGGAACAATAAGGCCCCTGACCCGCCATGAACTGGATTCCAGCACTGGAGGACCCCCTGCCACGGCGCTCTCTGGGTTACGGCTGCCCCACCGCGTCCTGCACTACAGCACAGAAGGACTGCCGTCCCTCCGCGCACTGGACTGGGGCACAGCAGGACCGGGGTCTCGTGCGTGGTGGACTGCAGGCCGAGGTGACCCCCTCCCCGCCGCGCGTTGGACTATGGCACAGGAGGACCACCACTCCCGCATGCCCTGGACCACTGCAGGACAGGTCGCCCACTCCGCCGCACCCTGGAATATGGCACTGGAGGACCCCTGCCCTGCCGCTCCGAGGACCCCACCACCGAAGACCCTCGTCCCCCTGCGCCCACGACAAAGGCAAGCGAGGACCTGGCCTCACCGCCCCGTGGGCTATCGCATAGGAAAACCCCCACCCCACCCCCACCCCGCGCCAGAGACTCTGACAAGAGAGGACCCCTGCCCCCTGCTCCCCGGACTACAGCGAGGCAGGAACCACACTCCTCCCAGGTCCTCACTATGGCAACTGTGGACCCCCGCCCTGGTACCCATGGACTAAGACACTGAAGGACCGTGACCCCACCACGCCGTGAACTCCAGCATTGGAGGACCACTGCCTTACTGCGGACTCAGGCACTGGACTATCGCAGGGCAGGATCCCTGTCCCGCCATGCCCTACACTATGGCACGGGAGGACCCAGCCTCACTGTGCTCTGGACTCCAGCACCGGAGGACTCCTACACGGAGGACTCCCGTTCTGCCACGTCCTGGACTCCTGCAGAAGAGAACCCCCGCCCCGCTGCACCCTGGATATAGCAAGGCAGGAATCCTGCCCTGTCGCGCTCTGGACTGTGGCACCTGAGGATCCACGCCCCAGCGCGCCCTGGACTACTGCTCCGCAGGACTCCTGTTCTGCTGCACCCTGGACTACGGCACCAGAGGACCCAGCTCCCGCCGGCCTGAGCTATGGCACCAGAGGACCCAGCTCCCGGCAGCCTGGACTATGGCACCAGAGGACCCAGCCCCCCGCTTCCTGGGCTAAGGCACAGTAGGACCCTGCCTCATCGTGTACTCCTGCTCAGGAGGACCCTCGCAGGGCGGCGCACTGGACTAAGCTACTGAAGGAGCCCCACCCCTGCCTAACCCTGGACTAAGGCACTGGAGAACTCTTGCTCCGCAGAGCCACGGACTCTTGCACAAGAGAACCTCAGCCCAGCCGTGCCCTGGACTGTGGCACAGTAGGGCCCACACCACGCCATGGACTCCTGTATTGGAGGAAGAGTAGTGATAAATGTCCAGGTTTACAACTTGAAAAGTAGCAATCAATGTGCCACAATAGATGGATGCGATGTAAAATTATAAATGATGAAAACATTATGTGTAATTGCCTAGCCAGAACAGTTACACAAGACAAAGACGTAAAAGAAATCCACATAGGGAAGGAAGAGGTAAGATTGTTTCTGTTTTTTGAAAATATAATCTTAAGATAGAGAAAATCTTAAAGACTCCACCAAAATAAATGGTTATAGCTGATGAAGAAATTCAATAAAGTTAATAGTTACAAAATCAACATACAAATATCATTATTGTTTCTATTAACTAATGACAAACTATTACCTGAAAAATAAAGGCAATTCAATTTATAATAGAATCAAAACAGATATATAAACATATAAAAGACAGGAGTAAATTTAATCAAAACCATAAGAGATTTACATACTGAAAACTATAGCACATTGATGAAAAAAATTAAAATGGCATAAATAAATGGAGAAACATCCTTTATTGATGGATTCAAAAATTAGTATTGTAAAAGTGTCAATGCTACCCAAAGCAATCTACAGATTAAATGCAACCACTATCAAATTCCAATGTCATTCTTCACAGAAATAGAAAAATTACTGCTAAAATTTGTATGGAACCACAAAAGACCTGGACCAACCAAAGCAATCTTGAACAAAAAGAACAAAGCTGGAGGCATCAGACTACCTGACTCCAAACTCTATTACAAAGCTATAGGAATTAAAACAGCATAGCAATGGCATAAAAACAGACACGTAAAACAGTACAAAGGGATATAGAACCTGTAAATAAATCCGTGTGTCTGTGGTCAATTGATTTTTTGATAAAATAACTAAAAATACACAGTGAAGAAAGAAAATTATTTTCAATAAATGGTGTAGACAAAACTGACTATCCACATACAGAAGAATAAAATTTCACTTTTATTTTGCTCTTTATACAAGCATCAAATCAAAATTAAAGTTTAAATGTAAAACTACTACAAGGAAATATAGAAGGAGACTGTATGACATTGGCCTGAGCTATGATTTTCTGTAGATTATTCCAAAAGGCAACAAAAGCAAAACACACAAATGAGACTGCATAAAACTTAAAACTTTTCCACAGGAAAAGAAGCAATGATAGAATTAAGAGAACCCACAAATGGGATAATATTTTTAAACCATACATCAGATAAGGGGCTCATATAATAATATATAAGCAACTCAACCTACTCAAAAATAAGAAAAAAACTATGCTTATTAAAAAATAAGCAAAGAATCAGAATAGACATTTCCTACGTCATACAAAAGGCCAACCAGGTACATGAAAAAATCATAAACATTCCTAATTATCAGAGAAGTGCAAATCAAAGCCACAATGAGATATCACCTCACACATTTTACTAGGGCTATTATAAAAAAAGATGGAAGATAAGTGTTGGTGAGGATGTGGAGAAAAAGAAACCCTGTACACTGTTGGTAGGAATGGAAATTAGTACAGCCATCTTGGAAAACAGTACGAAGCTTTCTCAAGAAATTATAAATATATTTACCCTATGATCCATCAATCCCACTTCTGGATATGTGTCCAAAGGAATTTCAATCAATATGTCAAAAAGAGACATCTGCAATTTCATGTTCATTGCAGCAATATTCATAATAGCCGTGAATTACAAACAACCTAAGTGCCTATCAACTGAAGAATGGATAAAAATATGTGGAAAAATTGGAACCCTTCTACACCACTGGTGAGACCTTAAAATGTAAAACAGTCTGGCAGTTCTTCAAATGGTTAAACATAGAGTTATCATATGACCCAGCAATTCCACTCCTATGTATTTACCAAAAAGAAAAGAAAACAAATGCTACACAAAAAGTAGTACACAAATGTTTATAGCAACAAAAAGTAGAAAAGAACAGAAATGTTCATCAACTGAGGAGTGGATGAATAAAATGTGGTGTGTCTATAAAATAGAATCTTATTTCTTAACAAAAGGGAAAAAAGTGTTAATGCATGCTCCAAAATGGATGAACATTAAAAATATGTTAAGCGAAAGAAGTGAGTAAGAAATGACTATGTGTTATTATGATTCCGTTTATGTGAAATGTCCAGAATAGGCAAATTCATAGTCAGAAATTAGATGAGTGGTCACCTAGACTAGGAGGGGTTTTAAAAAGGCTGGAAAAAATAGGGAAAGATTGCTAATGGGTGCAAGTCTCTTTTAAGGGCATTAAAATGTTCTAAAATTATCTTATGAAGATTATTTGTCCACCCAGTTAATATACTAAAAGAATTTGAAGTTTGTACTTTAAATGAGTGAATTACATAATGTATGAATTATATCTCAATAAAGCTGTGGAAAATTAAAAGCATATGTAGGATGCATACAAAAATACTACTTATCTTTATAAATGAATGAAATTCTGTCATTTGCAAAAACGTGGATGAATTTAGAGGACATTATACTAAGTAAAATAAGCCAGACACAGAAAGACAAATATCTCATGATACCACTTACATGTGAAATCCAAAAATGTGCACTCATAGAAGTTAAGAGTAGAATGGTGGTTTATCAGAGGCTGAGCAGGTCGGGTGGCGGGGGTGGAAAAAGGGGAAATATTCAATGGGATAATGCTTCAGTTAGGAGAAATACATTCTGGTGATATGGTACACAGCAAAGTGACTGCAGTTACTCATAATATAGTGCATATCTTAAAAGCGCTAAAATAGTACATTTTAAATGTTTCACCATAATGTAATAAATATCTGAGGTGAAGGATATGTTATTTAGCCTAATTTGTCCACTTCACAATATTTACATGTATTGTACCACATTGTACCCCATATATATTTATCGATAAAAACAAAATTTTCAAAAGTTAGAAAAACAGATGTGCTAGATCTTCATCTAAAGACATTTCTGAGAAAAATGTATCTGTTTTCTTTCAGAAGAAATTTACACTTAATAGATATTATGGTAACTAAAGTAAGGCAGATAATTTTGGCCATCAGCTTATATTGTGGGATAATCTCTTTTTGCTGACCTTGAAAAGCTGTGGCATATTCACAACAAGTAGGAAAATTTTTTTATCATGATCAGGTAAAGGTTCTGCATGCTTCTATTTTGAATAATATTTTCCCCTTAGAATCACAAAGTGTGAATGCCTTTTATTTCAGAGGTCTAGCCCTAAATGGTTTAGTCAATTACATCATGCATTCTGAAATAAGTACTGGTGCATTTGTGAAGGTACTATATATAATTGTGTTTTTAATTTAACCATCATGTAAGTCTACTTTTCTAGTTAAGAGTCTATATTTTATAGAGGCCCTCCATATATATAGAAGAGCTTTTCTGACAGTATATCCATTAAATTGCAAAGATAAATAAAGGAACAATTTTGCTTTCATTTTTTATTATTGTTATTATTTTTCAAGGCTAGTCAAGTGAAGCAGTGGGAGTGGAGAAGGAACTGCTTTCATTTTTATATGTTGGTGTTACAGGCTGTATGTGACAGGCTATATATTTGTCTGCTGAATTTTAGAAACAAAGTGAAATATTTATTTCATATTTCATTAGATAGGGATGATGATTACATTGAGGGATTGGGACTAGACTGAAGGCACCACATCATCAATCACTTGGAAACAAAATTTTGCCTATGTGTTATGTTATATTGGCAAAAACTTTTATTGTGTCAGGCGATATAGCTCCCTATTGAAATATGTGAAAAATGCAGAGAAAAAAAGGCAGGATTGGTTATCAAGGGATATTTAGGCCTGAGATACATGATGCAAATATTGAAAACGTACACTTTTTAAAATTTAGATTTAAAATGTAAATTGAAGCAGAGCATTTAGAAAAAGACATAATATCTACTATAAAAGTCCTGGGTTAGAAAAGTTAAAATACTAAATGAAAAAATAATGCTTCTTGGGTGGCTTAAAATCAAATATGAGACAAAAAATTACTCAGAAATTTTTCTAAGATTAAAAACATGTATACAGTTTCTTTGATACAAAATGAAATAAATGTCTGGATGTAACTTTAATAGAATAGAATAGGGAGACAAGGGCAAAGAGCAGGTGTATGCAGAATGAAGTGAACATATTATTGTAACAATGAGAGGGACAGAGTTGAATGACTGCTCTTGGAGACAAGGAGTTTTGATGTCTAAGTTAATGACAAATCTTTTGTTTGCAAGTTAAAAAAATGTAACTTAAACTTGGTGAAGGAATAAAGGGTGGTTGGGGGGATGACTCTTTGTACATTAAACTTGTTTTAATGACTAATGAATTAATCATAAGTTCAAATGATTTTATGGAGGCCCTTTCTTTTTTATTTGATGTTTCTGGACTCCTTTTTTCTCTGTATTTGCTCCATTTTTACCTACTTGAACAATTTTTACCCTCGAAGTTTAGGAAACACTGTAACCAAATGTGCCAACATGATGTGATCCCTGAAAGCATTTGCAGTTGGGGGATTAGAAGAAAAGGGCTTTCTCTTTCAACAAATGCATGTTAATCTCGATGAAAACTCAGAAGTTTAAACATGGTCCTCCTTGGGTCATGTGGCTACCCCAGGACCAATCATTGCACAAACATAGGAGATAATCTCAAAAGCCAGGCTGGAGTCAAGGTTATCCAGTGGAGTTTCCACTTTAGAAATCAGTTTTGTCAGCCTTTGTGTTTGCATATTACAGACATGATAGCTGTCTATTCCACTTCTATTAGAGATGAAAACTAAGAGCATATGCCCATTCAGAGGATTTTACATGAATCTTCATAGCAGCTTTACTTGCAACAGCCAAAACCTGAAAACATTCCAAATGTCCATGGCAGGTGAATTTGTGACTTATAAACTTACTATGGTATACGTATATAATGAAATAACACTCCCTAGTAAGAACAGAACAACTGATAGATGTAGCAACATGAATTAATCACAAAAATAGTGATGCTGAGTGATCAGAAAGTATACATACCATATGATTTCATGTATTTGGAAATAAAAACTCATGGATAGTGACTGGAAGTGGATCAGTGGTTACCTGTGGAAGAGATGGGGGGATAGGCAGGAAAAAGTGAGTAGAAAAAACACAAGAAAACTTTGGTGGTAAAGGTAATGGATATGTTTGCTATTTTAATATGTTGCTGGTTTTATAGAGCTACAAATGCCAAGAATTACCAAAATGTACAATTGAAGTATGTGCAGTTTATTGCATGTAAATAAACCTTTTAAAAATTAACCGATACAAGTTGACTTACATGACCAGAAAGCTCTTGAAAAACTCTCCTGTTTTCTCCCCTATTTTTATTCTTGCATGCCCTTATAGACTGTGTTAACACATTTCTCATCTTACGGTTCTTTTGTGTCTACATTTCTCCAGGTCAATATAACTATCACCATGATTTCTTGGTTTCTCTTTAGTTCATCAGTAATTATGAGTAATGTGTTGAAATGTTAATGATATGTTCATGCATTCAGAATCCTCTGCTCTCCGATCTACATAATAGTGAATTATGCTGTCAACGATTACACAGTATATTGCTTTTTTTTTCTTTTTTGAGACAGAGTCGCGCTTGGTTACCCAGGCTGGAATGCAATGACACATTCTGGGCTCACTGCAACCTCCACCTCCCGGGTTCAAGTGAGTTTCCTGCCTCAGCCTCCTGAGTAGCTGGGATTACAGGCATCTGCCATCATCCCCGGCTAATTTTTGTATTTTTATTGGAGACAGGGTTTCACCATGTTGACCAGGCTGGTCTTGAACCTCTGACCTCAGGTGATCTGCCTGTCTTGGCCTCCCAAAGTGCTGGGAATATAAGCATGAGCCACCATGCCCAGCCAGAATATTGCTACTTTTGCAAATAGCTACAAATGATCCTGATCTGGACACACTGAGTTGATCATAGCTTTGTAAAAGAGGATAGCATTGTAAAACTACAAAATTAGACTAATAATAAATAACATAGAATGCTTTCACTATAAGAAATAATACTATCCTAAGCAAAAATAAATAAATAAAACTGGAGGAATTATATTTTCTGACTTCATATTATACCACAGAATTATAGCAACCAAAAGAGTATGGTACTGGCATAAAAATAGACTCATAGATCAATGGAACAGAATAGAGAACCCAGTAACAAATGTACAAATGTACCTACAGTGAACTCATTTTTGACAAAGGTGCCAAGAACATACACTGGTGGGAAATGGTATTGAAAAAACTGGATATCCATATGCAGAAGAATGAAAACAGACTAGTATCTATCACCAAATACAAAAGTAAAATCAAAGTTGTTTAAAGATGTAAAGCCAAGACCTCGAACTATAAAACTAGTACAGAAAAACTTTGGGGAACACCTCCAGGACATTGGTCTGGGCAAAAATATCTTGAGCAATACCCCACAAGCACAGGCAACCAAAGCAAAAATGGACAAATGGATCACATTAAGTTAAAAAGCTTCTGCACAGAAAATGATACAATCAACAAAGTTAAGAGACAATCCACAGAATGGGAGAAAATATTTGCAAACTACTCATCTGACAAGGATTAATAATCAGAATATATAGAAAACTCAAACAACTCTTTAGGAAACAATCTAATAACCTAGCTAAAAAAAGGGGGGCAAAAGATTTGAATAGGTATTTCTCAAAAGAAGACCTACAAATGGCAAACAGGTATAAGAAAAGTGCTCAATATCACCGATCATCAGAGAAATTTAAATCAAAACTACAACAAGATATCATCTCACCACAGTTTATATGACTTGTATGCAAAAGACAGGCAATAACAAATGCTAGCAGGGATGCAGAGAAAAGGGAACTCTTGTACACTGCTCCTGGGAATGCAAATTAGTAAAACCACTAAGGTGAACAGTTTGGATGTTTCTCAATAAACTAAAAGTGGAGCTACCATATGATCTAGCAATCTTACTGCTGGGTGTATACCAAAAATAAAGGAAATCAGTATGTCAAATACATATCTGCACTCCCGTATTTGTTGCAGCACTGTTTACAACGCTAAGATTTGGAAGAAACCTTAGTGTCCATCAACAGATGAATGGATAAAGAAAATGTGGTACATATACACAACGGACGACTATTCAGCCATAACAAAGAATAAGATCCAGTCATGGTCAGTAACATTGATGGAACATTATGGATCATTATGTTAAGTGAAATAAACCAGGCACAGAAAGACAAATGTCACATGTTCTCACTAATTTGTGGAATCTAAAATCAAAACAAACTCATGGACACAGAGAGTATAAGGATGGTTATCAGAGGCTGGGAAAGGTAGCGGCAGGGGGTGTTGTGGGAAGGTGGGGATGGCTAATGGGTATAAAAATAGAGAGTTAATAAGACCTACTATTTGATAGCACAATAGGGTGACTATATTCAATAATAATGTAATTGTACATTTTGAAATAACTAAGACTGCAATTGAATTTTTTATAACTTGAAGGATAAATGCTTGAGGGGAGGGATACCCTATTCCCCATGATGTGCTTATTTCACATTGCATGCCTGTATCAAAACATCTCATGGACCCCACAGATACATACACATACTATGTACCCACAACATTTTTAAACAATCTAATACAATTTTTTAAATGGCACTTACTTTTTGTTACCTTCAACTATTGTAAAATATATTCTATTATTTATGATTAGCCCTGTTGGAAAACAAATTTTAAAAACACTATTTAAAACCAAATAAATGGACTAGGAGTAACTTGCATAAAAATGACAGAAATTGCTGCTACTTCTTCTAATTATTGAGATGGTATTTCTATATTTGTGAAATTATCTGTGATAGAAAGTTGAATTGTTTCCAACATTATTTTTATAATTAAATGTTATATTGCTATTTCTTTAAAAGTAGCCTTTAAAATATTACCAATCTACTTTAAAGTCTACTTGCCAAAATGTTAAACTATTCTTAAAAAAAGTAATTTATTTAATTACCTAACTTCCTCAAAGCAATGTCCTAATTTTCTCAAGCAATTATCTGATTTTCTCAAGCAATTGATATTAGCAAGTTGTGCTAGTTAACTGCTGAGAATCATGGTCTACATATCAGATAAACCATCTGTCAATCCTTTAAAGAAGACTTTATGAGCCTTAGATATGTTAGTCCAATCTGTATCACTGACTTTAAACACTGGATCATTGACACTCCATGTTGCCTGTAAGCCTATTTCACAGCAGCTGAGTGATGTTAATAGGTACTTCTTGGAGTGCCATTTTCCTTGTAACCCTTAGATTAATTCAGATTGACTGAGTTCTGTGTCAGTGGAAATTGCCAGAATTACATCATTGTGCTTTGCATCTAGTTTCACTTTTCCAAAAGCCTACACAGATTTCAGATGTTTAGAAAATAGCTCTTGTTTTCC
The DNA here is from genome assembly GCF_000001405.40 of Homo sapiens. Classification (NCBI taxonomy): domain Eukaryota; kingdom Metazoa; phylum Chordata; class Mammalia; order Primates; family Hominidae; genus Homo; species Homo sapiens. The sequence continues at coordinate 19,371,616 of NC_000014.9, forward strand.
TTCTGGGTAATCTTTTTCATGTCACCACTCTTGTCAGCATCTGCACTGGGCAAATTTCCTAGGACCTCCCTTCTGCTTCTTTTAAAATACGAAAACAAAATCAATGTAGCGCAGCAAGCCAGGGAAAGTCTGCTTTGATTGACTTACGACCATAGTCACCCAGCAGTTCCTTCAGAGGTGGCTTCCCAAGTCAGACACTGAGTCCACGCGCTGTCCGCCTGCCTGCAGAAGTGGCTCTGAGAGCTGTTTGAGGAGAAAATGGGGGACTTTGGGCTTCAGCCCGAGGAGAACACGGTGGAGATGGAGGAGCCCCTGGGGGTCCGCAGGTTAACTGAAAACATGAGAGGACACAAGCGCGGGACCAAGTCTGTCACTAACCTGTAAAGAACTCTGACCAAGCTGACTGGGCACTCTGTCTGCGCGCCTTTCTTTGCCACCACGTGTGCGGGAATGCCTGGGGCACGACTGGGCCATCTCAGTGTTCTTGTTTCTAGCCATTCCGAGGTTACCCCTCAGCAAAACGCCAGAGGCCGGCAGACACAGTGGAGCATCCTGCAGTAGGAATCCGAAGCCGTGGAATCTCCAAAGGGCCACGACTGCTTCCCAGAAGCTCTAGCACGTTGCCCGGAAAGCCCAGGTGGTCTTTGGCAAGACCTCCCGGATTGTGGTTTTGATTTGCATTTCTCTGATGACCAGTGATGATGAACATTTTTTCATGTGTCTGTTGGCTGCATAAATGTCTTCTTTTGATAAGTGTCTGTTCATATCCTTCGCCCACTTTTTGATGTGATTGTTTGATTTTTTCTTGTACATTTGTTTAAGTTCTTTGTAGATTCTGGATATTAGCCCTTTGTCAGATGGGTAGATTGCAAAAATTTTCTCCCATTCTGTAAGTTGCCTGTTCACTCTAATGGTAGTTTTTTTTTTTTTTTTTTTTTGCTGTGCAGAAGCTCTTTAGTTTAATTAGATCCCATTTGTCAATTTTGGCTTTTGTTGCCATTGCTTTTGGTGTTTTAGACATGAAGTCCTTGCCCATGCCTATGTCCTGAGTGGTATTGCCTAGGTTTTCTTCTAGGGTTTTATGGTTTTAGGTCTAACATTTAAGTCTTTAATCCATCTTGAAAAGTTAATAATAATAATGATGAAATATGGAAGAAATAAAAAAAAAAAAGACCTCCCGGAGACCAGGAACTTGGTCGGTGCTTGCGGCCTGAGATCGAGCTCTGGGGCACCTTCCCGTCCTTCTGCTTTTTCCTTGGCCGCCTTAGGGGGCGCGCCTCGCCATGGGTCTCCCTGCAGGCGGCGCGGTGGTGCTCCTGGATGTCACCTCCAGGCGCTTTTGAAACTGCGACCGGCACCGGGCGCCCAGCACCTGCGGATTGGCCTCCCCACGCCCGGCTCAAGGACCTCCAGCACTCCGCAGTGCGGGCTGCAGGCCACCTCAACGTGGAGCTGCTGCCAGCGCCACAGGCCCCAGGGACGCCCAGGATCTGCTTCCCAGGCCCAAGAAGGGCTGTTTTGGAAAGTCTTTGGCGTGATGGAAGGCGGCGCCCATCCAGGGCGGGGCTAAGAACTAGGCTGGCGCCGCTGCCTGGTAAGCGGGGACCAAGAGGCCCACGGCCTCCATCAAGAACCAGGTGCTTCTCCAAATCCCGGACTTCAAGGAGCAGCAACGGCGTCAAGCTGGCTGACACCAGGAACACCCAGAAGTCCCCGCTCCTGTCTGTCCTTCCGCACTCAGGAGCGGGGATGGCCACAGGGACACCATCCGCCCACAAACCGCTGGCCTTTGCTGCCATGGTGCGCGGAGATGCGGTCCCCGAGGCCACTTTCGGCCAGGACGCCGGGATCTTATCAGCGGCAGCATCCCGCCCTGACACTCAGTATTGACTTTCCCCAGACATTGCTGGATTTTTTTCCTTTTTAAAACAATTTTGCAGTGGGAGAACAAAAAAGGGCATCCTCAGAGCTTTTACAAAATTCTCCTGGACCTGTGGTTCTATGGTGTTCACCTCTGCGTTTTACTGACCACTAATTGGCCAGAGCTCCTAAGGCCTATAGGGGTCCCCCTGCCCCACCGGGTGCTTTAGACACTCCTGAGGGACATTCATGGCTCAGGAGGATAAAGGTCCTCAGGGGCCTGCTGTGAGGAGGACATGCAGCCCCTCTGCCGCCGCATCTTCCGCCATTCCAGCCTGGAAGGAGAGACCATGCCCTCCACCCCACAGGCCTTCATGACCTTGGGACCCACTCTTTAGAGGCCACGTGCGTTTCCACTGCCAAAGCAATGACACAGGAGATGGAAAGAAATTCTTGGCCTGGCGCGCTGGCTCACGCCTGTAGTCACAACACTTTGGGAGGCCAAGGCAGGCGGATCACGAGGTCAGGAGATCGAGACCATCCTGGCTAGCAAGGTGAAACCCCGTCTTTACTAAGAACACACAAAAAGTTGGCGGGCGCCTGTAGTCCCAGCTACTCGGGAGGCTGAGGCGGGAGAGTGGCGTGAACCCGGGAGGCAGAGCTTGCAGTGAGCGGAGATCACGCCACTGCACTCCAGCCTGGGCAACAGAGCGACACTACGTCTCAGAAAATAAAAAAAAAAATTTTGCCTTCACTATATGTCCAAGTAATTTCTCGATTAGAGCCCAGAGTCGTGGGGCCCACACCGCCAGCTGACACATGAAAGTGTGGCAACGATGTGGTGGTGTCTGTGTGGCAGTGTGTCTGCATTTCTGTGTGGTGGTGTATCTGTGTGGCAGAGTGTCTGGTGCTATGTCCATGTGGTGGTGTATCTGCATGGTGATGTCTCCGTGTGACAGTGTTTTGTGTATCTGTGTGACAGTGTCTGTGTGTCCTTGTGTCCACATGGCAGTGTGTGTGGTGGTGTGATGGTGTGGAGGTGTGTCCATGTGACAGTGTGGCAGTGTGTGTGCCAGTGTCCATATGGCAGTGTGTCGGTGTGTTCATGTGTGTGATGGTGTGTCCATGTGACAGTGTGGTGATGTCTCGTGTCCCTGTGGTAGTGTGACAGTGTGTCCATGTGGTGATGTCTCCGTGTGTCTGTGTCCCTGTGATAGTGTGGTGGTGTGTCCATGTGATTTCTCCATATGTCTGTGTGTCCGTCCATGTGACTATGCCAGTGTGTCCGTGTGACTGTGTGACGGTGTCTCCATGTGGTAATGTCTCCGTGTGTCTGTACATGTGAGTCTGGTCATGTGTCCACGTGGCGGTGTGTCCGTGTAACAATGTGGCGGTGTTCCCTCTCCGGCTTGCGGAGCTAGCATCTTTCTCTCTCAGCCCAGGACGCCTGAAGAGGCCCCAGCTTGAACATAAAGTATTGATATTTTACACATTTGCACATAATTAGAATTTTGAAGCCGTAATTTCAGATAAGGTGTCTAGGACATAACAATATTGATGTAAGAAAGCCATAAGCAATGTTTATTTTCAATCAGATTTACTAAAAAATTTTATTGAACTGGTCAATTTTCTTTGCCAATATTACTGTATTCTTATTTCTAGTAATAGAAGTGTGAAAAAGCATCAAGGAAACTTAAATTGCATTCTCATACTGACTGCATACAATAATTCTGAAAACAGCGGAAGTTATATATATCCCTCATAAGTAAAACATGAGTAACACAACAAATGAAAAACGAATAGGAGACAATTCAAATAATGGCGACCTGTTATTCTCATCTAGTTAAGTACTATTATTTTCTAACAGGAATTTGCTATTTCAAATATATTATCTGAGATGTCTATATATTTATATTTTGAGATACTATACAAATTTGAGCCAATGACATAGAATTTTACAAATCAAGAAGCTTATTCTGGGGCCATTTCTTTTGACGTTTTCTCTAAACTACTAAAGAGGCATTAATGATCCATAAATTATATTATCTACATTTACAGCATTTAAAATGTGTTCAGCATGAAATATTAGCTACAGGGGAAGCTAAATAAATTAAACATGGAATAAAGATTTGTCCTTAAATATAATCTACAAGAAGACTTTGATATTTGTTTTTCACAAGTGAAGCATTCTTATAAAGTGTCATAACCTTTTTGGGGAAACTATGGGAAAAAATGGGGAAACTCTGAAGGGTTTTAAGTATCTTACCTGAAGCTACAGACTCCATAACCTCTCTTTACAGGGAGCTCCTGCAGCCCCTACAGAAATGAGTGGCTGAGATTCTTGATTGCACAGCAGAGCTTCTCATCTAAACCCTTTCCCTTTTTAGTGTCTGTGTATCAGTATAAAAGTTCTATAAACTGTAGTTACTTATTTTAATCCCAAAGCACAGTAACAATATACTTCATCCTAGGGTTGGCAGTTTCTCTGAGTGTTTTGTTTAATTATCATTATTATATCTGCAGGATTCCAAAGCGCCTAAAAAGTAAAATATTTTAAAAAGGGGAAAGAGAGAAAGAGGAAGAAAATAAAATTAATAGCCCATTCTGTCACTGTTATTACACACCAGAATACCTTTTTGTTAATCTAATTAAAATTAGTGACATCATTTAACATTTATGTCTTCAACAAAAGTTTGGAATCCTGAAAAAGCCATTTAATTTGCTAATAAATATATTTGAATTGAATTGAAATCCTTATGTATTACTTTAAATAAAGAACACAAGATGAATTATGATGTAGAAAATTCTATCCCTCATTGTCCAAAATCTAATACTTAAATTGAACTTGTTAAATAATATTTTTGTCCAGGCGTGAGGCTTACACCTGGAATCCCAATAGTTTGGGAGGCAAAGGCAGGTGGATTGCTTGAGCTGAGGAGTTGCAGACCAGGCTCGGCAACATGGTGAAACCCAATCTTTACCAAAAAAAAAAAAAAAAATTAGCCAGGCATAGTGGCTTGCCTGTAGTCCCAGCTACTCAGGAGGATGAGATGGGAGGATCACCTGAGCCTGGGGAAGCTGGGGCTGCAGTAAGCCATGATTGTGCCACTGTACTCCAGCTTGGGCAACAGACTGAGACCCCGTCTCGAAAGAAGAAAGAAAGAAAGAAAAGAAAGAAAAAGAAAGAAAGAAAGAGAAAGAAAAAGAGAAAGAAAGAAAGAAAGAAAGAAAGAAAGAAAGAAAGAAAGAAAGAAAGAAAGGCAGGCGAGAGAGCGAGGAAGGAAGGAAGCAAAGAAGGAAAGAAGGAAGGGAGGAAGAAAAATAATGGTTTTGGTGCCAATAATCTTTGTGGAATTTTGCTTTAATGAAATAGATTTAACTAAGTAGTGACATGATCTACTTAAGTTTATTGACCCTAGCAATCAGAGGCATCTGAATCCCCACAATGACTTGACACTTACATTTGACAAACATTGATTCTCCTATCATACCTATGGCATAGTCGGAATTTCAGAATTCCAACTTTCCCTATGCTATTTGAGCACATTGCTTAACATCTCTAAGACTCGATATTTTTACTCTTAAGATACTACAAATAATAGTACATAGTTTATATGATATAATGTGTATCAAAAAGCATTATACTTTCAGGCAGACAGCAATTTCTCAATAAATATTTGCTAATGTTTTAGTACAAACAGGAGAATTGGATTATGATATTTATGACACTGTTGATCCTCCTTCTAGAAACATTTGTTTCTAAAACTTGTTTTCAAGTTAGAGCACTATTTTGTGTTCAAATTGAAAATACTATATGTTCAGATTTTTTAAAAAACAGTATTGCATTAATGTTTTAATAAAACATTCCTAAATGAGCTTGAGCAAGGAGGATGGGGAGATAAGTAAAATAAGGCTTTGTGGCATAGGAGACATTTGGTGGAAATCTTTCAGCTCAACTAAGATTTGAAAAAAAAAAAGAGAATTTTTATAAAAAATGTAAAGGCAGGATTTACCCTGATGAGCTTGTGGAGAAAATACAAAGTCTAACGTAATTCAAAAGAGACTAATCAGTCAAAGTAGTTTTGAAGGAAATATTTTGAAGAGAGAGAACATAAAATGAAGATCAGGTATGTAATTATTTTAATAATCTATCCATGAGATAAAAAGCATTGGGTTTTTTTTTTATTTGTCAAAAAGGGACAATAGTTTTAAGAACCATTCTTTGTTCAGCCTAAAGAGGATTTTACATTTTGAGCCAGTGACATATTGTGCTAAGTAGGATAATATCCTAATTTCTGTCTATATCAACAATTTTGTTCTCAATAAAAACACTTTATTCACACAACTGATGATCATCTGCATTTGATTTAGTGCTGAACTGTCAAAGGGGGGCTAATAAAAACAAAATATTAGAGTTGCAAGTGGCATAAGTGGAAAATAATGATCATACTCATCACTACTGAAATAATAAAACAAAGCAAAAAATAAATAAGAAAAAAATTGACTACATGAACATTTGCTTCTCTCCTAAGAATCAAAACCCTTCGTTTTCTGTGGCAAAAAAAGCATCTGTGTCCATGAACCCACGCAAAAGTCTACTGTTTCTGGGAGATAAGAAGCAGCAAAACACATCAGCTTTCCGAGAAGGTTAAGAAACCTCTCATACCCTACCCTATCCCACCTGAGACCAGGCAAAGGATCACTGCTTCTGGGGGAGGGATGCAAGAAAAATACTTCTCCATCAGGAGAGGAACAAGGATTGTTTTGGGGCCCAGGATTTTGCACTAATGCAGAGTTGTGCTACTGTGGTAAAGGGTTGGAAAATCTCCATCCAGTGACACAGACAAAGGTACATTGTTCCTATGGAAGAAGAAATAAAATAGTATGTCCTTAGTGTGGGGTTGAAAACTTGCAATGATATAAATCAAAGGTTTTCTACCACTGAGGTGGGAGGAGGGCAAGGTATCATTTCTTCCTCAAAAAACAACACAGATAAGAGACAGTTTGATTCCCACTAGAATAAGAGTCAGGAAGTGCTAAAAATACCCCTTCTCTGAGTGTCCAATGATGAAACTGGCTCAAAAATAACATGAATCATCCCTCTGCCCCCAACCTGAATTTTCTGCCTAGTCACACACACACACACACACACACACACACACACACACACACACACACACACACACATACAAAATGATGTTCTACAGTTAGAGAGGAACAAGAAAGTGGAGAGAGACCCTCCTATGACATATGTGGTAAGGACTACGGAAAGATAACTGGAACAGGAGCACTGGAATATGCCCTCCAGAGCCTAAGGCCCCACACAAGGCACATGATATAGCAGCCTGCTGCTGGAGAAATCTGAGTTACGTGGTTCACTGAATGTTTCAGACACCGTGGCAAAAACCAACCTTTGTTCCTGCCCACACTAATAGCATGACACAAACCAAAATGAAACATAAATATAAAACAATCTCAACATAAACAATTATCTCATGATCTACTGATTTTCTACATCTGATGATCTGCACTTTTTAGAAATTGGGAGACACATAAAATCAAGTTAGAAATTTGGGTTATGAGTTATAATATTTTCAAAAGATAAAAAGTCAACAGAATCAAATTCAGAGATAATTCAGATGTTGGAACTAAACGCAACTAATTTAAAATAATAATGATCAAAATGTTAAAGAATCTACTTAAAAAAAGACAACATGTATGGAAAAATGAGGAATTTCAGCAGAGATGGGAACAGTAAAAGGCAAAAGCTAGAAATAAGTGAAAGCATGAGAACAGAAATGAAGAATTACAACAGCAAGCTGATTAGCAGACTGGTCATCAGAGCTAAAGAAAGAAGCAGTAAATTTTATGCTAGGTCAATACAAATTATTTGAATGGTAGCACAAAGGGAGGAAAGAGAAAAACAAAATAAACCAATGAGCCAAGCAAATAAAATACTCCAGTGAATCCAAGAATTCTCTGGTAACATGAAATTAAGTAAAATACAATTAATTGGAATTCCAGGAGAGTAAAAACAGAATGTAAGGGAAGGAAAATTTGAAAAAGATGACTAAGGAGACCAAATAAACTCAAAAAGATCCAAGAAAGATAAATACAAAATTTAAAGAATGCTAGAATAATCACACTAGCCAAACTGCTGAAAACCAACGATTAGCAAAAATCTTGAATTCAGTCACAGAAAAATAGGAACACTGTGTAGAGAGATAAACAGAAATAGACATTACAGTGAACTGCGTGTCAGCAACTCTACAAGTCAGAAACCAATGATACAAAATTTTTAAATAACTTAAAAAAAGTCAACCCCCAATCTTACATCCATTAACTATATAGTGAAAATAACAATGAAATGAAGACATTTTCAGATTAACACTGCAAGAGTCCCTTGCTAACAGGTCTGCACTAAAATAAATGTCAAAATCATTTCTTGAGGCAAAAGGAATATGGAAGCAGATGAAAGTTGAAACTACACAAAGAAATAAAGAGTGCCAGAGAAGATATAAAGATATATAGCCCAATTATTTTACATTGCTCTAAAGATAATTGTCTTATTTTTTTTAAAAAAGAGTAACTTTATATTATGGAATTCATAATATTTGAGACTATAATGCATGATATAAATAGTATAAAGGAGAGAGGAAACAAAAATATACATTTTAAGGTTCTTATACCATAGTTGGTATAATACAAATTATAGGTTACTATAATAAGCTAGAATAGGTATTTAGGTATTGAAATCTCTAGAGAAACCATGAACATTTCCAAAAGATGGTATGTGCATTAATATTTTCATAGAACTTCCAGCTTTTGTTTTTCTTCATTTAATTTTATTTATTTATTTATTTATTTATTTATTTATTTATTTTTGAGATGGAGTCTCGCCCTGTTGCCCAGGCTGGAGTGCAGTGACCTGATCTCAGCTCACTGCAACCTCCACCTCCCAGGTTCCAATGATTCTCCTGCCTCAGCCTCCCAAATAGCTGGGATTACAGGTGCCCACCACCATGCCTAGTTAATTTTTGTATTTTTAGTGGACATGGGGTTTCACCACGTTGGCCTGGCTTGTTTCAAACTCCTGACCTCGTGATAGGCCCACCTCAGCTTCCCAAAGTGCTGGGATTACAGACTTGAGACACTGTGCTAGGCCCCAGCTTTTATTTTTTAAGGTAGTTGTTGTGTTATTACATGTGAAGTAAGGTTAATCTTGAATATCCACGTTTTGAGAATAATGACAAATTAATTTATCTCAACCTAAATAACATTTTATTATTGAATATTTAAATATTTTTATTATTTTTACTTTTTAACAGAAGTCATTCTAACTGGTGTGAGATGGTATCTAATTGATGTTTTGTTTTGCATTCTCTAATGATTAGTGATGGTATGCATGTGTTAATATGTTTGTTGGCCACGTATGTGTTCTTTTGAAAACTGTCTGTTCATGTTCTTTGCCCATTTTTTAATGGGGTTATTTTTTGCTTCTTGATTTGTCTAAGTCTCTTATAGATTCTGGATAATAGGCCTTTGCTGTATGCATAGTGTGTGAATATTTTCTTCCACTCTGTAGGCTGTCTGTTCAATCCCCCTTGAGAGTTTCTCATGCTGTGCAGAAGCAGCTCTTTAGTTTAATTAAATCACACTTGTCAATTTTCATTTTTCTGGCAATTGCTTTTGAGGACTTACCCATAAATTCATTGCCAAGTGCAAAGTCCAGACGAATATTTCCTAGGTTTTCTTCCAGGATTTTTATAGTCAGAGGATGTAATCTTATGCCAACGGGTCTTAATAATCAAATGACTCCACAGTGAGAATCATTACTCTGAAAAATTGATTTTGTTAGAATGATGGAAATTTAAATATTTGAAAGTAAAAACACATGCCACCTTTTTCCTAGAACTCTGCAAGGCAAATTGCTGTAAGACAGGCAGAGGAAGCACAATATATATATATATCCAAAATATAATTTGCAGTGAAATAAATGAAAGCAAATTATAAATAAACTTACCTGATTTTACAAACTAACCTTTAAAGGGATTTCTACTAATTTTTCTATTGCCTGAATTGCCCTTTCTTCTAGATCCAATTTATATTTTTGTACTTCACCAATGTGTCTTCACCAATGTGTACTTTCCATATGTTTTTTAAGATTTAATATTACTTTTTCCAACATCTTCTTATCCTCTTCAAGTTTTTTATATTCCTGTTGTATTTTTTTCATAGATAATAACTCCTGTTGAATAACTTCTTTTTAGTCAAATAGACATATTTTGAAGATACAGCTTTCAGCTTTGCTGTAAGATCATCGAACTACATTAATAAAATAATATAGCTTGATAATGAAGTAGGCTGAGAATAATCTCATACAAAACCAATAACAAATTTTGAAATACATTTACTTGCAATAAAATGTTATCTATAATGTAGATTCTTTAAATGTTAACCCGTACTCAGAAATGCAAGAACAAAGTAAAAGCCACCATGAGTCACAAACATATATTCTTTACTCTCATCATCTTTGCCACAGAACTTTTGCACTTGATCTTACTTTTGTTTTTCTGATAATTTGTGTTTTTTCCTTTCTTAAATGGCTCTAAGTTAACTCTTATTAGAAAGTTTCAAACCCCCTTCTCTCATCATCATGCCCCAAAATTTGTCAAAAAAAAGTTTCAGAGATATTATATTGAGTTATTTAGGCCAAAGGCAATAAATGGCTCTTACAATAAGACTTTGAAAATAATGTAATACTCTACAATAGGCATGGTGTATCATGCATATAATCCTAGCACTTAAGGAGGCTGTGGCAGAAAGATCCCTTGAGGTCAAACATTTGAGATCAGCCAGAGCAACATAGTGATACCATAATCTCGACAAAAAAAAAAAAAAAAAAAAAAAAACGTGAAAAAATTAGCCACGCATGATGCCTTATGCTTGTAGATCCAACTGGTTGGGAGATTAAGGCAAAAGGATGGCTTGCACTCAAGAGTTCAGGGCTGTGGTGAATTATGATCAAACCACGGCACTTCTGCCTCGATGACAAAGACCATATCTCAAAAAAACACAAAATAATCCTATAAATAAGGATTCTAATGCCACAAGCCTTTCCATAGGCTGTAAATGTTTTATGCTAATTTGAATTGCATTTTAAAAAGTAATGATTCTTGGGGTAAAGGCCATAGAATACAGTCCCAAGAAATAAATCCACATATTTACCTTACAAGAAATAAATCCACATTCTTGTGTTACAAGAGCTCCTGAAGGAGACACTAAACGTAGAAAGGAAAAACCAGTACCAGCCACTACAAAAACATATCGAATTGTAAAGACCATTGACACTATAAAGAAACTGCAAACTAATGGGAAAAATAAAAAGCTAGCAACATCATGACAGGATAAATTTCACCTGTAGCAATACTAAACTTAAATGTAAATGGGCTAAATGCCCCAGTTAAAAGACACAGACTGGCAAGTTGGATAAAGAGTAAAGACCCATTGTTGTCCTGTATTCAGGAGACCCATCTCATGTGCAAAGACACACATAGGCTTAAAATAAAGGGATGGAGGAATATTTACCAAGCAAATGGAAAGCAAAAAAGAGCAGGGTTTGCAATCCTAGTCTCTGATAAAACAGACATTAACTGAAAAAGATCAAGAGAGACAAAGAAGAGCACCACAAAGCAGTGCCATCTGCTTTTCCTCAGGCCTCTGCTCCATCAGCTGGCAGCCACCCAGGATGTTGGAACCTGGCCATCCCTGCTTCTTTCAGTGGGTGAGGTTGGTGGCTGCTCCACCTGCTCCAGGCACACCCTTAACAGAGGTGGCTGCTTGCTCTTTAAGCCAGCTTGGCCTTGCCTGGCATGCACAGGCCCCGGGGACCGACATGCTGCTCTGACTGAGACCGTCCTGACTTTGTCAAATTCTACGTCTGGCCTGGGCCACAGAAGCACAAGTCCCCTGGGTGGTACCACTGGCTGCTTTCTGGACTGGAACATAAAGTCCTCCTCAAGATGACCTGTGGTCTGCCTCTTGGCAACCAACAAGCCCGCAGTGTCATACGACCCATGAGACATGGACTGAAGGCCCAAAGGGAGTGCACACCATGTTCCAGAGCCAGCTGCTCCTTTCCTCTATATGGCCCCATTTGCAGCACAGTTGTTGCACTGAGGCTTGTGCATGCTGGGCAAGGGCAAGCTGGCTCAAAGGGCAACCAGCTATCTTTGCACGGATGTGCCAGCAGCAGGCAGACCAGCCATCAACCTCACACGCTGCCAGTCAGGCTAAATCAGCTCTTCTACCATAAAGGTAGGGCCACAGTGCCATCTGGTTTTCCTAAGGCCTCTGTTTCTTCAGCCATTAGGTGGCACCCACTCAGGCTTTGGGAACCTGGCTACCCCGGCTTCCTGGAGTGGGTGAGCTGGTGGCTGCTCCACCTGCTCTAGGTGCACCCTTGCAGAGGTGGCTGGTTGCTCTTTGAGCCAGCTTGGCCTTGCCTGGCATGCACAGACCCCAGCTACAGACACGCTACTCCAAGTGAGCTTGTCCTGTCTACGGCCAAATTCTAAGTTTGGCCAGGGCCACAGAAGGCAGAGTCCCGAGGGTGGTAATCCTGGCTGCTTTCTGCACTTGAACATAAAGTCCTTCTCAAGACGGCCTATGGTCTGCCTCTTGGCAACCAAGAAGCCCACAGTGACATAAGACCCTTGAGGCAAGGACTGGAGCCCCCAAAGGCAGCATACACCTTGCTCCTGAGATGGCTGCTCGTTTCCCCTATATGGCTCCACTTGTAGCACAGTAGTAGCACTGAGGCTTGTGCATGCTGGGCAAGGCTAAGAGGGCTCAAAGAGCAACCAGTCACCTCTGCGAGGGTGTGCCAGGAGCTGGGGGCACAGCCACCAACCTCACTCGCTGCAGGACATGGAACATCAGTTCTTCTAACAAAAAGGTAGGGCCAAGGGCCATCTGCTTTTCCTAAGGCCTTTGCTCCATCAGCCATCAGGTGGCAGCCACTCAGGCTGTGGGAACATGGCCATCCACTTCCTTGACTGGGTAAGGTTGGTGGCTGGTCCACCTCCTCCAGACGCACCCCTGCAGAGGTGGCTGGTTGCTCATTGAGCCAGTTTGGCCTTGTCTGGCATGCACAGATTTGAGGTACTAACACGCTGCTCTGAGTGAGCTTGTCCTGCCTTGGCACAAATTCTATGTCTGGCCAGGGCCACAGAAGACCAAGTCCCCTGGATGGTGATCCTGGCTGCTTTCTGCAGTGGAACATAAACTCCTTCTCAAGATGGCCTGTGGTTGGCCTCTTGGCAACCAAGAATCGTGCAGTGGCATAGGAGCCCTGAGGTATGGATTGGAGAGCCGAAGGCAGCGCATACCCTGCTCCTGAGCCTGCTGCTTGTTTCCTCTCTGTGGCTCCATTTGTAGCACAGTTGTTGCACTGAAGCTTGTACATGCCCGGCAAGGCCAAGCTGGCTCAAAGAGCAACCAGCCACCTCTGCAAGGAAGAGCAGGTGCACCAGTTACGAACTACAGGTCGGACATGGTACATCAGTTCTTCAACCCTAAAGTTGGGCCACAGTGCCATCTGCTTTTCCTAAGGCCACTGCTCCATCAGGAATTAGGTGGCAGCCAAGGCAGGACAAGCACACTCGGAGCAGTGTGTTAGTACCTGGGGCCTGTGCATGCCAGGGAGGCCAAGCTGGCTCAAAGAGCAACCAGACACCTCTGCAAGGTTTGGCCAGGGCTATAGAAGGTCCCCCTGGATGGTAATCCTGGCTGCTTTCTGCACTTGAATATAAAGTCCTCCCCAAGATGGCCTGTGGTCTGCCTCTTGGCAACCAAGAAGCCCGCAGTGCCATGTGACACCTGAGGCATGGACTGGAGCCCCAAAGGCAGGGTACACCCTTCTCCTGAACCTGCTTCTTGTTTCCTCTATATGGCTCCATTTGTGGCAAAGTTGTTGCACTGAAGCTTGTGCATGCCGGGCAAGGACAAGCTGGCTCAAACAGCAACCAGCCACCTCTGCAAAGGTGTAAGCAGCAGCCGGTGTACCAGTCACCAATTAGCGTCCGGACATGTACATCACTTCTTCCACCCTAAAGGTAGGGCCACAGTGCCATCTGCTTTTCTTAAGGCCTCTGCTCCATCAGCAATAAGGTGGCAGACACTCAGGCTGTGGGAACCTGGCCATCCCCACTTCCTCGAGCGGGTGAGGTGGTGGATGCTCCGCCTGCACTAGGCGCACCCTTGCAGAGGTGGCTGGTTGCTCTTTGAGCCAGCTTGGCCTTGCCTGGCATGCATAGGCCCCAGCTACTGACACGCTGCTCCGAGTGAGCTCATGTCCTGCCTTGGCACAAATTTTAAGTCTCGCCAGGGCCACAGAAGGCTTAGTCCCATGGATGGTAATTTTGGCTGCTTTCTGCACTTGAACGTAAAGTCCTCCTCAAGAAGGCCTGTGGTCCGCCTCTTGGCAACCAAGAAGCCTGCAGTACCATACGACCCGAGGCATGGACTGGAGCCCCAAAGGCAGCGCACACCCTGCTCCTGAGCCTGCTGCTTGTTTCCTGTGTCTCCATTTGTAGGACAGTTGTTGCACTGAGGCTTGTGCATGCCGGGCAAGGCCAAGCTGGCTCAAAGAGCAACCACCCACCTCTGCAAGGGTATGCCAGGAGCAGGTGCACCAGTCACCAACTAGCGGCCGGACATGGTACATCTTCTTCTACCCTAAAGTTGGGCTACAGCGCCATTTGCTTTTCCTAAGGCCGCTGCTCCAACAGCAGTTAGGTGGCAGCCAAGGCAGGACAAGCTCACTCAGAGCAGCGTGTTAGTACCTGGGGCCTGTGCATGCCAGGGAGGCCGAGCTCGCTCAAAGAGCACCCAGCCACCTCTGCAAGGTCTGGCCAGGGCTACAGAAGGCCCCCCTGGATGGTAATCCTGGCTGCTTTCTGCACTTGAACATAAAGTCCTCCTCAAGATGGCCTGTGGGCTGCCTCTAGGCAACCAAGAAGCCCGCAGTGCTACCCGACCCCTGAGGCATGGACTAGAGCCCCAAAGGCAATGCACAACCTGCTCCTGAGCCTGCTGCTCGTTTCCTCTCTGTGGCTACATTTGTAGCAGAGTAGTTGCACTGAGCTTTGCGCATGCTGGGCAAGGCCAAGCTGGCTCAAAGAGCAACCAGCCACCTCTGCAAGGCTGGGCCAGGAGAAGGTGGACCAGTCACCAACCTCACTTGCTTCAGGACATGGTACATCCGTTCTTCTACTCTAAAGGTAGGTCCAAGAGGCAGACCACAGGTCATCTTGAGGAGGACTTTATGTTCAAGTGCAGAAAGCAGCCAGGATTGCCACCCTGGGAACTCGGCCTGCTGTGGTCCGCAGTGCCATACGAGCTCTGAGGCATGGACTGGTGCCATGTGCTTTATAGAAAAATTAACTTAAGATCCATTAAAGAGCTAAATGTGCCATCTGATTTTCCTCAGGCCTCTGCTCCATCAGCTATCAGGTGGCAGCCACTCAGGCTGTTGCAACCTGGCCATCCCTGCTTCCTTGAGTAGGTGAGCTTGGTGGCTGGTCCAACTGGTCCAGGCCCACCCTTGCACAGGTGGCTGGTGGCTCTTTGAGCCAGCTTGGGCTTCCGTGGCATGCGCACGCCTCAGGTAATAACACGCTGCTCCCAGTGAGTTTGTCCTGCCTTGGCACAAATTCTAAGTCTGGCCAGGGCCACAGAAGGCCGAGTGCCCTGGGTGGCAATCCTGGCTGCTTTCTGCACCTGAACGTAAAGTCCTCCACAAGAGGACCTGTGATCTGCCTCGTGGCAACAAAGAAGCCCGCAGTGACATATGATGCCTGAGGCATGGACTGGAGCCCCAAAGGCAGTGCACACCCTGCTCCTGAGCCTGTTGCTCGTTTCTATATGGCTCCATTTGTAGCACAGTTGTTGCACTGAAGCTTGGGCATGCCGGCCAAGGCCAAGCTGGCTCAAAAAGCAACCAGTCACCTCTGCAAGGGTGTGCCAGGAGCAAGGGCACGAGCTACCAACTAGCAGCCGGACATGTACATCACTTCTTCTACCCTAAAGGTAGGGCCACAGTGCCATCTGCTTTTCCTAAGGCCTCTGTTCCATCAGCAATTAGGTGGCAGCCAATCAAGCTGTGGGAAGCTGGCCATCCCCACTTCCTTGTGTGGCTGAGGTGCTGGATGCTCTGCCTGCTCTAGGCGCACCCTTGCAGAGGTGGCTGGTTGCTCTTTGAGCCAGCTCGGCCTTGCCTGGCATGCATAGGCCCCAGTGACTGACACGCTGCTCCGAGTGAGCTTGTCCTGCCTTGGCACAAATTTTAAGTCTCGCCAGGGCCACAGAAGGCTCAGTCCCATGGATGGTAATTTTGGCTGCTTTCTGCACTTGAACGTAAAGTCCTCCTCAAGAAGGCCTGTGGTCTGCCTCTTGGCAACCAAGAAGCCTGCAGTACCGTACGACCCGAGGCATGGACTGGAGCCCCAAAGGCAGTGCACACCCTGCTCCTGAGCCTGTTGCTCGTTTCTATATGGCTCCATTTGTAGCACAGTTGTTGCACTGAAGCTTGGGCATGCCGGCCAAGGCCAAGCTGGCTCAAAAAGCAACCAGTCACCTCTGCAAGGGTGTGCCAGGAGCAAGGGCACGAGCTACCAACTAGCAGCCGGACATGTACATCACTTTTTCTACCCTAAAGGTAGGGCCACAGTGCCATCTGCTTTTCCTAAGGCCTCTGTTCCATCAGCAATTAGGTGGCAGCCAATCAAGCTGTGGGAAGCTGGCCATCCCCACTTCCTTGTGTGGCTGAGGTGCTGGATGCTCTGCCTGCTCTAGGCGCACCCTTGCAGAGGTGGCTGGTTGCTCTTTGAGCCAGCTCGGCCTTGCCTGGCATGCATAGGCCCCAGTGACTGACACGCTGCTCCGAGTGAGCTTGTCCTGCCTTGGCACAAATTCTATGTCTGGCCAGGGCCACAGAAGGCCGAGTCCCCTGGATGGTAATCCTGGCTGCTTTCTGTACTTGAACGTAAAGTCCTCATCAAGACGGCCTGTGGTCTGCCTCTTGGCAACCAAGAAGCCTGCAGTGCCATACGACCCCTGAGGCATGGACTGGAGCCCCAAAGGCAGCGCACACCTGGTTCCTGAGCCTGCTGCTTGTTTCCTCTCTGTGGCTCCATTTGTAGCACAGTTGTTGCACTGAAGCTTGTGCATGCTGGGCAAGGCCAAGCTGGCTCAAAGAGCAACCAGCCACCTCTGCAAGGGTGTGCCAGGAGCAGGTGCACCAGTCACCAACTAACGGCCAGACATGGTACATCACTTCTACCCTAAAGGTGGGCCACAGTGCCATCTGCTTTTCCTAAGGCCTCTGCTCCATCAGGAATTAGGTGGCAGCCAAGGCAGGACAAGCACACTCGGAGCAGTGTGTTAGCACCTGGCGCCTGTGCATGCCAGGGAGGCCAAGCTGGCTCAAAGAGCAACCAGACACCTCTGCAAGGTCTGGCCAGGGCTATAGAAGGTTCCCCTGGATGGTAATCCTGGCTGCTTTCTGCACTTGAATATAAAGTCCTCCCCAAGATGGCCTGTGGTCTGCCTCTTGGCAACCAAGAAGCCCGCAGTGCCATGTGACACCTGAGGCATGGACTGGAGCCCCAAAGGCAGGGTACACGCTTCTCCTGAACCTGCTTCTTGTTTCCTCTATATGGCTCCATTTGTGGCAAAGTTGTTGCACTGAAACTTGTGCATGCCGGGCAAGGACAAGCTGGCTCAAAGAGCAACCAGCCACCTCTGCAAAGGTGTAGCAGGAGCCGGTGTACCAGTCACCAATTAGCGTCCTACCCTAAAGGTAGGGCCACAGTGCCATCTGCTTTTCTTAAGGCCTCTGCTCCATCAGCAATAAGGTGGCAGACACTCAGGCTGTGGGAACCTGGCCATCCCCACTTCCTCGAGCGGGTGAGGTGGTGGATGCTCCCCCTGCACTAGGCGCACCCTTGCAGAGGTGGCTGGTTGCTCTTTGAGCCAGCTTGGCCTTGCCTGGCATGCATAGGCCCCAGCTACTGACACGCTGCTCCGAGTGAGCTTGTCCTGCCTTGGCACAGATTTTAAGTCTCGCCAGGGCCACAGAAGGCTCAGTCCCATGGATGGTAATTTTGGCTGCTTTCTGCACTTGAACGTAAAGTCCTCCTCAAGAAGGCCTGTGGTCCGCCTCTTGGCAACCAAGAAGCCTGCAGTACCATACGACCCGAGGCATGGACTGGAGCCCCAAAGGCAGTGCACACCCTGCTCCTGAGCTTGCTGCTTGTTTCCTCTCTGTGGCTCCATTTGTAGGACAGTTGTTGCACTGAAGCTTGTGCATGCCGGGCAAGGCCAAGCTGGCTCAAAGAGCAACCACCCACCTCTGCAAGGGTATGCCTGGAGCAGGTGCACCAGTCACCATCTAGCGGCCGGACATGGTACATCACTTCTTCTACCCTAAAGGTGGGCTACAGCACCATCTGCTTTTCCTAAGGCCACTGCTCCATCAGCAGTTAGGTGGCAGCCAAGGCAGGACAAGCTCACTCAGAGCAGCGTGTTAGTACCTGGGGCCTGTGCATGCCAGGGAGGCCGAGCTCGCTCAAAGAGCAACCAGCCACCTCTGCAAGGTCTGGCCAGGGCTACAGAAGGCCCCCCTGGATGGTAATCCTGGCTGCTTTCTGCACTTGAATATAAAGTCCTCCCCAAGATGACCTGTGGTCTGCCTCTTGGCAACCAAGAAGCCCGCAGTGCCATGTGACACCTGAGGCATGGACTGGAGCCCCAAAGGCAGGGTACACGCTTCTCCTGAACCTGCTTCTTGTTTCCTCTATATGGCTCCATTTGTGGCAAAGTTGTTGCGCTGATGCTTGTGCATGCCGGGCAAGGACAAGCTGGCTCAAAGAGCAACCAGCCACCTCTGCAAGGGTGTGGCAGGAGCCGGTGTACCAGTCACCAATTAGCGTCCGGACATGTACATCACTTCTTCCACCCTAAAGGTAGGGCCACAGTGCCATCTGCTTTTCTTAAGGCCTCTGCTCCATCAGCAATAAGGTGGCAGACACTCAGGCTGTGGGAACCTGGCCATCCCCACTTCCTCGAGCGGTTCAGGTGGTGGATGCTCCGCCTGCACTAGGCGCACCCTTGCAGAGGTGGCTGGTTGCTCTTTGAGCCAGCTTGGACTTGCCTGGCATGCACAGGCCCCAGCTACTGACACGCTGCTCCGAGTGAGCTTGTCCTGCCTTGGCACAAATTTTAAGTCTCGCCAGGGCCACAGAAGGCTCAGTCCCATGGATGGGAATTTTGGCTGCTTTCTGCACTTGAACGTAAAGTCCTCCTCAAGAAGGCCTGTGGTCTGCCTCTTGGCAACCAAGAAGCCTGCAGTACCGTACGACCCGAGGCATGGACTGGAGCCCCAAAGGCAGTGCACACCCTGCTCCTGAGCCTGCTGCTCGTTTCTATATGGCTCCATTTGTAGCACAGTTGTTGCACTGAAGCTTGGGCATGCCGGCCAAGGCCAAGCTGGCTCAAAAAGCAACCGGTCACCTCTGCAAGGGTGTGCCAGGAGCAAGGGCACGAGCTACCAACTAGCAGCCGGACATGTACATCACTTCTTCTACCCTAAAGGTAGGGCCACAGTGCCATCTGCTTTTCCTAAGGCCTCTGTTCCATCAGCAATTAGGTGGCAGCCAATCAAGCTGTGGGAAGCTGGCCATCCCCACTTCCTTGTGTGGCTGAGGTGCTGGATGCTCTGCCTGCTCTAGGCGCACCCTTGCAGAGGTGGCTGGTTGCTCTTTGAGCCAGCTCGGCCTTGCCTGGCATGCATAGGCCCCAGCGACTGACACGCTGCTCCGAGTGAGCTTGTCCTGCCTTGGCACAAATTCTATGTCTGGCCAGGGCCACAGAAAGCCGAGTCCCCTGGATGGTAATCCTGGCTGCTTTCTGTACTTGAACGTAAAGTCCTCATCAAGACGGCCTGTGGTCTGCCTCTTGGCAACCAAGAAGCCTGCAGTGCCATACGACCCCTGAGGCATGGACTGGAGCCCCAAAGGCAGCGCACACCTGGTTCCTGAGCCTGCTGCTTGTTTCCTCTCTGTGGCTCCATTTGTAGCACAGTTGTTGCACTGAAGCTTGTGCATGCTGGGCAAGGCCAAGCTGGCTCAAAGAGCAACCAGCCACCTCTGCAAGGGTGTGCCAGGAGCAGGTGCACCAGTCACCAACTAACGGCCAGACATGGTTACATCACTTCTACCCTAAAGGTGGGCCACAGTGCCATCTGCTTTTCCTAAGGCCACTGCTCCATCAGGAATTAGGTGGCAGCCAAGGCAGGACAAGCACACTCGGAGCAGTGTGTTAGCACCTGGGGCCTGTGCATGCCAGGGAGGCCAAGCTGGCTCAAAGAGCAACCAGACACCTCTGCAAGGTCTGGCCAGGGCTATAGAAGGTCCCCCTGGATGGTAATCCTGGCTGCTTTCTGCACTTGAATATAAAGTCCTCCCCAAGATGGCCTGTGGTCTGCCTCTTGGCAACCAAGAAGCCCGCAGTGCCATGTGACACCTGAGGCATGGACTGGAGCCCCAAAGGCAGGGTACACGCTTCTCCTGAACCTGCTTCTTGTTTCCTCTATATGGCTCCATTTGTGGCAAAGTTGTTGCACTGAAACTTGTGCATGCCGGGCAAGGACAAGCTGGCTCAAAGAGCAAGCAGCCACCTCTGCAAAGGTGTAGCAGGAGCCGGTGTACCAGTCACCAATTAGCGTCCTACCCTAAAGGTAGGGCCACAGTGCCATCTGCTTTTCTTAAGGCCTCTGCTCCATCAGCAATAAGGTGGCAGACACTCAGGCTGTGGGAACCTGGCCATCCCCACTTCCTCGAGCGGGTGAGGTGGTGGATGCTCCGCCTGCACTAGGCGCACCCTTGCAGAGGTGGCTGGTTGCTCTTTGGGCCAGCTTGGCCTTGCCTGGCATGCATAGGCCCCAGCTACTGACACGCTGCTCCGAGTGAGCTTGTCCTGCCTTGGCACAGATTTTAAGTCTCGCCAGGGCCACAGAAGGCTCAGTCCCATGGATGGTAATTTTGGCTGCTTTCTGCACTTGAACGTAAAGTCCTCCTCAAGAAGGCCTGTGGTCCGCCTCTTGGCAACCAAGAAGCCTGCAGTACCATACGACCCGAGGCATGGACTGGAGCCCCAAAGGCAGTGCACACCCTGCTCCTGAGCTTGCTGCTTGTTTCCTCTCTGTGGCTCCATTTGTAGGACAGTTGTTGCACTGAAGCTTGTGCATGCCGGGCAAGGCCAAGCTGGCTCAAAGAGCAACCACCCACCTCTGCAAGGGTATGCCTGGAGCAGGTGCACCAGTCACCATCTAGCGGCCGGACATGGTACATCACTTCTTCTACCCTAAAGGTGGGCTACAGCACCATCTGCTTTTCCTAAGGCCACTGCTCCATCAGCAGTTAGGTGGCAGCCAAGGCAGGACAAGCTCACTCAGAGCAGCGTGTTAGTACCTGGGGCCTGTGCATGCCAGGGAGGCCGAGCTCGCTCAAAGAGCAACCAGCCACCTCTGCAAGGTCTGGCCAGGGCTACAGAAGGCCCCCCTGGATGGTAATCCTGGCTGCGTTCTGCACCTGAACATAAAGTCCTCCTCAAGATGACCTGTGGTCTGCCTCTAGGCAACCAAGAAGCCCGCAGTGCTACACGACCCCTGAGGCATGGACTAGAGCCCCAAAGGCAATGCACAACCTGCTCCTGAGCCTGCTGCTCATTTCTTCTCTGTGGCTACATTTGTAGCAGAGTAGTTGCACTGAGCTGTGTGCACGCCAGGCAAAGCCAGGCTGGCTCAAAGAGCAACCAGCCACCTCTGCAAGGCTGGGCCAGGAGCAGGCGGACCAGCCACCAACCTCACTCCCTGCCAGACATGGTACATCCTTTCCTCTACCCTAAATGTAGGGCCAAGAGGCAGACCACAGGCCGTCTTGAGCAGGACTTTATGTTCAAGTGCAGAAAGCAGGCAGGATTGCCACCCAGGGTACTCGGCCTGCTGTGGTCCCCAGTGCCGTACGAACTCTGAGGCATGGACTGGTGCCATGTGCTTTATAGAAATATTAACTTAAGATCCATTAAAGAGTTAAACGTGCCATCTGATTTACCTCAGGCCTCTGCTCCATCAGCCATCAGGTGGCAGCCACTCAGGCTGTTGTAATCTCGCCATCCCTGCTTCCTTGAGTGGGTGAGCTTGGTGGCTGGTCCAACTGGTCCAGGCACACCCTTGCACAGGTGGCTGGTGGCTCTTTGAGCCAGCTTGGCCTTGCCTGCCATGCACAGGCCCCAGGTACTAACACGCTGGTCCAAGTGAGTTTGTCCTGCCTTGGAACAAATTCTAAGTCTGGCCAGGGCCACAGAAGGCCGAGTGCCCTGGGTGGCAATCCTGGCTGCTTTCTACACTTGAACATAAAGTCCTCCTCTAGACAGCCTGTGGTCTGCCTCTTGGCAACCAAGAAGCCCACAGTGCCATATGACGCCTGAGGCATGGACTGGAGCCCCAAAGGCAGTGCACACCCTGCTCCTGAGCCTGCTGCTCGTTTTTATATGGCGCCATTTGTAGCACAGTTGTTGCACTGAAGCTTGGGCATGCCGGCCAAGGCCAAGCTGCCTCAAAGAGCAACCAGCCGCCTCTGCAAGGGTGTGCCTTGAGCAGGTGCACCAGTCACCAACTAGCAGCCAGACATGTGCTTCACTTCTTCTACCCTAAAGGTAGGGCCACAGTGCCATCTGCTTTTCCTAAGGCCTCTGCTCCATCAGCAATTAGGTGGCAGCCAATCAAGCTGTGGGAAGCTGGCCATCCCCACTTCCTTCAGTGGGTGAGGTGGTGGATGCTCTGCCTGCTCTAGGCGCACCCTTGAACAGGTGGCTGGTTGCTCTTTGAGCCAGCTTGGCCTTGCCTAGCATGCATAGGCCCCAGCGACTGGCACGCTGCTCCGAGTGAGCTTGTCCTGCCTTGGCACAAATTCTCAGTCTGGCCAGGGCCACAGAAGGCCGAGTCCCCCGGACGGTAATCTTGGCTGCTTTCTGCACTTGAATGTAAAGTCCTCCTCAAGACGGCCTGTGGTCTGCCTCTTGGCAACCAAGAAGCCTGCAGTGCCATATGACCCCTGAGTCATGGACTGGAGCCTGAAAGGCAGCGTACACCCTGCTCCTGATCTTGCTGCTTGTTTCCTCTCTGTGGCTCCATTCATAGCACAGTTGTTGCACTGAGGCTTGTGCAGGCCGAGCAAGGCCAAGCTGGCTCAAAGAGCAACCAGTCAACTCTGCCACGGTGTGCCAGGCACCGGTTCTCCAGCCACCAACCTCACTCGCTCCCGCAAATGGCACATCAGTTCTTCTACCCTAAAGGTAGGACCAAAGGGCCATCTGCTTTTCTGAAGTCCTCTGCTCTATCAGCCATCACGTGGCAGCCACTCGGGCTGTGGGAACCAGGCCATGTATTTCCTTGGTTAAGTGAGGTTTGTGGTTGGTCTACCTGCTGCAGGTCCACCCTCGAATAGGTGGCTTGTTGCTTTTTGAGCCAGCTTGCCCTTGCCTGGCATGCACACGCCCGAGCGACTGCCACACAGCTCCGAGTGAGCTTGTCCTGCATTGGCCCAAATTCTAAGTCTGGCCAGGGCCACAGAAGGACAAGTACCCTAGATGGTAATCCTGGCTGCTTTCTGCAGTTGAACATGAAGTCCTTCTCAAAACGGCCTGTGATCTGCCTCTTGGCAACCAAGAAGCTCGCAGTGCCATACCATCCCTGAGGCACGGACTGGAGCCCCAAAGGCAGTGTACACCCTGGTCCTAAGCCTGCTGCTCATTTCCCCTATGTGGCTCCATTTATAGCACAGTTGTTGCACTGAAGCTTGTGCATGCCAGGCAAGGCCAAGCTGCCTCAAAGAGCAACCAGCCACCTCTGTAAGGGTACGCTTGGAGCAGATGGACCAGCCACCAACCTCACCCACTCAAGGAAGCAGGGAATGCGGGTTTGTACCATGCATTTCACTACAAGTATATTTCCCCTGAGGTTGGTGGCCTATGTTTTCTTCTAGGTTTTTTGCTTTTAGGTCTTACATTTAACTCTTTTATCCTTCTTAAGTTAATTTTTGTATATAAAGTGTAAGGAAGTGGCCCAGTTTCGGTTTTCTGCATATGGCTAGCCAGTTTTTCTAACACCATTTATTTATAAAATGGGGAATCCTTTCCCCAGTGCTTACTTTTGTCAGTTTTGTCAAAGATCTTGTGGTTTTACAAGTGTGGTGTCATTTCTGAGGCCTCTGTTCTGTTCCATTGGTCTATATACTTGGTTTTGTACCAGTACCATGCTGTTTACGTTACTGTGGCCTTGTAGAGTAGTTTGAAGTCAGGTACTGTGATGCCTCCAGCTTTGTTCTTTTTGCTTAGGATTGTCTTGGCTATGCGGACTCTTTTTTGATTCCATATGAAATTTAAGGTAGTTTTTCTAATTTTTTGAAAAAAGTCAGTGGTATCTTGATGGGGATAGCACTGAATCTATAAATGACTTTGGGTGGTATGGCATTCAGGCACAGAAATGTCCTTGTGTTAGGCAATACCATTCAGGACACAGGCATGGGCAGAGACCTCATCACTAGAACACCAAAAGCAATGGCAACAAAAGCCAAAATTGACAAATGGGATCTAATTAAGCTAAAGAGTGTCTGCAGAGCAAAACAAACTATCATCAGAGTGAACAGGCAACACACAGAATGGGAGAAAATTTTTGCAATCTATCCATCTGACAAAGGGCTAATATGCAGAATCTACAAAGCACTTAAACAAATTTACAAGAAAATAAACAACCCCATGAAAAAGCGGGCAAATGATATGAACAGACACTTCCCAAAGAAGACATTTATGCAGCCAAAGAACACGTGAAGCAAAGCACATCATCACTGGTCATTAGAGAAATGGAAATCAAAACCACAATGAGATACAATCTCACACCACTTAGAATGGCCATCATTAAAAGATCAGGAAACAACACATGCTGGAGAGGACGTGGAGAAATAAGAATGCTTTTACACTCTTGCTGGGAGTATAAATTATTTCAACCATTGTGGAAGACAGTGTGCTGATTCCTCAAGGATCTACAACTAGAAATACATTTGACCCAGCAATCCCATTACTGGGTATATACTGAAAAAATAATAAATCATTCTAATATAAAGACACATGCACACGTATGTTTACTGCGGCACAGTTCACAACAGCAAAGACTTGGAACCAACCCAAATGCCCATCAGTGACAGACTGGATAATGTGGTATATATATACTACGGAATACTATGAAGCTATAAAAAAGGATGAGTTCATGTCCTTTGCAGGGACATGGATGAAGCTGGAAACCATCATTCTCAGCAAACTAACACAAGAACAGAAACACATGTTCTCACTCATAAGTGGGAGTTGAAAAATGAGAACACATAGACACAGGAAGGGGAATATCACACACCAGGGCCTGTCAGCGTGGGGGGCTAGGAGAGGGATGGCATTAGGAGAAATACCTAATGCAGATCATGGGTTGATGGATGCAGCAAGCCACCATGGCATGTGTATATTATACCTACGTAACAAACCTGTATGTTCTGCACATGTACCCCAGAACTTAAAGTATAATTTTAAAAAAACAAATTTTCTTTTAATTAAGCTTTTATCATAGAACTTGTAAAGAAAATCGTTTTGAGTCTCTTACTACCACATCATAGCTGGGACAAACTGCTGATATTTTAAAAGCAACACAAATATCAAACAGAAAGAACTAGACTTAGGAACCAAACTCAGGTTTCTGTAGTGAACAGGGCAGAATCTTAACATTCGGTCCCCACCATTACTCCTTCAGTTTGGCCTTTGCTAGCAAAAGATGGCCTTGTTATGTAGATGAGACCACTTATATAAAAAAAAAGTTTTAAAAAATTTCCAACTGGATTTTCTGTGTTTTTTTTTTGTTTGTTTGTTTTTTGGGTTTTTTGTTGTTGTTGTTGTTGTTGTTGTTGTTGTTTTGCCTTTTTTTGTTTTTTTTGGGGTTTTTTCTTTTGGCTTTTTTGTGTTTTTTGTTTTTGTTTTTCATTTTTTGTGTGTGTTTATTTTTTTATATTTTTTTTTTATTTTTATTTTTTGCAGCCACAGGAGTTTTAGCCATTTCAGATGCCTTGCTCCCCACAATTTGGAACATTCCTTTGGATTTGACCAAGTCAGGAAGAGATGGGAGAAAAGTGAAACAACAACAATAAAACCCCAAACATAAACAAACAGAAAGAGTTAAGCAAAACAAACAAATGCACAATTCATATGATTACTGAGTGTTCTAATGCTAAGGAGAAATTAAAAGCAGCTGGTGGGTAATCTTACATTTTAATCATTAAGGAAAAATTTTAAGACAAAACTCTAATTCAGCTACTTACCTGGAAATAAGGCTCAGGCTGGTGATCGTTCTCTGCCATCTTAGAAGCTGGAAAAAACTTACACTCACCTTCCCTGTCAGAAGCAAGCTGAAACTCAGGAAAGGAGATGCCTGCTCTCCATCGTCATGGAAGCAGGAAAACTTGCCTTCCTTTTTGGAAATGAGTAAAACTTCAGAAAAGGAGTTGTACAGCAAAATCAACCTTACATCTCAACCAAATTTTGGGAGATCAGGGACTCTCTGCAGGGGAGAAGCTCCACAACCTCAGCAAATTATCCTTTTGGTTTGGGCAATTAAAACAGCCCAGGTTGGTATCAAGCAATGAGATTTATCAAAGGTCAGGACCACCTTTGTAATGTCCTTCTCTTTTTTATCTTTATTCGCATAGTCTGTTTTGTCAGAAAGTAGGAGTGCAACACCTGCTTTTTTCTGTTTTCCATTTGCTTGAAATATTTTTCTCCATTCCTTTATTTTGAGCCTATGTATGCCACCGCATGTGAGATGGGTTTCTTGAAGACAGCATACTCCAGTGGGTCTTGGTTCTTTATCCAGCTTGCCCCGTGTCTTTCAATGGGAGCATTTAGCCCATTTTCATTTAAGGTTAGTAATGGTATGTGTGGATTTTATCCTGTCGTCATGCTGTCAGCTGGTTATTTTGCAGACTTAACGTATGTGGTTGGTTTTTAGCATCACTGGACTGCGTAATTCACTGCGTTCTTCACTGCATTTTTGTAGTGGCTGGTGATGGTTTTTTCTTTCCATATTTAGTGCTTCCTTCAGGAGCTCTTGTAAGGTAGATCTGGTGATATTGAATTCCCTCAGCATTTGCTTGTCTGAAAAGGATCTTATTTCTCCTTCACTTATGATGCCTAATTTTGCTGGACATGAAATTATGGGCTGAAATTTCTTTTCTTTAATGGCAGTTGATGTGGGTTGGGGTGTGTGCTGCACTCCTGTGTGCTGTCAGTGCAAGTAAAGCAAAATCCACCTGTGTAAACACACACAGCAAAGTGATGTAGGAAGTTTCCATATAAAGGGCTGCAGTATGGAGAAGTAATGTGCAGGCTGGTGCGTGGCCGTAGGGGCCACCTTGCTGCAGCTCTCCACTGATATGGTACGGTCCACTAGCACAGAAACTATGGTATGGGCACCTGAGAGTGCCCTGTAAGCAGGTGTGGCCAGGCTGGGGCCCTGGGAGAGGCAAGCAGACTAAGGAGTGCTGAGATCAGACCAGCCCCATCTCATGTGCAAGACTGCCCAGCCTCTAAAGATCAGGTCTCAGAGGAGAACTCTCTCAAAAGTGAATCTCCAGCACAGCACAGCTGCTCTACACAATCGTGGCTAGACTTCTTTTTTAAGCAAGTCCCCTTTTTTAAAAGGGGAACTCTCAGACCTGATGTCTGCTGGGCAATCTTGCACATGAGATGTGGCTGGTCTGACCTCAGCATTCCTAAAGTGCTGGGACAAAGTGTCTCACAAGGGCAAGTGGAGCCTAGAGAGATAGCTGTCCCTGCCCTCTGGGCTCCACATCACCTGACTTGCTGCTCCACCACTTTGCTTGTCTCCTGGGTGCTCCATCCCAGAGACATGTGAGTTAGCAATCACTCAGTGTAATCGGCCCAGGATGGAGGGTCTGTGCTGTGGGCCCAAGCCAGGGTTCCCTGTCTGGTGATGAGTAGTGGAGTGTGTGTGGTACCTGTGGGAGATGGATTGCCTTGTTCTTCGGGTCAACTGCAGCTTATTGGAGGTGTTGATATGGCACTTAGGGTCTTTGCTCCCGTGATATATCTTCTGAGGATAGCAAGGGCAGTTCACTGCAAAGGCAGTGGCAGAAAGGATTTCATTTGCTCCTGGAAGCTCTGTCCAAGGAACTGCTGAGTTGCTACTGGCTTGATAGCTCCAGTGGTGGGCTGGCTAGAGACACAGGCCAGGAGGATCTGCCCATCAAGTACAGAGTCTGGCCACTTTTCTGAAGGGCTGCTGTGGAATGCTGGGGGTCCCCTCAAGTCCCTAATTGACTCGTATTTTCCAGGGAAGATGATAGCCTACCCCTTCCTCTGGGAGCTCTGTACCACTGAGGTACGAACCCGTTGCCAATCTGAACACACCAATAAGATGTGGCTGGAGGCAAGTTAAGAAGTCTTACCTAGTCAGGAGGAATAAGAACAGGGACTTGCTTAAAGAAAAAGTCTGGCCACGTTTTTATAGAGCAGCTGTGCTGTGCTGGGGGTTCACTTCAGCCCCTGGCTACCTCAGACACTCTGAAGCCCTAAGGCTGAAATGGCTGGGTCACCCAAACAGCAAAGATGACAATCTGGTCCTCCCCCCGGGAGCTCTGACTCAGGGAGGCCTGAGACCTCTGTCGGCCAGAGAACAGCAGTCAAGGTAGCCAGAGACCCTGGTTGAAAGACTTCACCCACTGACTAGAAATGTGTTCGGGGACTGACTTAAACAAGAGTCTGGCCATGTTTTCGTAGCGTGGCTGTGCTGTGCTGAGGCACCTCTTCTACCCCTTGTCAGCTTGGGCTCTCCAAAGCCTGCAGGCCAGAACGGCTAGTCACCCAAACAGCAAAGGTGGTGGCCTGCCCCTCTCTCCAGGAGCTCTGTCCCAGGAACATTTCAAATTTCCATTGGCCAAGGGATGCTGGTGGGGGTAGCTGGAGGCCCCAGTTGGGAGGTCCTGTCCAGTGAGGTGGAACAGGATCAGGGGCCTGCTTACAGAAGCAGTCTGGCCATGATTTGGTAAAGCAGCTATGCTGTGCTCTGGGATCTCTTCTTTCCCTGGTCAGTTTGTACTCTCCAAAGCCCTCAGGCTGGAATGACTAAGTTGCCCGAACGGGAAAGATGGCGGCCTGCCCCATCTTTTCTCTCAGAGTTTTATCTTGTTTCATGGAACTTAATTTTTAGCCTGTTGATTTTACTGTCTACATTAGACTTGTTGAGAAAGATTCTGTAATCTTTTAGGTTAGACAAATGAGAATTCATTGTCTTCTGTAAATAAACCTGTTCATGTCTTGTTCTCTGGAAAGAAGTCTCTTTCAGCTCTCTGACTTTGGTCACAATCATGTAGAGCAGTAGCCAGTCTACAATGATGTAATTGAATTTCCATTTCCAGTGTTTCGTCGTTGTGTCTTACATTGTCCAGTTCAGAACTGAGCATTTTATTCTCAGTTGTCAACATGCTAAGCTGTCCACTGTACAGAAATACTGTTTTTGTTAATGCTTCCTCATTGAATTTTTTTTAAGGTGTGCACTTTTTTCCAACTCTCCTTAAGTCAGAGTACAGGTAAGCCCTGGCTGCCTCCAGCCACTCTCAGGGAGACCAAAAGCCTTCATACACCCCAAGTTGGGGTACAAAAAAGGGGGGCCGCGAAGGCTGATCATTCTAAATAAAACAAAATTAAAAAGTATTTAGGCAAAGATTCAAAAAATTTTGCATTACGTAATTTGCATGAAAGCAATGCCATCACCTCCCCTGTGTGAATTAGGGAGAGGACTGGGCCATTCTCCTTAGAGAGAAGTGGGGTGGCTTTTAGAAGGGCAAGGGGCTTCCTGAAACAATGCATCTCACAATATTTGGAATGACTATTGAAAAGAAAAACAATGTACGATCAAAGTCCTCAGCCACATTGTAGAACTTTGGGGGAAGCTCACTCCAACCAACTGCTCTCGCCTTCACCATTCCAGTTTTTAAATCCTGAGTCAAGCCAATAAAAAACAAAACAAAAAATGAAATAAGAAAACAATTAAAGCCATACCAATCTCATGTGGCTTTCTGCGAAGTTTGGTTTTGTCAAGAAAGGGTGTAATGCAACTAAGTCAGCGTCCACCTAGAAGCATTTGCGGTGGACAATGGAGGGGCCTGACTCATCATACTCCTGCTTGCTGATCCACATCTGCTGGAAGGTGGACAGCGAGGCCAGGATGGAGCCACCGACCCACACGGAGTACTTGCGCTTGGGAGGAGCAACAATCTTGATCTTCATCGTGCTAGGCGCCAGGGCAGCGATCTCCTTCTGCATCCTGTGGGCAATGCCAGGGTACATGGTGGTGCCACCAGATAGCACTGTGTTGGTGTACAGGTCTTTGTGGATGTCCACATCAGACTTCATGATAGAGTTGAAGGTAGTTTCGTGGATGCCACAGGATTCCATGCCCAGGAAGCAAGGCTGGAAGAGCACCTCGGGGCAGCGGAACCGCTCGTTGCTAATGGTGATGACCTGGCCGTTGGGCAGCTCATAGCTGTTCTCTAGGGAGGAGCTGGAGGCCGCTGTGGCCATCTCCTGCTCGAAGTCCAGGGCAACATAGCACAGCTTCTCTGTGATGTCACGCACGATTTCCCGCTCGGCCATGGTGGTGAACCTATAGCCACGCTCGGTGAGGATCTTCATGAGGTAGTCAGTCAGTTCCCGGCCAGCCAGGTCTAGGCGCAGGGTGGCATGGGGGAGGGCATTCCCCTCATAGATGGGCACAGTGTGGGTGACCCCGTCACCAGAGTCCATCACAATGCCAGTAGTACGGCCAGAGGTGTACAAGGACAGCACGGCTTGGATGGCCACGTACATGGCTGGGGTGTTGAAGGTCTCAAACATGATCCGGGTCATCTTCTCACGGTTGGCCTTGGGGTTCAGGGGTGCCTCGGTCAGCAGGATGGGGTGCTCCTCGGGAGCCACACGCAGCTCATTGTAGAAGGTGTGGTGCCAGATCTTCTCCATGTCGTCCCAGTTGGTGATGATGCCGTGCTCCATGGGGTACTTCAGGGTCAGGATGCCTCTCTTGCTCTGGGCCTCATTGCCCACATAGGACTCCATCTGACGCATGCCCCCCATCATGTTCTGGTGCCTGGGGCACCCCACGATGGAAGGGAAGACAGCCCGGGGGGCATCGTCACCTGCAAAGCCGGCCTTGCACATGCCAGAGCCGTTGTCAATGACGAGCACGGCAGTATCATCATCCATGGTGAGCTCATTCAGTTGTAGACCCTTTAAAAGATTATCATTCTTTTTTTCCACACTTTCAATTTCCTCCAAATATTTCTTTTCTCTTAGCTGGCTCTGATGTTTCATTACGTCTAGTTCCAGTCTTAGCATGACAATTTCTTCCTGCAACGTACTATTTTCATGCAAGAGGTCTTTTTCTTTCTTATAACTAAGAGAAAGCTAAGTAAACAAAGGGAACTTTTAGTTAGCACTCAATAGATTGATATACCATGATTTCTTCTGAAATTAAAAAATAACATCTGTATTTGTATAATGAAAGAATCCCCATAGTGGATATTTAACTGGAAAAAACTGGACAAAACTCCAAACCTAGCAGAGTGTAAATTCCTCTAGTGATTTATTTTTCATAGTCTTTAAATAAAGATTTAAACTTTTAGGAATCTGCTCCTGAATTCCTAAAAGTTTAAATATTTATTTAAAGACTATGAAAAATAAATCACTAGAGGATTTTTAAGAATCTCAGAATTAAAAAAGCCTTTCTCTGAGTTACAAAAAACCCAGAGGCATAAAATATAAGATTAATACATTTGACTATATTTTTAAGATTAGGTTTATACTCTGATATCTAACCTATCAACCACACCATCCTAAGAGCCTTAGCTATGCATATATTTGGACAGAAGCAATTTCTCAAAGTTCTTTAAGTTTCTTTTACTGAAGAACGTTTTACCGATATTCTACATTTCTAATATTTTTATACTCAGTTATAAGAATTATATTTATTCATAACTTAAATCTAAGCACTGTACCCTTCTACACTGTACACATCTGTATCTAAGCATTGCACTCCTACATACAACACTGAACTCATTTAAGATCGTGATTCTTAAAAGGAGAAGTCAAAAAATATATACAAGATGCAGGATTTTCCCCAGGTCTGCTGATGCTACTTCTAGTGATCCTCCACAAAACCACAGTTACTTCTGTGGTGTAAATATATAAATACAAAAGAAGCCTTTTGTTTCAAAATATGAATGGTAAGTAAGATGCAACTTATAGAGATTTTCTTAGAAATCATGAGATTATTTGTCATTGTGATAACTTTTATTTCCTCTTTATAATGTTTGAAACAGTAGTAACTGTGAAATAGGGGAAATATACTCAACTATTTCTCTAGGAACAAAATACTTATCAATAAATTATCACTAAATGTATATCATGGCATGTCATTGTTTTCAAACCTCTTTACATTGAAATGAGAAATTACTTGGAGCAAAGTGTTCCTCTCCACAAAAGTAAGGATGATGACATCCACAATGTGGCCTCTGACCCAACTATACATTTCCTACTTTCCTATCAGTGAAAACCATCAATTGACTTCTCTATTAACATTTTTTAACAAAACTAATGTCCAAAAACTAGAAAATTTGTTTTTAGTAGCAAAACTTAGTTTTGATATGGAAAGATCATCAATTCTTATGAAAAATATCAAATGCTTCTCCTTTGGATTGAGGCCATTGTGAAGGTCACTACTCGACTGTTGCAGGCAAATGGAGTTGAATTAAGAACATGGCTTTCTCCTATATGTACAGATATAGATACATGACAAAGGATATATAGAATATATACACACATATATATGACTTAAAAATCCTTTGTATATCCAAAATACATAGTTTTTAAAAAATATATACACATATAAAAACATTTGAAAATAACTAAATACCTCAGAATTCATTTTCAGCCACTTCTATCTGCTTTTCTTCATGAATCAGAATCTCATCTTGTAATATTCCAGTGTTCTGTTCTTCAGAAAGTTGCTTCTGAGTATCATTTTGTTCATCACTAGAAAAAAAATTAATTTTCATGAAATACTGGAGGTGTCCCCAAAATGATCTACAGGGCAAGATGGCGCCATCAGATGTCATTCACACAATGTATATCTGCACATTATTCCAAGACAAGGCAAAGGGGTCTCACATCTGTTAACCAAGTATCCCCAACCATGCTGGCACCAGGGACTGGTTTTGCGGAAGATAATTTTTCCAGGAACCTGAGGTTTGGGATGGTTCCAGGATGATTCAAGTACATTACATTCATTGTGCACTTTATTTCTATTATTATTAATATATAATGAAATAATTATATAACTCACCAAAATGTAGAATCCGTGGGAGCCCTGAGCTTGCTTTCCTGCGACTAGATGGTCCCATCTGGGGGTGATGGGAGATGGTGACAGATCATAAAGGCATTTGATTCACATAAGGAGTGAACAACCTATATCCCCTGCATGAGCAACTTACAACAGGGTTCAGGTCACACTCTTAGGACGATCTAATGCCACCGCTGATCTGACAGGAGGAGCAGCTCGGGTGGTAATGCGAGCGACAGAGAGTGGCTGCAAACAGATGAAGCTTTGCTTGCTCACCTGCCTCTAACTTCCTGCTGTGTGGCCCAGGTCCTAACAGGCCAGGGACTGGTACTGGTCTATGGCCTATAACTCATACTTTTTGTGTTTATTTTTTGGAAACATTTTCCACTTATATTCTTGATTCCTATGTATTTTATAAACAACTTAGAAATTCCTTTTAGAACAAGACAGGGTCTAATATTATGTTTTTAACATAGGACTTTGAATTAATTTTATCTGTGTATGAGAGAGAGATGTGAAATAAACTCATCATTAAGCATTTTCCATTTTACTTTTATTTCATGCATATTAAGAATAAAACTGGGAAGTCCTAGGCAAAGCAGTTGGGCAAGAGAAATAAAGGGCATCCAAATTGGAAAAGAGGAAGTCAAACTATCTCTTCACCAATGATATTACCTTATACCTAGAAAACCCTGAAGACTCCTACAAAACACTCCTAGATTTGATAAATGAATTCAGTAAAGTCTCAGAGGTTACAAAATGAATGAATACCAATCAGTAGCACCACTACACACCAACTACGACCAAGCTGAGAGTTCATATCAACAATCCAATCCCTTTTACAGTGGCTGCAAAAAAGTGTGAAATACCTAGGAATATGCTCAATGAAAAAGGTGAGTGATCTATATAAAGATAACTGGAAAACACCACCAAAGAAAATAACAGATGACACAAACAAATGAAAATACATCCTATGTTCATGGACTGAAAGAACTGATATAGTGAAAATGACCACAGTGCCCAAAGCAGTCTACATAGTCGATACAATTCCTACCAAAGTACCAATGTCATTCTTCACAGAATTATTTTAAAATGCTGACATTCATGTAGGACCACAAAAGAGCCTGAATAGCAACAGACATACCAAGCAAAAGGAACAAATATGTTGGCATCACGTTACCTGACTTCAAATTATACTCTAAGGCCACAGTAACAGAAACAGCGTGGTACTGGTATAAAAACAGATACATAGATCAACGGAACAGAACAGACAACTCAGAAATAAAGCCGCTACAACCAAGTGATCTCTGAGCAAGCATACAAAAACATACACTGGAGAAAGTACAGGTTATTCAGTAAATAGTGCTGGGAAAAAAAGAGAGCCACATGTGGAGGAATGAAACTGGATCTCTATCTCTCAACATATACAAAAATTAATTCAAGATGGATGAAAGGCCCAAACCTAAGACCTGAAAACATTGGCCTAGGCAAAGAATTTATGATGAAGACCTTAAAGCCAATGCAACAAAAATGAAAATAAATAAGACCTAATTAAACTAAAAACCTTCAGCACAACAAAAGAAATAATCATCAGAGTAAACCAACAACCTATACAATGGGAAGAAAATTTGAAAATTATGAATCTAACAAAGGACTAGTATCTATAACCTACAAGAAACTCAAACAAATCAACAGGAAAAACACAAATATTTCCATTAGAATGTGGCCAAATTACATGAATAGCCATTTCTCAAAAGAAGATGTACAAACGGTAAACAAGCATATAAAAACATGCGAAATATCTCGAATCATCAGGAAAATGCACAATAAAATGACAGTGAGATATCACCTCGCTGCAGCCAGAATGGCCACTATTAGAAAACAAAAAACAACAGATGTTGGTGTGGATGTGGTGAAAGGAGAACAGTGATACACTGCTGGTGGGAATGCAAATTCATACAAATCTATGGACAACAGTATGGAGAGTTCTCAAAGAACTAAAAATAGATCCTACCATTTTATCCAGCATTCTCATTTCTGGATAGCTACACAAAATAAAAGAAATCGTACTCTCACAAAGACACCCGCACACATATGTTTACTGCAGCACAATTCACAATATGCAAAGATATGGAATCAGCCAGTGTCCATGAACTGATGAATGGAATAAAGAAAATGGAGATATATAAAAATATATATATCTCACATCACATATATATATCACATATACGTATGTGTGTATATACACTCACACATATACGTATGTACATACCCGAGACTGGGTAATTCATACACATACATACCTGAGACTGGATAATTCATAAAGGAAAGAGGATTAATTGATTCACAGTTATGCATGGCTGGGGAGGCCTCAGGAAACTTAACAACCATGGTAGAACGTGAAGGGGAACCAGGAACCTTCTTCATAAGGCGGCAGGAGAGAGAGAATGGAAGGGGAAAGAGCCCCTTATGAAACCGTCAGCTCTTGTGAGAACTCACTCACTATCACAAGAACAGCACGGAGGAAACCGACCCCATGAGCCAATCACCTCCCAGCTGGTCTTTCCTCAACACCTGGGAATTACAATTTGACATGAGATTTGCATAGAAACACAAAGCCAAACTATTGTGGGGGGGTATCCTTATTTTTAAAATATCTAAATGTCATTATTTATAATTCAAAATAATAATTTTTATTAGTGATGATTTTGTTTGAAAATAGAATGATCTGATAAATTTTTTTCACTTTTAACCTATTCAGTCAAAATATATAAAAAGCTAGATTTGCCAGCAGAATATTGTAACTACTTTTTAATGAGATAAAAATGTATAACAACATCACTATTATTGTACAGAGAAAAAAGTGAACATAAAAAGGAATTTAAAAAGACAATATGACAATATGACTATCATATACATACATGAACTGACAGACTAAAATCTCCTACTGGAGATTATGTTAGGACTTGAGCAAAAGCTTCTAAAAATACCCAAAACAAACACAAAACAATTATTTTTAAGAAATAAATTATACAGAGAACTCTTCTGGTTAAGACGATGTATCAAAAAAAAATCTCCGTGAGAGCTATTATTAACCAAGTCATCATAACCAAAACTTTAAATCCACAATTCTGAAATATTAAAAAGTTTCATTTTGAACATAGTTAATGGAAGGCAACTTTTGAACAGAAAATTTCTGTTTAAAGTTGACTCAAACTTAGGAAAGAATTGACCTGTAGCCATGGTAACAAGAAGCCACCCAGAGCCAGTTCAAAATCTAGTCAATCGATCAATGACCACTGGCTTTGCTCACCAACCAATATCAATGTGAGCAGCTTGCTTCTGAAAGACAGCCAAGCAGCAACAGCTGCTTCATCAGAATAGACAGTGCCTGACCAGTATAGTCTTACTATCCGAAGCAAAAGATTCCAACTGTCTTTTTATTTCAAATACCAAAGGTCTATAATCCCTTGGAAACAATTTGTGAGTCCATTACATTTACCACCCTAATATTTTTTTAAATAAAATACTAGTGGCCGGACATGGTGGCTTACGCCTGTAATCCACCCAGCACTTTGTGAGGATAAGGCGGGTGGATTGCCTGAGGTCAGGAGTTCGAGACCAGCCTGACCAACAGGGTGAAACCCCGTCTCTACTAAAAATACGAAAATTAGCCGGGCATCATGGCACGCGCCTGTAATCCCATCTCCTCAGGTGGCTGAGGCAGGAGAATCACTTGAACCCAGGAGGCGGAGGTTGCAGTGAGCCGAGGTCACGCCACTGCACTGCAGCCTGGGTGACAGAGCGAGACTCTATCTCTAAATAAATAAAATACCAGTAAAGTTTGCAATTCCTCTGACTCATTTTACCATAATTGCAATTATCATGATTACCAGTAAAAGAATAGTGAATAACCACAATATTGGACTTTTCTCCCTAAGTGAAAAAATATTAACATAAAGAATGTAGATTATAAAAAGCCAAAAGAATTTTAAAAATACATATAATTACCAGGCAAAATTGTTAAAATGAACTCTGTCAAACACTTTTTAAGTGAGAATCAATCAAACAATATAGCCAGGATAAACTCCATTCATTCATTTAATACTTATTTATTAGGTAGCTACGTCTGATAGGCTAGGCCTTTTTCTAAGAAGTAAGGATATGGTAATGAACAATAAAAACCCTATTCATGAGAGTGAGATAAACACACAATAACAACAGACAGATAAGGCAAAATATACAGTACATTAGAGGAGAAAAACTAAAGCAGGAAAATGAAATGTTTACCTGTTTGATGGGAAGGGTCGTGGGAAAGTTGGGATGGCCAGAAAAGTCCCTGATGAGAAAGAGGATTTTTCTTTAACACAAAGAAACTTTTATTTGTACATCAAAGACTCTAAAAAATGATGATGTTAACAGAGTTGATGTCAAGACACAAATAGGTTTGAAGTTAGAGATGATAAATCACTGTTTCATTGAACCTTCCCTCAATTACGTTAGAGAGAATCCCTGGTATGCTCCCAATTGAATCTTAAGCCTGATGCGTCCTGGTGATACAATCGTAATTCCTTTCTGTTAGTCCTCGTTATCTCTTTTTCTTTTTCTTCATTTTTCTCTGGACTAGGAATTGTGCTGGTACATGGTTCTTCCTCCGAAAGTGGTTATTCCTTAATGTGTTTCTTTTTACCCTTTTTCTTCTTCTTAGAAAGGGGATTTTAAGTAAAAAACTGAAGTAATGGAAACAGTAAGCTAGAAGAATATCTGGGGAAAAAGCATTCCAGACACGGGGAACTGCTAAGTGCAGAGGTGTGACTGGAGTTTTTAAGCACTAGAGATAGGTAAGGAATAGCAAGAAGTTCAGTGTGGCTGAAACAGAGCAAAAGAGATAAGAAACAGAAGTTTAAGCAGGAGAGATAACATGCCAGATGGTTGACTGCCTTTTAGTTATTAGGAGGAACTCTGACACATACTCAGCGTGAAATGGGAGGCAATCAGAAGGGCTGGGGCAGGGGAATGACACAATTTGACTTATGTTTTAAATACATCCACTGAGTTAAGAATTGATGAAAGGGGAAATTTTTAAAAACCAGGACTATCAATTCCCAGTCTATGACACTCATCTAGATGGCAGATGATGGTGGCTCACATGTACAAGATATGACTGGCTTCTGGACATATTCTTCAGGTAGACCTGACGAGATTTACTGAGAGATTAGATGTGAAGTGTCAAGAGAGAGAGAAAGATGAGTCTAGAATGACACCGAGGTTTTTGGCAGAGCAACTGGAAGAGTTGCCATTAACCAAAGTAGGAAAGACTACATGAGGTGTAGATTTCAGGAAGGCCATCAGTAGCCCAATTTTGGATCTGACAAGTGTGTGATACTCAACAGCTAATCAAATAACTATTTATTAGGTAGCTACGTCTGATAGGCTAGGCCTGTCAAGTAGCCAGGCTGATACAGAGATCTGGAATTAAGGAGTGAGATCTGAGTTGGAGACATGCATTTGGAAATCACTAGCATATATACAGTAGAAAAAGTCAGGAAGGGCCAGGCACTGTGGCTCATGCCTGTAATCCAACACTTCGTGAGGCCAAGGCAGGCAGATCACCTGACATCAGGAGTTTGAGACCAGCCTGGCCAACATGGGGAAACCCTGTCACTACTAAAAATACAAAAATTAGCCAGGTATGGTGTCACACACCTGTAATCCCAGCTACTCAGGAGGCTGAGGCAGGAGAAGCGCTGGAAGCCAGGAGGCAGAGGTTGCAATGAGCCAAGATCGTGCCAATGAACACCAGCCTAGGGGACAAAGCCAGACTTCATCTTAAAAAAAAAAAATGTCATGAGAAAGAAGATTGAGGACTGAGCCATGAGAAACAGCAATGTCCAAAAGGAGAAACATGAGGAGGAGCAAGCAAAACAGACCGTGATGAATGGACTAGAAAGGCAGGAGTAAAAGCCTGAGGGAGTGAGGTCCTGAAAGCCAAGTGAAGACGCCGTTAGGGAGAAGATGCCCTCCATTGGCTCAAATATTGCTGACAGATTAAATAAAATGAGGTGTAAGAAAAAAATGCATAGATTTATTTACAGAAAAAAGTAGTGATAACCTTGAGAAAAACAACTCTGGAGGAGTGCTGAAATTGAAGACTTACTGGCATTGAGATCAAGAGTGAATGGAAAGAAAATTTGAGTTCGTGAGTGTAGACAGTTACTTAAAGGACAACATACTTAACACTCACGACTGAGAATGATGTAATTTTCATCCACAGTCATGGAAAAGTGATAGACAAGAAATAGTTTCCAAATTTTACATAACAGGTGGAGGTTTCAAATGCTATGTAACAATTATATATTTCAAAGGTTATAAAAATTATACACATGTGGCATTAAATGCCAGACCAAGGTTTTAAAGGCCCCTAGAACATTTCTAGATTACATAAGCTGATTATCATTTTGTTCATGCTTATACATAAAGACCAAGAAATACTAAAGGTCTCAACGAGAATATTTCTTGCTTGATAAAAATCAGCCAATTCTAGGACAGTTGACACTCATCAAATATACAAAGTAATTGATCACAGTAAAATACTGAGTTCTATTAACAGGAATAAAGAGAGAGAAATGCAGAAAATAATCTTATTTTATAAATGAAGTTTTTAAAATTATATGAAGTCACTGTGGAAAAATATGGTGAGGTGAATACTCAAATATATCCTTTTCTCAAAGGAAAGATAATGTCACCCATGCAGGACACTTTTACATATAAGAGTCAATGCATTAGCAGCACCTTCCTTTTAGCACAAAGGTCAGCAAATAAGCACCTGTGGGCCAAATCCAGCCCACTGACTGTTTTTGTAAGTCAAGTATCCTGGAACACAGCCATGCTTATTCACTTTACAGTCCATAGTGACAATTAGCTGGGTGTGATGTTGCACACCTGTGGTCCCAGCTAGTAGAGAGGCTGAGGTGGGAGGATCACTAGAGCCCAGAAAGTCGAGGCTGCAGTGATCACACAACCATGATCACACAACTGCACTCCAGCCTGGGAAACAGAGCCAGACCCTGTCTCAAGAAAATAAATATATGTAGTCCACAAAGCCTAAAATATTTACTAATTGGTTCTTTGCAGAAAAAGCTGGCCAACTCTTGGTTTAGTAGATCAAAGATCTTTGATGTATTTTAATAAAAGTTTTACCCAATACACTGAAATGTTTATATTAAATATAGATCCCCATGTACAATCCCTTGGCAATATTCAGACTGAGGGTCCAATATTTCAGCACTCAGGCACTGACAACAAAAATTTAATAATTAGCAATCTTGTTGCTAACAAGGTACAGTGTCAATGTAGCATGTAGCTTCCATTTCCAACACAGCAGATATTACAAGAATTTTAACAAGAACTCCTAAGATGTGTCATTAAACTAAATGCTTTAAATACATTTTAATTGTGAAATAATCAGTATACCCTAGATCTAACCTCATTTTTCAAAAACGGTTGCATAATACATTATTTTGGGGGTATGGACATTGAGCTATTTCCTATTGATAAGGGAGTAGACTAGCTCCAAATTTTTAGTATAATAATGCTATAATAAATGTCCTTATATGTAAGTATGTATGTAACATATCTACACAAATATCCTTTACATGTATTATACATCCTTACTCTGTTATATATCTGTGTGTGTGTGAATATGCTACTAAATTAATGTTCAAAATGTATTTACCAACAGTGTATGAAATGTCTTTTTCAGTGAAACCATTTCCCTTGCAGCAACACAGATGGAGCTGGAGGCCATTATCCTAAGCAAACTAATGCAGGAACAGAAAATCAAATGCCACATATTCTTACTCATTAGTGGGAACTAAACATGAGAACTCATGGACACAAAGAGGAGAATAACAGACACTGGGGCCTACTTGAGGGTGGAGAGTGGCAGGAGGGAGACGACCAAAAAACTACCATTCGAGTATTTTGCTTATTATGTGGCTGATGAAATAATCTGTACCCCAAACCTCCATGATACAGTTTACCTATATAATAAACCTGCACATGTACCCTGAAGCTAAAATAAAAGGTCACTGAAAAGAAAAGAAAATGCCTTTTCCCTCACATTTGCCAATACTGGCTATTTTTCAAATAAATTAATGACTGGAAAAAATGGTAACTCATTGTTTACTGATTTTCATTTTTCTGATTAACAGGCAAGGCTGAATATCCTAGTAAAAGTATAAAATTTGTTCATCATGAATTAGATTCACAGCATAGAGTTATCTCCTGTTCAATGTTGCCACAGACTTACCTGTGATACTGTTCATTCTCAGTGTCAGGAAATTGCTGGCTTTCAGGTGTTCTGCTTTTCCTTGGTGGAATTAATCCATCATCACCATTGTCAGCAGTGGCACCGTTAGGCAGGTTTTCTGGGAATCCCATATGAGTACTTCCGTGCTTCTTCATTTCTTCTTCAACCTTGAATGAAAGTTTGATATTAAGGATAGTTATCCCTTTATTGAATAGAAAGAATATTTTTAATTGATTTTATCACTTGACCAGTTTATCATTATTTTAGTCATTAAAAACATTTCACTCTTAAATTGGATCATATACACAGAACTATTACCATATAATTTTAAGATGTACTTATCATATCACTAATATATCACAGAAATTTTTGTAAAGTTTGCTTCATTTCTGTTTCAATGAGTAAAACAGAATTTTCCAAAATTCAAAAAGGGCCCTCCTTTATTTTGTGCTTTTATTCTCAATCACTCTTCAGAATCTTATATATGTATTTACCCCCATTTGACTGGTGGGAACACATAAATAAAAAGACAAAGATGAAAAATGTGTCTTCATCCCTCTTTACCACCTAGATTTTACATTAAACAGTCATTTTAGAGGATGAGACACCGTGGGGCTTCAGGAATAGAACGGAAGATGACCCTTTTCTGCACTAAGATATTCTTCTCCCCCACTGCCTTTGAGCATTCTTTTTTCATTAGGTTCCTAGGATATCAAAAACACGAAGGTGCTCACTGAAACATGGGAACCAAAGTTTCCCACAACATAAGGAGCAGAGTGAAACTGCAGAGGTACAATCATGGAATTCCAGAAAATGAGTTGCTCCCCAAATTTCACATTCGATAGCCATAAAATTTTCTAGCTGGAAAATACACAGAATAAAAAATTATCTACTTTAGCCACATTTTCTATTGATAATCAGACTAAAACCAAGAAAGATAAAATTATTGATCCAAAGCTCCTAAAGTGGCATTACTTAGCATTTTATGGCACCATTCGGGACTATTCCATAATAATGAAAGAATATCTCTAGGGTTTGCATCTCTTTAAAATTCAATGTATAGAATTCTGAGTTAAGTATTAAATTTTTCACTGATGATTTATGCTACTTACATGATAGGATCACGTATGCCTACACTTACTACACTTTGTTAAACAACATAATGTAAAAATCTAATTCAACACAAACATTTGAATATAAAAGTATACCTTTCTATCACCACCCTTATTTATTTCTGGTTCTTGA
The DNA here is from genome assembly GCF_000001405.40 of Homo sapiens. NCBI lineage: Eukaryota > Metazoa > Chordata > Mammalia > Primates > Hominidae > Homo > Homo sapiens. The sequence goes on from NC_000014.9 coordinate 19,414,599, forward strand.
GACATTTCCTGCAGATGCAAAAACAGAAGGTTAATTTGCTTGTTGTATTTCTGTGATGTCTCCTCTTTTGGAGCACATGTTTTTAAAATAATTTTATTCTTAAGTAATCAAGTATGGACAATAAAAATTAGAAAATAATTAAAATTAAACTTAAAAAAATAAATAATAATTAAAATTAAGATTAACTTTTTAATCTATGTTTAGCTACTGCCACATCACTGGCTTCTAACATGTGAAAAATAATTCACCTTAGCCAAAGGGAGAAGAAAAACATGAACCAGCAAACTTAACTTGGTCACTATTTGTTCGGACTAAACTTAACTTGTTATGTGTTAAATCTACCAAAAATGAATCAGCAGATCATTTGTAGTGTTGCAAAACCTTCCTCACTTGAAAAGAGTTTACCTCATGAAACCCTAACTAGTGAGCCCCCACAGTGCACTGAAGTGCTTTTTTAAAAGATTCCTAACTGGATTGTAGGCACACTTTAAATTATTAGGAGCCGAAATCAACACCAAACAGAAAGAGATGCAAATTCTTAAATTTTAATTGAAATTATATACTGTAATATGATAGTGTTATGTATCTAGATTATCTGCTTAAGTCCAGTTCTAATATATTCTAATATGTACTAATGACAGTAGATAAAAATTTTAATCTGTCCTGATTTTCTGCAACTGAAATAAATTAGAATGTTATTGTGTTTGTGCACTAACACCAAAGGTCCCATTCTGCAAGATATGATTCCTTTAATAGGCAGTTGGGTTGCTTTTTTGACCTGGTTCCCTCCCTGAACAGAAACACTGAGGTCAATGAGAGACCACAACCTTAGTATCAGTGACTGACAATATAAAACTGCAGATTTTCAATCACTGGCCATGATTACTCTTTAACCATGAATCCAGCTCAGGGACCATCAGTGTTACATTGTTCATAATTCTATTGCTTAATAATATAATCCAATAATTGATGTTACATTCTTCATCATGTTAGGGTGTTGTAAAAATAAAAGAACAAAGTTCTGAAATTTGTTTTTGCCTCTATTCCAAAAGGAAAGATTAGCTATAAGCTAATCAAGAAGGCAGATAAGAATATTTTAAAATAAGAGTATTTTAAATTTCATAGTGGGTTATGTTGAAGTTAAATATCAAATATTAAATTAGAATCTATTGATTCTTCTTTTAATAAGGTTGCTGAATTTATTACAATAAATTTTAAGAATCTATTAAAATTTTTTTTTTTTTTTTTTTTTTTTTTTTTTTTTTGACACAGAGTCTTGCTCTGTCACCCAGGCTGGAGTGTAGTGGCAGATCTCGGCTCACTGCAAGCTCCACCCCCCAGGTTCATGGCATTCTCCTGCCTCAGCCTCCTGAGTAGCTGAGACTACAGGTGCCCACCACCACACCCGGCTAAGATTTTGTATTTTTAGTAGAGACGGGGTTTCATCATCTTAGCCAGGATGGTCTCGATCTCCTGACCTCATGATCCGCCCACCTCAGCCTCTCAAAGTGCTGAGATTACAGGCATGAGCCACCCCCCCAGCCAAAAGATTCTTAAAAAAAGAATCTATTGATTCTCAAAGCCTAGTCTCAAAGGTAATTTCATTTGGACTATCTAATATTATTAAAGCAAAAAAAAAAAAACAAAAAAAACGTTAAACCAAAAGTTTAAATTTAAGAGTTTCCATGCCTCTGGCTGGCTATTTTCACTTCCTTTAAGCCTTTGTGACTCTTCCTCTGATGTCAGCTTTAAGTCTTGTTCTGTTGAAAAATCCATATATTCAGTTAAAATCAACCACTTACAACAGTTAAAAACTATTGCCTTTTAAAAACAGATTTAAGACATTTCATTTTATTTCATAAATTGAGTGTTTAATCTTTCATGAAATTGTCATTTACGAAATAATTCTCAAAAACTTCAAAAAACCACTTGGGGAGACATCAGATGTCACCAGATTGAAGACATACACACATGTTAAAAATTCCCTCATAAATTCATCCACCCAACATAAATGAACAAAACCACCATAAACACAGCTTTAAAATACAGTAGAAACAATAAAGTGACACAGTATATTGTTCTCCACTTCCTAATAGTACCTTATAAATGATTTCCAAAATCACTGCTGACACCTTTATTACTGTACAACATTTTCCTAATATCTAAAATGTTTCCCTCCATAATTCTGACAAATTTATTTTAATTTTTTTTTTTTTTTTTAATGAGCCAGGGTCTTGCTCTGTCACCAGGCTGGAATGAAGTGGTGCGATCAGCTCACTGCAACCTCTGACTCCCTGGTTCAAGCGATTCTCCTGCCTCAGTCTCCTGAGTAGCTGTGATTACAGGCAAGCACCACCACACCCAGCTAATTTTTGTATTTTTAGTAGAGATGGGGTTTCACCATTGGACAGGATGGTCTCAATCTCCTGACCTCATTATCCGCCCACCTCAGCCTCCAAAGTGCTGGGATTACAGGCATGAGCCACCACACCCAGCCTTATTTTCATCTTTTGAAACAATTCTATGTGAAGTCTTCCTTGATTCTGCATGTCTTTCCCCAAATAAACAGGTATCTCCTTCCTTGAGGCTGCCTTAGTATTTTACTGATTTTTCTACGGCATCTTTACCCCCTAAGCTGTACATTATTTCTCCATATGTCTGTCCCCTCTGCTCCAAAACTGCAGGGGAGAGTCTTGCACATCATCTTTGTAAAAACAGTCTTTGTTTTACTCAGAAAATTTGTATTGAGTCCTGCTACATACATGCTAGGCATTAGGGTCTAAAAAGAATGAAAATAAAGCATCTCAGGGATGGCTTTTCTAGAACACATGCCCAAGCAGAGACTTAAATATTGAGGCTGGCCAGATTAAAAGGGGTAGAGGGCAGGAAAGGGTGACAGCATGCCCGGCAGCAGCAAGAGCGGGAGCGAGGCCTGAAAGAATGAAAGTATTTGCCTACAACAGAAGGATGAGTGAGTAGGGCACTACCAGCAGCTCAGTAATGCCAGAGAAAGGGCACACAGGGAAAAGGGCTAAAGATGGAGAGTGGGGCAGAAGTCAGATTATGAAAGCCTCATGTGTAATTTTAAGATGCTTGGACATTAATGTTCAAGAGTGGTCCCTGGTCCTATCTGCATTTAGATATAGATCACTTTAAATGCCAAAACCAATATTTGTAGTGAACCATTATTCATTAAGACAAGGTGACTGATAATTCATGTGGACACAACTGAAATGATACTATGTAGCGAATTCTCAATAATTCTCATGAACACTTGGAAAGTCAATTCTATAATAAAGTCATACAAATTATAATAAATCAGTAAAGATTTGGTTTGGGAAGATGCTTTGTAAAGTTATAGTGCATATGAATACAACTAAGAGTCGTGAATTCAGAGCTGTGACAATAAAGCAAAGAAATTACATTGTGTTTGAGTCAGCAATCTTTAGATTTCTATCCAGTCTTCCCATCCAGTCCATAAATTCTAAGTATAATCCTGGTACTCACTCTCAAGTTTACGTTAAATACTATCCCATACAAAAACCACTCTTTCTCTTGTTTTCATTATTTATATGTTGCCTTGTTTAAAGGAAGAACACAAAAATGCCCTGCTAAAGGGATTCTGTTTGGCTGCAGGCAGCAAGAGGGAAAAACACAGAGCATATTTTGCAGAAAATGATTTATTAGAAGTCAGAACTATGACACGAAGCCAAGCAGGGCACTCTAGGACTGAATTTGCTGTGCTGCCTTCATACGCTCCTTGCTCTTTCTTTTCTGGCAGCCGTGACTCACACAGCTCATGGAGAGTATCATTCCCTAAGAGGAACAACTCCGATATTCATCTTTATCTATTAAGTTCATCTGTCCCAATTCTGTGTTCTGTGGATGCTGACTTTCGGTCATGGATGGTGATACACATGGACATTTATCATCCACTTTCAGATTCTTGGAACTTTGACAAGTCTTATTAGTGAGAGTCAGACTACTAGGATGCAAGTTACAAATGCTGATTATCCAATTACCTACTCAAAATATCCTACACGAATATTCCATTAAACATGCATAGAAAAACATTAGTCATTCCTGCTGACCTGCTGTTCTTTGCTCTTCTGTATTCACCAGAAAATTTCCTACTCCTTCCTCACGTCTAGGTTAAATACTAGTGTACAACCTGGAAACCTGTACATCATCTGAGATTTCTCTCTGTCCCCCAAGCCTTTCTCATTCAATTATCACTAAATCATATTGACGATACCTCTCTTCTGCCTCCATTTTGTATTCCCACTGCCACTGGGAACATGAACATTTACAAAATGGCTTTTATTAAAAAAAAAACTGCCAACAATTAATGTTATTTCTTACGGGAAAAAAATTAAGCTAAACAAATGAAAAAAGCATAACACCAAAAAAAAAAAAAACAAAAACAAAGGCCAACATATTAAAACGAGTAATTGAGATTCCTAACTTTATTTATTTCACTATGGACAGGTGAAAACCTTGTAATACATTGATGCTACTCCAAGGATGTATGACAAGGAAACCATAGCTGACTACTGCAAAAGCTTCCTTTGTCTCCTGGTTTCTTTACATAGTAAAGAACCTTCCATCAATCCCAGCAAACTATAGGCTACAGACTAAATCCAATCTGCATTATGGCATTGTGAGTAAAGTTTTATAGGAGCTCAGTCATGCCTGTTTGCTTACATATAATTCTGGTGGCTTTCACACTACAACAGCAGACAACAGCAGGGTTAAGAAGACATGACAGAGACCACATAGTCTAAAATATTTCCCACCTAGTCCTTTACAGAAAAAGCTTTCTAACCCATTTTACACCATAACCAGAAGCCTTAATACTCAAATTTAATCTTGTGACTCCCCTGCTCAAATTTCTCCAATGAGCCCCTGCAGCACACATTGTTGGCTCCCTATCAATAGCCATTCCTTATTCTTTCTTGCAGAAGAAACACAAGTCTATTGGGATATTTATTATCCCAATCCCCCTCCTCAGCCTCAGAAAGAGAAATGTTTATTCTAAGCTAATCATGTATTTTCCTTCCCAGTGCCTGGTTTGGGAATGAGCAGGTACTCTGACCTAGCCAATGAAATATTACAGGAAGCCCTTGCATGCTTCTAAGTTTTCTCCCAGTTACGTGAATAAAACACTGCCAACAGCACAGCTGAAAGAGGGACAAGTGGGATCCTAGGATATCAATGAACAAACAAAACAACTCTGGTTCCTACTGTTTTAGCCACCGCTCATCTAGTATTTGCAGTCCAAAGCATTCTACCTGGTAAACTTCCCATGGCCCATGGGGTAAAACCTACTCATTTCTATAGTATTAAAAAGTCTATCATGAACTTGCCTTAGCTGAGTATTCACCTCATTCCCAACCTCTCGTATCTCACACTTTTGGTATTAGCAAAAGTGAATTGCTCAGAATCCCTGCAAAGTTCACTCAAGCATCTTGTCTTTTGCACTTGCTGCTCTTTCTGCCAAACAGACAATCTCATTAGATGTTCCTTCTGGCAAACACACAACCTCGTTGCATGTTCCTTCTGCCAAACATTATTCTTCTGCTTCTTTACCTAGAAAAATTCTTCTCTCTCTGCATGCTTACCTTAAATCATACCTACTTTTTTCCAAAATTTTCATTCCTCATCACATATGTCTGGCACATAATCAATATATAATAAATCATAATTATAAGCTTCCAGTGGGCATCTAGCACACAGTAAGCACTGAATAAAGTAGTCAAATAATGAAAATGACAATGATAATAACAAGCTCCTGTCTCTACTTTTAATTGTTTGTGCTCTGTAGCATTAGAAAAAATGGCTAGTATCTAAAAGACATTTGATAGTTATCTGTTAAGTGGACAAGTGAAAATAGAAATGTTTTCTTTGTAAATTCTGTTGAAAAAGCACAGCAATGAAATGGAGACAGCTCTATTATGAGCACCTTAAAGATGAAAACTACATCTATTCCATTTTTGTCTCCTGCAACTTATAAAACCTAACTTACAGAAGCTCTTTGATAAATAGATGGCTAAATTAAAGGTGTCCTCATACAGTTTGGACTATACAATGTATTAGGTGTCTACAATCAGGTAGCATACTAGCATTTTTGTTAGTGTGAAACATTTTTCTACTTTTATGATAATCTGCTGAGCCTAGAGTTGGGCAATTTGCATATTTATTATGACACTCTTTTGGCAAATGGTAGCAGAGCATCTTGTTCTAACAAAATTACTGTTATCATGACAATTAACCAGCAGGTAGAAGAACACATCTTGTTCCAAAAAAGTCAATATATCTCTTTCCAACTTCAAATGAGGAGGAATGAAGTCAGTAATAGTGAGACCTTATTGGGACAAGCATATGTAACATGACCTGTGCTTCAGTGTTCTTTTGTGATCAAAAATTCCTTACTTTTAGTTTTTTATCTATGGTAGAACCACCCAGAGCAGGGGTCCTCAACTCCCAGGCCACAGACTCATACCAGTCCACGGACTATTATGAACCACACCACACAGGAGGAGGTGAGCACTAGGCAAGCCAAGGAAGCTTCACCTGTACTTACAGCCACACCCCATGGCTCATATTACAGCCTGAACTCTGCCTCCACTCAGATCAGTGATAACATTAGAAACTCATTGGAGCACGAACCCTGTTGTGAACTGCCTATCCGAAGGATCTAGGTTGTGTGCTTCGTATGAGAATCTAATGCCAGATGATCTATCATTGTCTCACTTTGCCCCCAGATAAGACCATCTAGTTGCAGAAAAATAAGCTCAGAGCTTCCACTGATTCTACATTATGGTAAGTTGTATAATTATTTCATTATATATTACAATGTAATAATAATATAAAATAGCACAATAAATGTAACATGATTGAATAATTCTGAAACCATCCCCACCTTTCCCCAGCCCATGGAAAGATTGTCTTCCACAAAACCGGTCCCTGGTGCCAAAAAGGTTGGGGAAAACTAACCTAAAGTAATTCACTGTTATAAGTCTTACCTGGATTGCTGTTTTCAGAAGAGACTTTTAGCATCTGTTTTTCTTTGTAGTCAGAAAGTAACTGGCAAATTCTATGTATAAAATTGTAATAAACCAAATTACTATTTTAATACTGATATAAAAAATACTTACCAAATGTGAAATTCTTAACAGTATTTCAAACAATATCAGAATATCAGAACTTAACAGTATTATCCTATCCACTTATGAGTACATTCTGCAAACTTCTCTTTAAGCTTCTAATTAAAGAAGAAAAAAATGTAGGGTGAAATACTCATAAATCGAGGGCATGTGACCCAGTAAATTAGGTTGCATTAACCTGACATAATAGAAAGTGTCCCAACTCTGCATAAGTCCTAGCTCCATAATGAACAGCTATTTGTTCTTGGACAACTTGCTTCTCTTAGGCTCAATGTCTTCTTCAACAAAGTGAGGACTTTGCTGCCTTATTTCCCTAGGTTCCGATAAAAATTTAATGAGATCACATTTTTTAAATGCTGAGAGAAATAGTAAAGCAATGGAATAATCTCTTCCTAAACTTTATGACTAAAATTATCTTGGAATCACAAATAAAACCCAATGCGTATTTTGTTCATAGGTTCTAATATGCAAATGTTGTAGTTTTCAGAAAATGTTATTAAGTCCTAATTTTGCCTCTTAGTTGTCCTACTCTTTATGGCTTATATTTCAGGGCATCTCAACTATGTCATAGTTTGTAACTAAATGTATTCCTAAATATCTCATTAAAGTAGATAATGTGATTGTCCACTATTACGGAGTTGATCAATCACACCAAGGGCAGAAAAACCAATGGATGTTAAGACCTGGTTTGGACCAATGAGCCTTCTCTACAGACTCAAACTCTGAGCCCGCAGATGTTGGTTACAATGATGCTTTATATTGATGTTCAATTCCGGCTGACATGGGAGACCAAAAGTCTACTTTTATTTTTTTTAGTTTCCATGAAGAAGTAGCAAGCTGACATTCTGTCATTTTCGACATACATACTAACAATATATTTTGCACCAAACATGTTATTCAGCTCTAAGTCATCTCATAGACCATCTTACATGACTATTTTTGCAGCGCAAATCACAATTTCAATATTTGGGTGGCACCCATTTCGCTTTGATTCACACTGTTTCCTTAGAGCTAGTCAGCAAATAGTCAAATGACCTTCCAGTGACTGCACAAAATATGGAATGCTTCAAAGATCTGTGCTGCCTCCTTATGCAGAAGCCACGCTAACTTTCTCCGTATTGTTCTAATTTTAGGATATGTGCCGCCGAAGCAAGCACAAAGCCCTACTTTTACACATGCCTAGTGATGCTTCATGGACAAGGCTTGGCTCTGTTGAGTCCAACTAACCTACCTGAGATTCTGAGATTTCTCTTCAATGGCTTCCTGTGAGCTAGAGTTTGAAAATATCTTAAAATCTTGAGCTAGAGATGGAAGTAGCTTGGACGATTTTCATTATCATGTAAATCGGGTCACTCAAGGGGCCAACCACAGCTGGGAGCCACTGCTCAGGGGAAGGTTCATATGGGACTTTCTACTGCCCAAGGTTCTATACAGGATATAAAGGTGCCTCACAGTATAGATCTGGTAGCAAAGAAGAAGAAACAAACACTGATCTCTTTCTGCCACCCCTCTGACCCTTTGGAACTCCTCTGACCCTTTAGAACAAGCCTACCTAATATCTGCTAGAGAAAAGACCAACAACGGCCTCAAAGGATCTCTTACCATGAAGGTCTCAGCTAATTCTTGGCTAAGATGTGGGTTCCACATTAGGTTCTGAATATGGGGGGAAGGGTCAATTTGCTCATTTTGTGTGTGGATAAAGTCAGGATGCCCAGGGGCCAGAGCAGGGGGCTGCTGCTTTGGGAACAATGGCTGAGCATATAACCATAGGTATGGGAACAAAAAACATCAAAGTCACTGTATCAATTGCCATGAAGACTTGAGGGACCTGAATCTACCGATTCATCTTAAGGCAGCAGGACCAGTTTGAGTGGCAACAATGCAGCAGCAGAATCAATGGAAACAACAGAATGATTGCAATGTCCTTTTTTTTCTCCTCCTTCTGACTTGATAAAAGGGACCGTCTTCCTTGGATTTAGTGAACCCCTTTGGTTCCTGAAAAATTCAAGGAGTATCTAGGACATAGTCCCCAGAAGACAGTACAAGACTTTCTGATAAACTGGACATTTCAAGACCCAAATAACTAATCAGAAAAATCAAAGATGTGATACTATTTTTTATCCCATGCATAGGTGCTACACTTGGATCAAATGAACAATGTTGGGATCTCTATGGATAAAGGTCTTAAAAGTCCTGAGATAAAGAATCCTGCACCCACTGGTACTTCTAACTTGTCTTGTTTTTTGTCTGATTTCTGGCTGATGCAGGGGACTAACTCACTGCCACGCGAAAACTACCTGAACTGAACTATGACATCTCACCTGATATGTAAGATGTAACTGTTATAATTATTTTAAACCTCAATTTAGCATTAACTAGCCTTTTAATGTAAACACTTACACATTATGATGACTAGAAACAGCATACTCTCTGGCCGTCTGTCCAGATAGATCTTGAGAAGATACATCAATGTTTTGCTCAAGTAGAAGGCTGACTATACTTGCCGATCCACAACATACAGCAAGTATGAGAGCAGTTCTAAAATGACAGAGATAGGAACAGTAATAAAGTTATTTTAAAAGCTAATTTGATATACTTTACCAATTTAACATCTTGCCTGTCCGTGCAGAATCAAACATTTACATGCACTAAAAGACATAAGCATCTTCAGTGCTCAAGTGTTCATATTTGTAAAATACCACCAAGGTTAAAAGGAAGGGACAAAAAAAAAACCCTCTTATCTCAGTGGGGTATTGCATAGCAGAAGCTACTAATTTAAAGTCCTTTGATGGACAAGAAACAATATTAGGGCCACTTATCTGAAATGAACAAAGATTTAAGTGAAGATTTCATCACAGCTTCCCTAGACTGATATGCTGTAATAGAAAATCAGCTAGGGGGTAAAATAAATAAGACCTCTCTGCGTGCTGAAAGCAAGTAAGATTAATAATAATGGTAAGAATAGTAGTCACAGGAGTTTCAGTTAATGATGCCAATAAGCATGTGCTAGGCACTGAATTAAATGCCACATATATCTTTCTTATGCACAGCAAACTTTGAAGGAATGTATTCTCCTAATTTTCATATATGACAACATATTTGGTGGTAAATAACGTTCCCAAGGTCACACACCTAGCAAGTAAGAAAGTTAGGAATTAAACCCAGTATTGTGTGAATCTAAAGCCTAACTTTTTTCTCTTTATCACCCACCTACGGCTTGTCTTCATTAAAGGAAAAGTGTATCCACTTAAAACTATCTTCACTCCCTCTCTCCATACCAATTAAAAATAAAAACATCAAAATACACTGGAAATAAAAAAGGAAAAAAGCTGTTGAACCCACAGTACGTGGGAACAGCAATTAATTGTCATGCAGGGATAAGCTAACATTAATATTCTTCAAAGAAAGCAACTTAAGGCAGAATCATTGAAAAGACAAAAGGATTTTCAACCCCTATTTATGGTTAATACAGCGTATTTAGTGGAAAAGCATGTAAGACACAGGTTAAAAACTATTAGAAAGGGTTAAGAAGTTCAATACTGAGTCATAAAGTAAACTAAAATTAAAGTTCAAACTTCATAAAATATGAAATCCCTTTAGCTAACATAAGATCATGTAACCAAAAACATTACATAGCAAATAACATCAGTCAATATAATAAAAGATGAATCCTACTAAAACTTTTATGTTGCCCAGTCCAAATAATTGTTTTTCTACCGAACTGATTTGTGTTCATACTGATCACTATATCCCAATAAGTATACATTAATCTTATTTAATATTTATGACTTGAGTGACTGCTATCCATCTGGAACACACAGATTAAAAGAAAGAACTATACCTTCCATATCTATCCAGTGCATTTAAATTTGCTTTTTTCTTGATTAAGAATTTCACCACTTGCTGTTTTTGCTCATGTACACCAAGTAACAGTGGTGTGAGGCCATGCTGTAAAACAATATAAAGCAAAAACGTATGTAATTCAAAAAAGTACATATTCCTCAACCGAAGTGGAAACTTTATATAAGATCTTATGGACTTACATGCATAGAAAGTAAATAAAATGTAGTCGCTTCCTTCTCACTCTTCTGTGCTTTCCCACACGCTGCTCCTTCCCTTGGAAACACCCCTTCTCTGCCTCACCACAGTAACTCTACTCATCTCAAAAACTCACTTTAAACATTTACTGCTTCCAAGGCTCTTTGCTTCTAACCCAGCATTTGATATGGTATTATTGGATGGTAATATTTTTCCCATCTAAACAAAGAGCTCCTTGAGGGCAGGGGCTGTATCTTTTGTTTCTATATCCTCAACCCTAAGATAAATTGCGTATAAAGCAAGAATTTGCATGTAAAATATTTCTTTAGTTTCATGTTTTACTGAAAGTTCAACCTCCAACATGCAACAAAAATTGCTATTAAAACTCACACTGCCCATCTGAAAAAATTTTCCAACATTTATTTATTTAAAATCTATTTATATTTAATTTTCCCAGATTGTTACTAAATAATCAGTTCATAGGACTACTGAAACTAAATTAACAGAATTTCTATCTGTATTCTTAATAACTCCATGGTTTTAAGTGTGTAAAACTGCCATGCTGATTATGCCAAAGCTCTACATACTTAAAGAGACACACTGGACAGTCCACAATACAGCTTCAATTGATAAAAAACAGTTTAGAATTTGCTTAATTCCAATTGAGAAAACTCTGCTCTTAATGACTTACTGACCTAAGCACTTGAATGACTGAACAAAGAGACACAAAATCCTGAGAGGGCCATCCTCTACTTATTGAAAGACTGCTCACAGCAAACTACTAAAGACCTTCTGAATGGCAGTGAATAACTGATGGTAGAAAGGAAAATATATTATTCTGTAACCTGATAGATACTACCAATAATATTCATTTTAATGTCTCAACCACAGAGATAAAAGTCAGACTAGGCCAGGAATGGTGGCTCACACCTGTAATCCTAGCACTTTGGGAGGCTGAGGGGGATGAATTGCTTGAGCCCAGGAGTTCAAGACCAGCCTGAGAAACATGGCAAAAACCTCATCTCTACTAAAAAAAAATAAAAATAAAAATAAAAATAAAAAGAAAGAAAGAAAAAAACAACTGAGGTTGAGGTTGGAGGACCATCTGAGCTTCGGGAGGTCGAGGTTGCAGTGAGCTGTGATCACACCACTGCACTCCAGCCTGGGAAACAGAGTGAGACTCAATCTAAAAAAAAAAAAAAAAGTCAGATTAATGTTATTGGAAAGGAAAGATTTAAAGAAATCAGCACATATCCAACTCCAACTCTTCTAGAGATACCTTAAGTTTCTGAGATATAAGAATTTATATATTACATTTATGTATTCAGTGGTTCTTAAGCAGGAGTGTATCCAGATTTTGAGAAAATTGTTGCTGTTGTTATTGTTGCTGTCGTTGTTAGAGACAGGGGCTCATTATGTTGACAAGGCTAGACTCGAACTCCTGAGCTCAAGCAATCCTCCCACCTCAGCCTCCCTAACAGTTGGGACTACAGCCATGCACCAACATGCCTGGCTTCAAGGAAACATTTTTAAATATACATATCCAAGCTTTATTAGACTTACTGTATCAAAATCTTCAGGAATAAGCCTAGACTTGTTGATTATTTAAAAATTTTCCTCAGGTTACTGGGATGCACAATTCTAGCTGAAAGCTAGTACAATAGACAATTACTTCAGTCTCATTTCTCACCACCCACATAACCAATTCCCTTTCTTATTTGAAGATTTGGCCAAAAAGAGTAAAGAGTAGGAGAGAGACCCATTTGCTGAAAACACCACATAATTTTTCCCGGTAACACAACAGGATCTAGTCAACTCAAAATCCAACTTGATCTTGTTACTCATTTATCTTCCACCTTCCCATCCAGACACTCTAGATTTGAAAGCAGAGCTGAGGCTCTAATTGGCCACTTCTACCAGAAGAGGATACTAAGTCAGTTAATTACTTGATATTCCCCCTGCTCAAGGGTTTCCCCTTACATTACCCACCTATTCACTGCCAATCTGGTTCCTCAGAGGCCTCCTAAAATTCATCTCTAGGCAGTTTACAACCCACTAACTCCCTCTCCCAAACTGAAAACTGTCATTCTCTAAAATCAAAGAGAACTTTGTCTCACCATACAAAGGAAATAAATAAATGAACAACAACAACAACACCACACACACACAACCTCTTCATGGTCTTTTCCCTCTATTGCCTAATTTCCAAATTGGCCCTGATATTTCTGACTGCTCTCTTTTTCCCTTTCCACTTCTGCCTCATGAGCAATCAGAAATATCTTAAGCCTTGCCACTGAGAGGTGCATCACCTCGTATCTATTACTGTTTTTTAGGAACTTGCCAAAGAAGCAGGATCTCTATTCACTGAGACATGTTTAAGTTTTCTTGGAGTTTTCATGTAAAACCTATTTCAGGGCAAATTTTGCCATTTTACATTCATTAGGGGAAAAGAATCCTAGGAGGGAAAAACTGAAAAATAGTAAGTATTACCTTTTACAAATTCAGTGTTTTCAAAAAAAAGTATTTACCGCAAGTGCATTAAAAAAAAAAACTGTACCCTCTAATGCTTCTTTGAAAGTAACAATATTTAAAATAAAATCTTAGATAATTAGGTCATTTCAAAATATTTTCATTCAGGTTATGCTTGAGCTTCCAAATATGGAAAACTGGCCCTTACACAGGTCAATGTTAACACGAATGCATTTCAGTATTTTGAAGATAAAATTGGTAGATCTATACCTTGTTTTTTGATTCGATATCAGCACCGTATAAGAGCAGTGCTTTGGCCATTAATTTATCTTCATTGTAGATAGCATAGTGTAGAGCGGTATTTCCATACTCATCTGGAATATTCGGATCAGTGCCATGTTCCAGCAACATTAACGCACATTCATCTTCCCGGCATTGTACGGCCTGTCAGTATTACACCATAAACAAATTACAAATCCTAGGATTTCAAAATAACATTCCACAGCTTTCACCAACTAGTTATATTTAAAGGAGAAAACTCATTTTTATGCTATGTATTGAAATCAAACCCACTTCACGCTGACATAGTTGGCTACTGCATACCTTTGTCAGAGCTGTCCTCTTTTTGTTGTCAAGGATATTAAGTTGACATCGTCTGTCCAGCAGGAGTTTTACTACTTCTGAATTTCCATTGGCAGAGGCCAGATGTAGAGCAGTCCTATGAGGGTGAGAAGACTTTTTAGGAAATTGTAGTGCACTAGCTACAGCCATATCAATGACACACATAATCACAAACACTGAATAGCCTGCTATTACTGTGCCTTCAAAACAAACATTTAACTTTCCCATGAAAAAAGCACACGATTTATTATCTCTCATTACTCGCTGTATTAATGAAAGAGCAGCCTATATGAATACAAAGAGCATAGCCCTTGGATGACATTCAACTTGGGCTGGAATCCTACTTGAAGCTCTGTCACTTTCTGGCTGTTGCTTAGCCTTTTGGGGTCTCAGTTTCCTCATCAATAAAATAGGAATGAAAATAGTAGCTTTCTCACAGGAAACCACTGTAATGCTTAAATGAGACTCGGCACAAAAGATACAGAATAGTTCCTAACACAAATAACAGCTCAATAATTGTTAGATATTATGATTTTTACTAATACCACTAAAGACAACATTTGAATTAAGTGAGATGATACAATTATACCTACACTTTCAGGTGTGTTTTAAATATTACAGCTAACATTGTATTTTAGTGATTCTGAGATGATCATTGTCTCCATGTTGTCTCCACTGAAATACCACTTACAATTCATGATTTACTATAATTGGTGGCATTTAAATAATTCTCTTATTGAGACATAAAATAATGGGGCATCGTACAATCTCTGGTGCCTTACATTAAGTAGAATATGTTATAATGTAACAGGTCTGGGGCGGTTCCAGTCAGATGACCAGCATTTAAATTTTAGTTCTTAAAAGTACTATGGAATAAGAGAGCTGAAGTGAAAACAAAAACAAATTTCTAAAATAAACCAATTCTTACTTTGGTTTTCAATAAACTTTAAGCCAAACAAAACTTGGAATTGAAATGAATAGCATGGGCTCATTTTTTTCAATACTTAGATTTATACAATGTATGTACATCAGATATTTCCAATCATTCATATTAGGATTTAAGACTGTTATAAATTTTCTCTTTTTAAAATGGATTTATGAAACTATTTGTGGAGCTTTTTTCAACTTTTACATTCAGGGGTACATGTGCGGGATGTGCAGGTTTGTTACATAGGTAAACGTGCACCAACGGGGTTGGTTGTACAGATTATTTCATTACCCAGGTGTTAAGCCCAGTACCCGTTCATTCTATTTCCTGCTTCTTTCCCTCCTCCCACCCTCCACCCTCTGATAGGCCCCAGTGTGTGTTGCTTCCCTCTAGGTATCTGTGTGTTGACATCATTTAGCTCCCACCTATAAGTGAGAACATACAGTATTTGGTTTTCTCTTCCTATGTTAGTTTGCTAAGGATAATGGCTTTCAACACCATCCATGTTCCTGCAAAGGACAGGCTCTCGTTCCTTCTTTTATGGCTGCATAGTATTCCATGCTGTTTATGTACCACATTTTAGTTCTTAAAACAACTAAAACAGTCTTTATCCAAGACTTATACATTTTCAAAAGGGCAGTTAAGGGTTGTCTTTTACTATTTTCTACCTTCAGAAATGCTTCTGTTTGAAAGGAGGGAGGAGAAGCTTCAATTGAGATTAAGTCCTAATGCCCCAATTTTAAATCTCTCAGCTTGCTCAAGCCCAGCAGGCAAACATAAATGTTTTCAAAGATGGAAGGATCCTGAGAGATAGTAGAATATGCCTGCCCCATAATAGGCGTCTGGCTTATGTCTGATGACTAAACGGATTGAAAACAATGGATGAACACAGCTTGGGAGTTCAATATTTTTAAAGAAAACTCCTGTAGAGTAGGGCAATACATTTGCAATAGTAATATCATTTATATTTGCTATTTTAATTTTCATAAATATATAACTCAACTAAAATGATTAATTCATACTTTTTACATGTTAATCTATATATAATGAAAAGGTAATTATGTGATAAAATCTATATACAATAAAATCTACAGGAACAGGTAAACACAATCCCTCTACTTCTGAAGAGGGTAAAAGTTCACAGTAGATAGCCAACCACAGAAATAAAAATAAATAATAGAATGTGAGAAATTATTTGCATCTATGCAAGAAGCATATTCCTTCTCTTCCCAAGGATTATGTCATTACTAATGAACCTAAACTAAAAGTTCAGATGTTCATTGCAGAAATCACAGATAAAAGGAAAAACTTCATTTACAAATCCCCAGAAACAAGTTTGATTATATTTTCTACATATTTTCAGCTAACACAAGAGCAGATTCTGTTCGTGTATATGTGTAACAAACTGATTTTTTTCTCACTTGCTATAGCAAAGTACATCTTTGCATGTCGACATATCTCTATGTACTGACACCCTCAATAGTTACATATTATTCCGTCCTATGGATGCACTGAAATTTGTTCATGAAATCTTTATATGGGCTTTTCTAAATACACTGCTATTTTAAGCAATACTAAGAAAAACAGACATCTATTTGGTGAAGATATTTCAGTATAATGGAACTGATGAGGAAAAAGCATAACATTTTTAAAATGTGGTTCTTACCACTAAAGTGCCTGTTTGAAAAGCTGCAGCAACTTAAACTTTAAACAACTATATAAGTACCACTGTTATTCATCCTCACAAACTTTGTGGATAGAAAACAGTATTTCATTCCTTTTGTTTGTTTGTTTTTTAGATGGGGTCTCACTCTGTCACCCATGCCGGAATGTAGTGGCACGATCTCGGCTCACTGCAACCTCCACCTCCCTGGTTCAAGCAATTCTCTTGCTTCAGCCTCCTGAGTAGCTGGGATTACAGGTGCATGCTACCATGCCCAGCTAATTCTTTGTATTTTCAGTAGAGATAGGATTTCACCACACTGGCCAGGCTGGTCTCAAACTCCTGACTTCATGATCCACCTGCCTCAGCCTCCTAAAGTGCTGGGGTAACAGGCGTAAGCCACTGCACCTGGCCTTTCATTCCTCCTCTAACTTAAATAGAAAACAGTATTTCATTCCTCTTCTAATTTAAATTCCTTCTTCTACCAGGAATGCTATCTTTTCCTATGCACATAGGTCACTGGTAGATATGCAAAAAAGTACTTTGCCCAATTTTAAAATGTGCTTATTTTATTGCATATATAGGCCAGGCATGGTGGCTCACGCCTGTAACCACAGCACTTTGGGAGGCCAAGGTGGGTGGATCACGAGGACAGGAGTTCAAGACCAGCCTGGCCAAGATGGTGAAACCCCATCTCTACTAAAAATACAAAACAATTAGCCAGGCGTGGTGGCAGGCGCCTGTAATCCCAGCTACTCAGTAGGCTGAAGCAGAGAATTGCTTGAACCTATGAGGCAGAGGTTGCAGTGAGCCGAGATCGCACCACTGCACTCCAGCCTGGGCAACAGAGTGAGACTCCATCAAAAAAAAAAAAGAAATTTTGTATATATATATATATATATATATATATATATATATATACACACACATGTATATATATGTATATACGTATATATATATATACATATATATATACATATATACATATATATACATGTGTATATATATCTGCATATGTAAATAGGCACTTGTGTTTTCTTCTGGTATGTTTCTCTTTTTGTATATTTAAAATTTTTAATCTATACTCTGATTTTTGTGATATAAACATCTAGCTAGTTTTCTCCAAAAATGAATTATGAACAATCCATCTTTTTTAAATAATACAAAACGTCACCATTATCAAGCGCTAAATTCCTACATATATTTCGGTATTTCTAAATTTCCTGTTCTGTTTTATTCATTGATGTCTTTTCAGCTGTTAGTAAACAATTTGTGGAAATAAATAACATGCACATTTTGACATCTGGAAAAGCAAGCCTTTGTCCATTCTGCTACAAAAAAATTAACTTAGCACAATAATAAAAGACAGCATGTGTAATTTAAAAACTCTAAAACTGCTATTTTTATTTGGCTTAAGTAAAAGTGATAAATAGAAAAAGCTCACTTTTTTTTTTTTTTTGAGATGGAGTCTTGCTCTGTCTCCCAGGTTGGAGTACAGTGGCGTGATCTCGGCTCACTGCAAGCTCCGCCTCCCGGGTTCACGCCATTCTCCTGCCTCAGCCTCCTGAGTAGCTGGGACTACAGGTGCCTGCCACCGCGTCCAGCTAATTTTTTTTATATTTTTTAGTAGAGACGGGGTTTCACCGTGTTAGCCAGGATGGTCTCGATCTCCTGACCCCATGATCTGCCCTCCTCAGCCTCCCAAAGTGCTGGGATTACAGGTGTGAGCCACCACGCCCAGCCAAAAAGCTCACATCTTCAGAAAATTCAATCTTCCTATTCAAGCACAAGAACCATCTTCCCATTTCAGTTCTTCTAAGTAATCTTCTAAGATTACTCAGTAAAGAACATATTTACATAGTGTACATTGATATAAAATCCATACTGGATTTTATTTGAAGAATATTTAGCCCTGAAGTTGATGTGTTATGGGGCTTCATTCTTAGTTCTCAATATACACTTTTTTAACGTACAGAACATTGTTTTAAAATCTGTACATTAAAAATAATCTGCTGCATCGACAATGTTGCGAGTTAAATCACTTCAAAACAGTCTATTAGTGTTCTAGGAGGGAAATTATAATTTGATTGGAAATCAGCTAAAGTTTTGTTTTTGTGTTGCTGCTCATAAAGGGGCCTGTGCCCTGAACTCTCTGAGGTTTCCACATCCAGGGTGGTGTGAGGCCTGCGGAGGCGAGAAAACCAGGCTCCCCTCCTCCCCCGCCAGGAGGGTATGTCCCCATCATCCTCCCACATCCCACCTCCTCCCAGCCCAGGCCTGGTTACCTCTTTTGCTTGTCCTTCTTGTTCATGTCAGTGTCCTTGAGCATGACGATGAGATCCTTTCTGGGGACTTTACCCCACCAGGCAGCTCTGTGGAGCTTGTCCAGATCTTCTCGACGGACGTGGTACCTCGGCTCCATGAAAGCGCTGTCGTCGTAGTCTCCCCAAGGGCCCACTTTGCTCTTGCCGCTCCCCCTGCAGCAGGGGAAGCAGTGGCAGCACCACTTGCCCATCTTGCTCCTGAGTGTCTTCATAGCAGAGTCGTCGTGGTCTCCAGAAGTGCCCACGTTGCTCTTGCTGCTCCCCCTGCACCAGGGGAAGCAGTGGCGGCACCACTTGCCCATCTTGCTCCTGAGTGTCTTCATAGCAGAATCGTCGTGGTCTCCAGAAGTGCCCACGTTGCTCTTGCCGCTCCCCCTGCACCAGGGGAAGCAGTGGCGGCACCACTTGCCCATCTTGCTTCTGAGACCAAATGGCTTCTTCACAGAGGAGGCAGCCGGCATTGAACCAGCCTCAGCCACCATCTGCTTTTAACAGCCAGGGGAGGCCGGTAGTAGCCAGCAGATCGCGTCTACCAACCAGTTTCACCAACTAGCAGATAACTCCGGGTTTCTAATCTGTTTGAAGAGAAAAGTCCCGACCAAAACCTGCCAACCCCAGCAGGGGAGCCCAGCCCACCCCACCCAGGGAAAACCCACACCCACCTGGGGAAAGCCCACACCCACGCTGGGCGACCCCACGCCCACCCCAGGAAGGGCCAACCCCACCCCCCAAGAAAACACCCGGCCCACCCAAGGGAATGCCAAACCCAGAAGAGAAAAGGTCAAGTCCAGCAAAGTAACGTGACAGAAAAAACGTCAGTCCAAGGAAGAAATGTCAATCCAAGCGACAAACGCCAAGCCAAGCAAAGAACGCAAAGCCAAGCCAAGCGCTACAGGCCAGCCAAGCCGTCACGCACGTGCAGTGTGCGCATGCCGACTGTTACAGACCAGCCAAGCCGTTAACGCGCGTGCAGCATGCGCGTGCAAGCCATTACAGGCCAGCCAAGCCATTACGCACGTGCGGCATGCGCGTGCAAGCAGTTACAGGCCAGCCAAACCGTTATACGCGTCCGGTGTGCGCGCACGGCATGCACGTGCAAGCCGTTACAAGCCAGCCAAGCCACTGCCGCGCGTGCGGCGTGCGCGTGCGGCGTGCGCGTGCGGCGTGCGCGTGCGGCGTGCGCGTGCGGCGTGCGCGTGCGGCGTGCGCGTGCGGCGTGCGCGTGCGGCGTGCGCGTGCGGCGTGCGCGTGCGGCGTGCGGCGTGCGCATCTCTGGTGGTGTCAGTACACGTGGCACAGACAGTGGCCGATGCGTGCAACCTGCATAAGCCTTGGAACCACGAATGTCACTGACAGCCTGGTGTTTCCCGGCAAACTTCCTGGGAGTCAGCCGAGCTTTCAGGCCATTGAGAAGCCTCTGGTGAAAGAAAAAGCTTCTTGAAGCAGGACTGGGGCTAAGGGGCTGGAACTTGAGGATGCTGACAGCCTCCTCTGAAGAAAGCCCCCAGGACACTCCTGGTGGTGCTGTTGTGCATGGCCGCTGCTGCAGCTCAGAGCACCGGCTGGCGGAGCTGGCTGCAAATGGCCTCAAAATCACGGAGCATGTTCTCACTCACAGGTGGGAATGGAACGAGAACACACGGACACAGGAAGGGGAACATCACACACCAGGGACTGTTGTGTGGGGGGAGGGGGGAGGGATAGCATTAGGAGATATACCTAATGCTAAATGACGAGTTAATGGGTGCAGCACACCAACATGGCACATGTATACATATGTAACAAACCTGCACGTTATGCACATGTACCCTAAAACTTAAAGTATAATAATAATAAAATTTGAAAAAAAAAATCATGGAGCACAAGACGCCCACTGAGCCCAGCACCTGCCTGAGGTGCCTTCGATACCTGCTCCTCTTTGCTCCACACCCAGAACACGAGGCCATCAGCGAGGGGGCATTTGGGGCCACAGGATCGCAGCCAGCTCCTGCCCCGGTGCCCCCTGCCTGTCCAAGCCAGGGCCAACATCTGTGGGGCTTCTGGCCTGGGGGGCTCTGCTCCACTGGCATGCAATAGGGTCAAGGTGCAGGCCGCTGTGTCCAGGCCAGCAAGAGGGGGCTTGGAGGAGCACCTACCACTGATGGGGAGATGCAGAAAGGCAACCCCACGTGCAGATCCTGAGAACAAGACACTGAGCCTCCCTGGTGCTGGCCTCTGAGCTGGACCAGGGCAGTGGCACCTCAATGCTCCTGCCAGGACTCTCCTGCTGCAAAGCTTTATGCAGCCAGGCTCCAGTCTGCTTCACCCACACCACAGGTGCTTTGGTGTGGGAGGAAAAATGGATTCTGAGCCTGGACACCAACCTGCTCTTACCAAAAGAAGTAGAGGAAAAGCCAATCACAAGTGCAAAAAAAAAAAAAGGTACTATTTTGTAACTGAAATCTTGCCTGATATGCAGGGTTAAGCTAAAGCTCCTCTTGCTTGATACTAAATTAAATTTTGAATGAAACAAAAAGAAGACACACACACTAAATTTCCTTGTTCCTCTGTGATCCCCTGAGCCAGGAAGCAAGAGAAAGCCTGGCCTCCTGGACTCTCTCCCCAGCTGGGGGGCTGAGCAATTTCCTCCAGGCTCACAGGGAGCAGCTGGGCTCAGTGGGGCCACGTTGCCCTTCCTTCCTACATGGGCATCCTCAAACCTTCCATTGCCCCATACAGAGTACCATGATCCGGGTTCAAATCCCAGCTCCGGCACTCGCCACCTGTGTCACCTGGCAAATGCCTTACCCCCAGACGCTTGCTGTCTGTGTCCTTCCTGACAGGAGGGATGGGAGCTGGTGGCCCTGGCATGAGGTGCTGTAACAGTCAAACACAAGCAGGAGCAGGTAGACACCTGGGTGGGGGACTGCCCTGCTGGGGGTGCTCACCAAAGAGTACCTACCCATCTGCCCACGTGGCCTTGCACATCTCAACACTTATCAGGCACCTGACTATGGGAAATCCCTAAACAAAGCCCTGAGCTGCCCTGGGGAATGTGACCAGGGCAATGCACCAGGAAGGACAGTCTGGGGTGCTTGGCATGAGTAAGGATAGGCTGGGGAAATGCCAACCTCTTCCCACCAGCTTTGTGTCCCAGGGCACCCTCAGTGGACAGAGAACCCAGAGATGCCACAAGGCTTGAGCTGCATCCTAACCATCCTGAGTTCCGGCCCAGCCATGGTCCAGGCCCGAAGGTACTTTGGGTGCTAAGTTGGGATGATGAGGGGCCAGGTGAGACACTCCTGTGTTCCAGGATCTGGTCAAGAAGGTGGTAGCCTGTCACTGCCTGGCTCCATCTGGTCCCAGTGGAACAAGAAGGGCAGGAAGCCTCTAGCACCCACCCTCTGGGCCACCAACACCCAGGTCCACAGTGTGGCCACCTGACTCAGCATCACCTGCCTTGGGGACCAGAACATGAAGGCCCAGATATGACGAGCATAGTGCAGCAATGGATGCAGGTGGGCAAGATGTGCTGTGTGGATCCAAGGAGCCCCTCTCTGGAGGCTTGGGCATAACCTCTCCATCTTACTGACACATAATATTTTACCTCTTTGTAGGGTACATACAAATACTTGTTACATGCATAAAATGTGTATTCTGGTTACTTTGAATATTTACACATAATAATATTACTTAGCCACCACAGCCTGCTGTCAAACATTACAGCCTATTTCTTCTAAATGTAGGTTTGTACCCAATAGCCAACTTCTCTTCATTCTCCCTTCCACATACCCAGTCTTCCCGGCCTCTGGTACTGCCATTGTATTCTCTTTGTCCATGGGATCAAGTTTCTTTAGCTCCCACGTGAGTGAGAACCTACACAACTCCAGAATCGTTATTAAAATCAGGAATTATTGTTATTATTTTTTGAGACGGGCTGTCACCCAGGCTGGAATGCAGTGGTGCAATCTTGTCTAACTGCAGCCTCAACCTCCCAGGTTCAAGCAATCCTCCCACCTCAGCCTTCTGAGTAGCTGGGACTACAGGGGCGTGCTACCATGACTGGCCAAGTTCTGTATTTTTGGTAGAGATAAGGGGTCTCACCATGTTGCCCAGGCTGGTCTCCCACTCCCAGTCTCAAGTGATCCTCCTGCCTCAGGCTCCCAAAGTGCTAGGATTACAGGCCTGAGCCACCATACCTGGCCTGATCCCAGTTTTAGAAAAACTCTGTAACTAAATTTAGATGAAAATATATGAATCTGTCCAGTGATTGCTTTCCCATTTTCTAAACTGTGCTTTTTTTTATATCATCGAGAATCTTCCATAAATGTACTTTGGTTTGAAATATTTTCTTGAAGTCAGACATATTTAGCTGTGACGTGGAACAGTTCTTCTCACAGCATCCCCTCCCTGCAAACTGCAGGTCCTGAGGTCAGTGGCCCTTGACTCTATGGACTCTATATTCTTCCCTGGATCCAGACCCTAACTCAGGGGACAGCGGCACCGCCTCCTGCCCGGCTCTCGGCTGCCTGTACTGCTCGTCATGGTGACAGGATGGCCTGCCCCAGATGAGTGTCAGTGTGCGTGTGTGTGTGTGTGTGTGTGTGTGTGTGTGTGTGTGTGCTTTTGCTGCATTTCTTCTGTCTTGCTTTTGTCATCTCTCTTTCTCCCTCTCCTCCCTGAGGCCTGCACAGGGCAGCTGTGCTATCCACTTCTGAATGTGGGGTAAGCTGTGGCCCAGGCCTGGGTGCCTGCTGGGACCTCCCAGGAGATGTGTGGGAGCAGACAGCAGGTGGGCTCAGACACTCTAATGGGCACTTGTGCCTTGTTCTGTCCCTGTCATTTGAGGCCATTTTGGCCAATGGGAAAGCAGACCCCTCTGGCAGAAAAAGGTCCACTTTGACTCAGGCTGGGGTGGTAACTCTGCCTGCAGGTTGGACCTGTGAGTCTCATCGTGAACCCCCATGGGTGACTGGCACTGGGAGAAGTAGAGGACGTGTGGGTTCTGCCTGCTGTCTTCACGTGTGGAGACAGGGTCCTGCCAACCGGTCTCCTGGAGGGGGCGTTGCCTCCTGTGGGTGCCATGTGTGCCAGAATCCAAGCATGGGTGTACACAGGGGCTGAGCCCACTCACAACCCAGGACAAAGTTGCTTGGCTGTTTTGGGGCTGGGAGATCTCGAAAAGCCTACCAAACCCAGCATCATCAGTGGCTCTCCCACACTCAATGCCTTGGTCTTTCTGCTTTTTTGGCCGTCACATTGGCACATTTCTTGGTGCCACCAAAACAACTCAAAATAATCTCTTTTCAGTCATGCCTGAATAACATAACCGGCTTCAGGTTTCCTGAAAACAGAGAAAGTGAAAATCCAGAAAAAATGGCTGTTTTCTTCCTCTGACGGTCCAGCCTGTCTTCAACCACAGGACTCCACGCTGGCCTGGGGTCTGAGTCTCCTGCATTAGTCACTGTCTAGCTTTGACCAAAACCATGAGCAACTGAAGCAGAATATGAACGTGGAAAATGTTCTGGGTTGTCCCCATGTTGGGAAATTATTGTCCAACAAATGAGTAGCTGTCCAAAGCACTGCAAAACAACTAGTGTGCCTCGGAGCTTGTCAGAGGAAGCGTTCAAGAGTGCTTTCTCTGTCTCATTCAGCAAGTCTCACTTCCTTTTTATGTTCTAAATCAGAATGTTCTAAATCAGAACATAGAATCACGGGCCAGGCTTGCAAGAAGCAAACATTAACTTCTATCGACATGTACTTAGCTAGGGCTCATTTGAATGGCCATATGCAGCAGCAAAGAGGCTGGAAAGGAGTGTAATGGTGTGACTAGTGGAAAGAGGAGACACGTTTGTTGTTCTTCACCCCATGTATACTAAGGATGTTTTTAGAAAAAAAAATTTTTTTTTTGCTCAAGCACAGTTTATGCAACAAAATGTGATTCAGAATCTAATTTCACAAAATAAATCCAGAGGAGAGACTTGAGGGAAAAGGGCAAAGATGTAACTCAATAAAGTCCATAGCATCACAGAATAGGATGATGGTGATGGTTTCTAACCTTGAGAATGTCTAAGTGGGTTCTTCAGTTTCTAAAATTTATTTATCTGTTCTTGAACCCAAGAAATCAGAATAGATCGTAACAGAAAAAAAATGACCTAGCTTTCACCTAGACAAGTTAGAAAATGCAGAAGTAGCCTGGCAGAAGTACAACCATCTGACCTTTGACAAAACCACAGAAATAAGAAAGAAAAGGCTCACTATGCGATGAATGGCGCTGGGATACATGACTAGCCATGTGCAGGACAATTAACACTGCAGCCCTGCTTGTCATCATATGGAAAATTAACTCAAGATGAACCAAAGACTGAAATAGAAGACTTCAAATATAAAAGTCCTAACAGACAACCTATTAAACACCTTTCTCAACATAGGCTTTTGCAAACCACTTAAGACAATTTAGTACCCAAAAGAAATGCAAGAAAAAACAAAAAGTACAAGTCTGGCCTAAGAAACTACGGACCTGCTGCACAGCAAAGCAATTGCCAACACAGTAAACACATAGACTACATGATGGGAGAAAATGTTCCCAAACCAAGCATCTGACCAAGTTCTAACAGCCAGAATCTAGAGGACCTTACCTAAATCAAGAAGCAGAAAAATAACACAAGTAAAAAATGGGCAAATGATACAAACACACTAGTCAAAACAAGACCTAAAAAAGACCAACAGACACGAGAAAATGCTCAACATCACTAATCATCAGAGATGAGGTACCAGTGCCATCACATACCAGTCAGAATGGCCATTTGTCCAAACACAAAACATATTTGTGTAGCAGTACATAAAAGCGAAAACAGCTACACTCTTGGGGTAATGCAAACTAGGTCTCACACTGCGGAGAGCAGTTTCAAGATTCCTCAACAACAACAACAAAGAGGGAAAGGAAGCAGAGCTACCCTTCTACCCAGCAATCCAACCCTGTGTATCTACCCCAGGGAAAAATACATGTGTCTATCAAAAAGACACACACATTTGCATGTTCATGGGAGTGCTACTCACAGGAATAAAGACGTGGACCTGACCTAGATGCCCACCAACAGAAAATCAGGTGTTTTTAAATGTGATACCTATACACCACAGAATACTAACAAGCCACCAAGGAAAATCAAACACAGAAACAAAATCATGCCCTCAGCAGCAACATAGATAGAACTGCAGGCCACTCTGCTAAGCGAACTCAGGCAAGAACAAAAGACCAAACACCACAGATTTTCACTTACAGGCAGAAACTCAACACTGAACACACACGAACATAAAGATGAAATCAACAGACGTTGGGTACTACCAGACAGAAAAAGGAGGGAGACAGGAAGCCTTGGAGGAAGAATGATCCAACTGGTGCTGTGTTCACTGCCTGGGTGACGGGTAAGTTGGGACCTCAAGCATCAAAAGTCTGCTGTATAGCCATGTAGTGAAATGAACCTGCAGGCATACACCCCTCCATCACAATAAAAGTAGCTATCATTTTAGAAAACCCAGCTTTGGAAATGGAAATGGAAAAAAAGGAAAAAAATACAAGAAAACACACAAAACAAAAGAAAAAGCCTACAGTGGCCCAATCCATCCATTAGTGGCATGAACACAGAAAGATAACCGAATGGACACAACAAAGGAGCCAAATAATCAACCCACAATTATAAACACTGAACCCATGGGATTCTTGCTTTCCCCCAAAAGCACACCAAAGGCACAATGGTTGAACAAACTGGGGGGTTCATGTGCAAAGGACTGAAATAAACCCTTCTCTTACACAAGACACAAAAAATGACACAAAATCCACTGAACACCAAAGAGCAATTGTGAAACCAAAACCTCCAAGGAAAACACATAGGGTGTGTGTCTACTGTGGGGAAACTTGAACCTGTGAACCTAAGCTACAAACAGAAAACACATAGGAATCAACTACCCGTAGACCATACAATGGCTTTGCCATCTCGCTCTACTTCTCAAAGGGACACAGAAATCACCGCTAACAAAAGCTCATGTGACCACGTGAGACTAAGGACAACTTCAGAGCTTCACACAGCTTCAACACTGGAGAGAAAACAGTGAACCCAACAGAAGACATCCCACAGACTGGGAGAAAATTATGGAAAACTGTGGATCTGGAAGGGCTTCTTATCTAACATATTCAAGAAACTAATGGTCCTAAGTGGAAAAAATCATAAAAAACAATACATACACTAAAAATGCCCAAAGGACTGGCATAGGCATTTCTGAAAAGACCTGAAACAGACTTGCAGGTAACAGAAGTTTCTCCACATCAGTAATCATCCCCTAAATGTAAATCCCGACCACACTCAGATACTGCCAAACTCCCCAGAGAACGAGTATGACCAGGAACAGCAATAAAACTTTTTGAAGATAAGGGCAGTGTAGATTTGCAGACAGAGAAACTCTCACACACTATTGGTAGGAATGCAAATTTGTATATCCACTGGGAGAGACAGCAGGAGGTTTCTGAAACGACAATACAACTACCAGTTCCTCTAGCCATCCCAACATTGGGTATACCGGCAAAGCCAAGGAAACTTGAAACTTAAGGAGATATTTGCCTTCCCATGTTTGATGAAGTACTCTGGACAATAACCAGGGTATAGAGGTAATCTACCTGTCCATCCATGGAGGAAGAAATGCAGGAAATGAAGGACGCAAGCACAATGGTATACTCCTCAGCCATCAAACTTCTGGATATCAGGTCACTTCCAGCAAGGTGGAGAAACCTGAAGGACATTAAGTTAAAGGAAATGAGCCAGGCACAGGAGGACAAACACAAACACAGCACAATCTCATGCACGTGGAATCTAACGAAGTGAATCTCATAGAGGAGCAATGTCAGCAGTGCGTACCAGAGGCTGAGGGGAGGCTTGGAAACAGCTACAAAGTGACACTCAGATGAATGGCAAGAATTCTGGTGTTCTACGGCTTAGCAGGGTGACTAGGCTTAACAATACCCTAGCATGATATTCGATATAGCGTGAAGGGGTGATCGGGGTATGCTCTCCACCAAGAAATCCTCACTGTAGCCTGAAACAAAGACGCGAGTTCCTGTAATCTGATCACAACAGCACTGATCCATATGTCAAACGGTCCCTTGCACCCTTAAAGTAAAAGCATAGACCATGTGAAATTTTTGTTTTCAAATAGGATCACATCACATTTCTGAAAGTCCTGTGGGACAACGAAGTGCCCCGCACTCCCAAAGCAGCTCCTACACACATAAAGTCGGTGGAGCGCCATTACACTCTTCCACTTTAAACTACTTCCCAAAGCTTTAGTTACCCAGATTCCTACACACACAAAGTCAGTGGACCATCACACTCTTCCACTTTAAACTACTTCCCAAAGCTTTAGTTACCCAGATTCCTACACACATAAAGTCAGTGGAGCGCCATCACACTCTTCCACTTTAAACTACTTCCCAAAGCTTTAGTTACCCAGATTCTTACACATACAAAGTCAGTGGACCATCACACTCTTCCACTTTAACCTACTTCCCAAAGCTTTAGTTACCCAGATTCCTACACACACAAAGTCGGTGGAGCCATCACACTCTTCCACTTTAAACTACTTCCCAAAACTTTAGTTACCCAGATGATTTGTGATAGGCATTAGCAGAGAAACACAGGCCAACGGACACAATGAGGATGCCCAGGAGTAAATTCAAATTGATATAGCGTAAGCACATGTTTAGAAAGAACCGCAAAAGTCACCACAGGAATGGAGAGTCTGTCCAATACAGCGTTCTGAGAACTGGATATCCCTAGGCAAAATAACAACATAGGGTCCTTATTGTGTGAAATTCACAACCATCTATTCAACATGAATGAAAGACCTATACCCAAAACTTGAAACTATCACTCTCTGAGAAGAAAGTATATGGTGTGCAGATACCTGGGTCAACCTGGATCTATGCTTACAGTTTGCAAAAACGAAAACGAAAAAATATGGGGGAAAGAAAAGAATACAAACAACAAACAAGCAAAACTCACAACAGATTCGTATGCTAGTGAATTTCCTTTATTTCATCAGTAACCAACGTAGTGGAAAACCACAACACTGCACACCCCTGAATACGCATCAGACTCATCAGACTATATGGCTTGGGGGCAAGAAAGAACGAAAACAATGAATGAAAAGAAACAAACATCCAAAGGATGATAAGAAAGATATCAGGGAAAACACAGCTAAGGAGACTTTTGGAAAAGGTGTAAGTAACTAACACTACTAACTAGCAGAAAACAGCAGAAAAGAGAAGGTAATTAGCAAACCAAAATTGGGCAAAGAAACCAAAGAGTCTTTTCTGCAAAGAACACACAACACTGAAAACAAATGTACTTGTTAACACCTAGTTAGTATCACTAATCATAAGAAAAATGAAAATCAGAACAAGACTCAGATATCGTGTCCCTCTCAAAGGAAAGAGTATTACAAAGAACTTCATATATATTAAAAGAAGGGAAACCACAAATGCTGCTGTGAATTTCCAGAGAGGGGAGCTCTCTTATCCACAACTGTTGGCAAGGTAAATTAGTACGCACACTACAGAGGCCACCTGGAGGCTCCTCTGAAAACTAAAAATACAACGACCATTTCACCGAGCCACGCTACCGCAGGGTGTGCACTGGAATCATATGTCACCAGTACACAGAAGACACATCTGCCTTCCCATGCTGACTCTGGAACCAGTCGCAATAGCCAAGATAAGGAATCAACCTACCTGTCCACCTGCAGAGGATGAGATCCAGAAACCGCAATATCCATTCACAAACAAACACTTTTCAGCCATACACAGGTACTGAAATCACGTCATCTGTGGCAACACTGTGGAACCTGGAGGACATTATGTTAAATGTCTGTCACTAGGCAGAGAAAGACAAACCTCACATTACCTCAGTCATGGGGAATCTAAGACCCTTTAATCTCACATAGACCTACAAAGCACCATAGTGCTTGCCAGGGTTGGAACAGAAGGCTGGGCATGGGTGGGGACAGGAAACAGGTACAAAGTGACACATTGCATAAGAGAAATGAAACCTGCTGTTCTATTCCTCAGCAGGGTGACTAGAGAAAACTTTACCAGAGGATAGTTTTCAAGACAGCCAGAAAGAAGGGTTCTGGCTCTCCTCAACTCAAAGACAGGAACACTCTACAAGGCAAAAAACGACACTATATACCCTGATTTCATCACTATGTGATGCATGCATGGATCCAAATATTCCACTCTACCCCCTACCTGTACACCTTTAGGATGGGGTCGATTTTGTTTTTTGAAAGCAATGTGAAGAAACAATGAATGCTAAAATTCCCATGGGACCACAAAATGCTCTGAAACTCCAAAGCCAGGCTGGGAGATTCAGACGATGTCAGATGGACCACACTCTCCAATTTCAAATTTCACAGAAAAGCTACAGACCCACCTCCACCTAGACAGAATAGGAAACCCAGAAGCAACCCCACATACCCACAACCATCTGACCTTTGAAACACCAAAATTCAGATGTGGAAAGGGCTCACTGTGCAATGAATGGCACTGGGATAGTGTCTAGCCACTTGCAGATGAACAGCACTACAGCCTTACCTCTCACAAGATGCAAAAACTAACTCAAGGTGAATGAAAGATTTCAGCAGAAGACTACAAACTATACAAGTCCTACAAGAAAAACTAGGAAAGACCTTTCTCAACACGGGCTTTGGTAAAGAATTTAAATAACTTAGTCCCTAAGAGCAACGGCAAGAAAAACCAAAATGGACAAGTTGGGCCTAAGAAACTAAAACACTGCCAGACAGCAAAATAAATCACCAGCACAGTAAAAACATAGCCTACAGGATGGGAGAAAATGTTCCCAAACTATGCTTCTGACCAAGACCTAATAGCCAGACTCTAACATGACCTTAAAAAAATCAAGAGGCAGAAAAACAAATAACCCAATCAAACAATGGGTACAAGACATGAAGACGTTCTTGTAAAAATAAGATGTACAAGTGACCAATAGACAAAAAAAACCCTCAACATCACTCATCATCAGAGAAATGCAACTCACACACACACTGAGATACCATCTCCCGTCGGTCAGAATGGCCATTTGTCCAAAGTCCAACATTTACATGCTGACAAGGCAGCGGAGGAAAGCAAACACTGCTACACTCCTGGAGGGAATAAAAACTAGTGCTCACACTATGAGAAGCGGTTTGGAGGTTCCTCAAAAAACTTAACAACTACCATCCAAATGAGCAATCGCATAACTGGGTATCTAGACAGAGGAAACTAAATCATAAACCCTTCTTTCAAAATGACACAGACATGGGTATGTTCTTGGTAGTGCTATTCACAAGAAAAAATAAAATAAAATTGACCTATGTTCCCTTTAACAGTTGATTCGATGTTTTAAAGTGTTGTATATAGATACTGCAAAATCCTACACAGCTTAAACAAATTCATGCTCTCGGCAGCAAGAAGGATGAACCTGCAGGCCACTATGCTAAGCAAACTAAGGAAAGAACAGAAAACCAAATACCACATGTTCTCACTTAGGGGGAAAATACCCATAGAAAATACAATGACTTTGCCATCTCTTTCTCTCTCACTTTCTCTCTCTCTCTCTCTCTCTCTCATGAGACACAGAAATCCATGCTGACAAAAGCAAATATAAACCTGTGAGACCAACACTTTAGAGCTTCCGCATGTGGGAGAAAACAATGACCCCAAAGAGAAAGCATCCTACCTTGGCGGAAAGGATGATTGGGGGAAAACTGTGGAAAATCATAATTTTGGAAGGGGTTGTTATCTAACATATTCAAGCACTAAAGCTACTAAGTGGGGAAAAGATTAAAAAAAAAATACACGAGCTAAAAATATGCAAAGGATATACACAACCACCTCTGCAAAGGACATGAAACTGATTCACAGGTGAAACAGAAGTTTCTCCACATCACTAATCACTCCAAACATGTAAGTCAGAATCACACTCCGATATCAGATACCATCAAACTCCACTGAGAATGAATATTACCCAAACAGCAATAAAAATTTTGGACGGCAGCAACCAGTGTAGGCTTACAGAAAGGGAAACTCATATATGCTATTGATGTCGATGTAAATTGGTGAACATACTGTGAAAAAAACTTGGGAGCTTCTCATACTGGGTATGCATTTAAAGCAAAGGCAACTGGTACCATAAAAAATTATCTGCCTTCCCATGTTTTATGAAGCGCTATTCACAATATAGAAGATATGGAATGAACCTACCTATCCAACCACACATCAAGAGATGAAGACACTGCAGTGTATCTGCACAATGCAATAATACTCTTCATCCTTAACAAAATAATGTAATTTTCATTTGGAGCCATATGGATGAACCTGGAAAATATATTGTTAAATAAAATAAGCCTGGCATAGAAAAACAAGCAAATTCATCTCACTTATATGGAATCCAAAAAACTTTGCCTTCAATAAGTACAAGGTACAGTAGTGGTTTTCCGAAGACAGGGGAAGGAGGAGATGGAAGGATTGGTTATGGAAACAAAGTTGCAGTTAGTTGGGACAAACACATTCTTGCATTCTATACCACAGCTGGGTGACTCTGGTTAACAAAATAGTACATTTTTCAATAAAGCTAGAAGGGAGCAATTTGAGTGTTATCACAACAGAGAAATAATACCTGTATGAGAACAGATACAGCAAGTACCCTGATTTGATCATTACTAAAAATATACATGTACCAAAATGTCCCAGAGGAAAAACAGTCCCAGCATACTCTCTAATTATATACTTTATTACGCACAGAAATTTAAGAAATGTGAATACGCAATGCTAATGATCACATGGAAATGGCCCTGAATGTCTAAGGAATCCTGAGAAATAGAAACTAAGTTGGAGGACTCACAATCCCTGATATGCCGCAGTGCTCCAGCCTGGGTAAGAGAATGAGACTCTGTGTCAAAAAAAAATTGTTAGAAAATTTGAGGGAATCATAGAAGTGATAAATTGTTGTTACCAAACATGTACACAGAAAAAAGCAATACTAAGTAGCATAAAAATACATATCTGAACTCATATTGAGCAAAAAACTTGAATAGAGTTATCTGCAAAGATGACATAAAACTAACAGGTAAGAGAAAAGGTCCTCAACATCACTGTTCATCAAAAAAAAGTACTTCAAAACCACACTCAGATGTCATTTCACTCTTATTGAAATGAATGTTACTAAAAAGATCAAAAAAATTTTTTTGAGACAGGGACTCTGTCACTCAGGCTGGAGTGCAGTGGCATGATCATGGCTCACTGCAGCCTTGACCTCTCCGGCACAAGTGATCCTCCCACCTCTGCCTCCTGAATAGCTGGAACTACAGGCACACACCACCACGCCTGGCTAATTTTTTTGTATTTTTTTGTAGAAATGAAGTTTTGCCACGTTGCCTAGGCTGGTCTCAAATTGTTTGGCTCAAGTGATCTGCCCACCTTGGCCTCCCAAAGTGCTTGGATTACAGGCATGAACCATCATGCCTGGCCATAAAAAAACATGCATGGCTACATCAAAGTGAAAACTTTTTGCAAGGAAAAGGAAACAATGAGCCCAAAGAGGAAGGCTGGGAGAACAAATCACATATCGGCTAATGGGGGTTGTTATGGAAAATATGCAACACATTAATAGTACTAAGTAGCAACAACAAACAAATGATCCATCCAAAACTGAGCAGGGAACCTGAATAGGCATTTCTGCAAAGAAGACATTAAACCACATGGAAGGGCGCTTCCTCCACAGTCAGGTGGCCGTGACTAGATGGACAGAGTTAGGCAGATGCTGTGGGGGGCGGGGGGTGTTGAGAAAAGTGACCCCTATGTCCCGACGGCTGGGAAACAAATGTAAAAGTTCAGTAGACCACCTGCAGTAGTTCATGCCTGTAATCCCGGCACTTTGGGAAGCTGAGGCGAGAGGATTGCTTTGAGCTCAGAAGTTTGAGACCAGCCTGGGCAACATGGCGAAACCCTGCCTCTACCAAAAATACAAGAAAAACAAAATTCAGCAGACCAGGCACAGTAGTTCACACCTGTAATCCCAGCACTTAGGGAAGCCGAAGTGGAAGGATTGCTTTGAGTTCAGAAGTTCAAGATAAGCCTGGGTAACATGGCGAAACCCCGTGGCCAGCAAAAATATGAAAAAAAAAAAAAAATAGCTGGGCATGGTGGCACAAGCCCAGCTAATGGGGAGACTGAGGCTGGAGAATCCCTTGAGCCCAGAAAGTGGAGGCTGCAGTGAGCTGAGATCTGCCACTGCACTCCAGGATGCACAACAGGGCCAGACCCTATCTCCAAAAAAATAAAACCAATTAAAAAATCAGCAAACCCTGGAGGTGGCTGGGATCCTTTCCTTCCACCTGAGGCTTGGATGCAAGGCAGCCAAACTGGGGCCTGGTCCCAAAACCCCACCTAGGCCGGGCTTCCTCTTCCTCCCACAGCCAGAGCTTTCCTCTCTCTCCATCTACATGGGGAGTCTCCCTCAGAAACAGCCCTAAAGCCTCCTACTCTTTCCAACCTCAAAAGCCCTCAGGGACTGAGTACTACTATAAAATTCATACTAAGATGGAAAGAAAGAAAAAAGGAAGACCCATCAGGAATACATAGAACATTCCAGAAAACGAAAGCTTCTGTACTCACCATGATGGAAGAACTCCCCGAAGAAGCCAGCCGCAGAGAAGCCACACCAAAGCTCTGTCCTCAGCCGTCAGCGCCACGGACAGGAGGTGTTTCTTCCCCAGGATGCAGCCTCAAGTTATCCCGAAGCTGCCGTGGCACACGGTGGCTCCTGAGAACACCTTGGCTCTTCCGGTTTAACACAGGCAAGTCAATAAGTGTGATAATCACATAAACAGAATTAAAAGCAAAGTCACATAATCATCTCAATAAACACAGAAAAGGCATTTGACAAAATCCAGCATCCATTTATAATTAAAACCCTCAGCAAAAAATGCACAGAAGGGACAAACTTCAGGTAATAAAAACCATCTGTGACAAACCCACAGCCAACATAATACTAAATGGGGAAAGGTTAGAAGCATTTCCTCTGAGAACTGGAACAATAAATACAAGGATGCCCACTCTCACCACTTCTATTCAACATAGCACTGACAGGCCCAGCCAGAGCAATCAAATGAGAGAAAGAAATAAAGGGCATCCAGATCGGTAAAGAGGAAGTCAAATTGTCACTGTTTGCTGATGACATGATTATATACCTAGAGACTCCTCCAAAAAGCTCCTAAAACTGATAAATCATTTCAGCAAAAATTCAGGATACAAAATTAATGTACCCAAATCAATAGATCTGCTATACACCAACGATGTGCAAGCTGAGAATCAGATCAAGAATTCAATCCCTTTTACAATAGCTGCAAAAAAATAAAACAAAACACTTAGGAATATACCTAACAAGGAAGTATAAAAGACCTCTACAAAGAAAACTACAAAACACTGCTGAAAGAAATCACAGATGACACAAACAAATGGAAACACCTCTCATGCTCATAGATGGGTAAAATCAATATTGTAAAAACGACCATAACGCCAAAAGCAGTTTACAATTTGAAAGCAATTTCCATCAAAATATCACCATCATTCTTCACAGAACTAGAAAAGATAATTCGAAAATTCATATGGAACCAAAAAAGAGCCCGCATAGCCAAAGCAAGCCTAAGCAGAAAGAACAGATCTGGAGGCATTACATTACCTGGCTTCAATCTATACTACAAGGCCATAGTTAGCAAAACAGCATAATACTGGTATAAAAATAAGGACACAGACCAATGAAACAGAATAGAGAACCCAGAAATAAACCCAAATACTTACAGCCAACTGGTCTTTGACAAAGCAAACAAAAACAAAGTGGGGAAAGGACACCCTATTCAACATATGGTGCTTGGAAAACTGGCAAACCACATGCCAAAAAATGAAACTGGATCCCCATCTCTTACCTTATACAAAAGTCAACTTAAATCTGAGACCTGAAACCATAAAAATTCTATAAGATAACATTGGAAAAACCCTTCTACACATTGGCTTGGGCAAAGACTTCATGACCAAGAACCCAAAAGCAAGCACGACAACAAAATGAAGATAAACAGGTGAGACTTAATTAATCCACAAAGTTTCTGCACAGCAAAAGAAACAATTGGCAGAGTAAACAGACAACCCACAGAATGGGAGAAAATCTTCACAATCTATACATCTAAGAAAGGACTAATATCCAGAATCCACAAAGAACTCAGCAGGAAAAAAACCAATCCCTTCGAATAATGGGCTAAGGACTTGAATACACCATTCTCAAAAGAAAATATAAAAATGGGCAACAAACATGAAAAAATGCTCATCATCACTAATGATCAGGGAAATGCAAATCAAAACCACAATGCCATGCCACCTTACTCCTGGCAAGAATGGCCATAATCAAAACATCAAAAAATAATAAATGTGGGTGGGGATATGGTGAAAAAAGAACACTTTTACACCGCTGGTGGGAATGTAAACTAGTACAACCACTACAGTAAACTGTGTGGAAATTTCTTAAAGAACTAAAAGTAGAACTACCATTTAATCCAGCAATTCCATTACTGGGTATCTACCAGAGGAAAAGAAGTCATTATGTGAAAAAGATACTTGTACACGCATGTTTATAGCAGCACAATTCACAACTGCAGAAATATGTAACCAGCCCAGATGCCCATCAATGAGTAGATTAAGAAATTATTATATATATATATTATCGATATAATATATACACACACACACAGCCATAAAAAGGAAAAAAATAATGGCATTCACAGCAACCTGGATGAGATCGGAGATTACTATTCTAAGTCAAGTAACTTAAGAATGGAAAACCAAACACAGTTTGCTCTCACTCGCAAGTGGGAGCGAAGCTATGAGGATGCAAAGGCATTAGAATACTACAGTGGACTTTGGGGACTTGGGGGAAACGGTGGGAGGTGGGTGAGGAATAAAAGACTACAAATTGGATACAGCGTATTCCGCTCAGGTGTTGGGTGCACCACAATCTCACTAATCACCTCTAAAGGAGTTACTCATATAATCAAACACCACCTGTTCCCCAAAAACCTATGGAAATAAAAAAATACGATAAGTTTTTGTGTATCTGTGTATGCATCACATATTTTTTAACTTTCTTCACAAGTTCATTGAGATGTAATTTATACATTATTTAATTCACTCATTTAAAGTGTACATTTCAATTTGTTAGTGTATTAACTGGGTGGATAAACAATCACAATATAATTTTAGAACATTTTTATGCTCCTTAAAAGAAACCTTGCACTCATTAGCAATCTTTTCCCATTTTCTCCACTTCCTTGAAACCCCTCTCAGCCCTAGGCAACCATCCACCCACTTCCTAACTAAGGATTTGCCTACTCTGGAAGGATTTGCTTGTTCTGGACATTTCATGTAAATGGAATCATAATAATACATAGTTACGTGTGACCCACTGCTTTCACTTATGTTTTTAACGTTCATCCTTTTTGAAGCATGTATATTAATACCTTTTTCTTTTTTATTGCCAAATACTATTGTATTTCATGGACAGACCACATTTTATTAATCCACTCTGCAATTCATGGACATTTCTGTTGCTTCCCACTTTTTGTTGCTGTAAGTACTTGTATGCTACCTTTTGAGTAGACATTTGTTTTCATTTCTTTTTGGTGTATACATAGGAGTTAATTTACTGAGTCATATGGTAATTCTATACTTATCCTTTTGAAGAACTGCCAGACTGTTTTAAACTCTCATCAGCAGTGTATAAGGGTTTCAAATTTTCACATATTTTTAATCCGTTCTTCAGTTGATAAACACTTAGGTTGTTTCTAAATCACAGCTATTATCAATAACTCTGCAATGAACATGAAATTGCAGATGTCTCTTTGACATACTGATTTTAAGTTCTTTAGACGTATATCCAGAAGAGGCATTGATGAATCATAATGTAAATATATTTATAATTTCTTGAGAAAGCTTCATACTATTTTCCAAGATGGTGGTAATAATTTCAATTCCGACCAACAGTGTACAACCGTTTTCTCCACATTCTAATCAATAGTTATCTTCCATCATTTTTTAATTATTTATTTATTTATTTACTGAGATGAAGTCTTGCTCTGTCACCCAGGCTGGAGTGCAGTGGCGCAATCTTGGCTCACTGCAACCTCTACCTCCCAGGTTCAAGCAATTCTTCTGCCTCACCCTCCCAAGTAGCTGGAATTACAGGTGCATGCCACCACGCCCAACTAATTTTTTGTATTTTTAGTAGAGACGGGGATTCACCATGTTGGCCAGGCTGGTCTAAAACTCCTGACCTCAGGCAATCCACCTGCCTTGGACTCCCAAAGTGCTGAGATTTCAGGTGTGAGCCACCGTGCCCCGCCACATCTTTTTTATAATAACCTCAGTAACATCTGTGAGATAATATCTTCATGGTTTTGACATCTATTTCTCTGATAATTAGGAATGTTGATGTTTTTTATCAACATTTTTGATAAAAATCTGGCCTTTTGTATGTCTGTTTTTAGAAAATGTCTATTCAACTCCTTTACTTATTTTTTAGTAAGCTTGTTTTCTCATTTCTGGGTTGAGTTCCTTACATATTATTGGTATGAACCCCTTACCTGAGATATGGTTTAAAGACATTCTCTTCCCATTTGTGGGTTGTCTCTTCAATCTATTACTGTTTCTTTTGCTGTGCAGAGAAGCTTCTTAGTTTTACGGCATCTCGTTCGTGTATTTTTGCTTTTGTTGCCTGTACTTTTTGGGGTCATCTGTAGAAAATCATAGCTGAGGCCACTGTCATATGGT
Source organism: Homo sapiens (assembly GCF_000001405.40). Classification (NCBI taxonomy): domain Eukaryota; kingdom Metazoa; phylum Chordata; class Mammalia; order Primates; family Hominidae; genus Homo; species Homo sapiens. The sequence continues at coordinate 19,453,708 of NC_000014.9, forward strand.
TTTCTCCTGTCTTTGCTTGTAGCGGTTTTATGGTTTCAGGTTTATATTTAAGTCTTTCATGCATTGCTACTTGATGTTGGTATAAAGAGTGAAATAACAATCCAATTTTATTCTTCTGTATGTGAATAGTCAGTTTTTCTCTACATTATTTATTGAAGAGAATTTTCTTTCCACATTGTGTATTCTTTGTCCTTTTATCAAAAATCAACGGACCACAGACACATGGATTTATTTACAGGTTCTACATTCCTTCACACTGGTCTAGGTGTCTGTTTTTATGCCAGTGCTATGCTGTTTTAAGTACTATAACTTTTTAATATTGTTTAAAATCAAGTAGCCTGATGCCTCTGGCTTTGTTCTTTTTGCTCAAGATTGCTTTGGTTTTTCAGAGTCTTTTGTGGTTCCACTCAGATTTTAGGACTAATTTTTCTATTTCTGTGAAGAATGGCATGGGATTTTGACAGTGATTGCATTAATCTGTAGATTGCTTTCGGTAGCATTGAAATTTTGATGATATTAATTTTTCAAATCCATAAATATGGGATGTTTTTCTACTTATGTAACTTTCAATTTCTTTCAACAATGCTATAAATTTTCAGTATACAAATATTTCACATCCTTCATTAAAATTACTCCTTAGTCTTTTATTTACTTATATATGTTATGATGCTATTATCAAATGAATTACTTTATTCATTTGTTTTTCAGTTAACAGTTTGTCATTGGTGTATAGAAACAAGAATACTATTTGTATGTTAATTTTGTAACTCTCAACTTTCAATGCGTTTATCAGCTTTAACACTTTTTTTCTTTTTTATGGAGTCTTTAAGATTATCTCTATATTGGCTGGGCACGGTGGCTCATGCCTGTAATCCCGGCACTTTGGGAGGCCGAAGTGTGTGGATCACGAGATCGGGAGTTTGAGACTAGCCTGGCCAATATGGTGAAACCCTGTCTCTACTAAAAAAATACAAAAATTAGCCGGGCGTGGTGGCACGCATCTGTAGTCCCAGCTACTTGGGAGACTGAGGCAGGAGCAGCACTTGAACCCGGAGGCGGAGGTTGCAGTGAGCTGAGATGGTGCCACTGCATTCCAGCCTCTTTCCTATTTGGATGCCTTTCCGTTCTTTGCCTTGTATGATTACTCTGGCTACATGATTACATATAACATTTTCAGCATTTGTAATTTGACATCACATCCATCTGTTGTAATACACTGATTGTTACTTTTCAACTTGAAAACCTGGACATTTATCACTAATCTCCCTTTCTCTTCGTCTAGTTCTTATCCAAGAAAACAACCTGTCAATATAAACCAAGTTAGATAATTATTTTTCTATAAAACCACTTCAAATGCATTTAAAATTTTTTAACCTAACAATTTTTAAACTTTGTATGTCAATGATTTTCAACTGTGGTCTCTCAAAACAAATCCAATACTTTTAGTAGGAAAAATTACGTTAATTCCTACACTACCGTTGGGGCTACCCAAGAGTTGACCAAAGGTGATATTAATACATATGCTTATTTATTACCCTGTTCTCACAGTTCTAGTGTAAGTCTTGAAAATCAAGTAAATTTGGAAACATAGTTGCACAAATCTTCTCATGAGTCACACAGTTAATCCAGAATATTATTTCTAAGTTATCATAAAGCCAACAAGCAAATATGATGTACTGTTTAAAAAGAATAATCATAATTTTATATTATACAAATGAAACATGTATTCAATACTGTTTACTGAATATCTCAAGTATACTTATTTACGTAGAAACAAAGGAATCAACGGATATCTGTTATATAACGTTTAAATTACTAAAAATACTTTATATAGCATCGCTCCATAAATGCTAGTGTAAATGCTGACGAAAGTAAAAATGTCATTCCCTACATTTGCTAAATATATTGTGACACATTATAAGTGTTTTTAAAACATATCACTAAGGGGCAAAAGAAGTAGGCAAAAATAATTGTAAGTATTTAATTATGGAAAAATTTAGAACACAGCATAGTATTCATGTGATGGAAGGATTTTAAATGGAACCCAGAGATTAGCAGCAGCAGGAAGTTTCTATCATACTTAGGATTGGGAAAACAACAGAAGTTACTGGAACACAAAAGCAGGGTCATGTTATTAAAAACTGGGGCCATGGTGAGTGTCTGTGACCATTACCTAATATGTCACACTGAATAAAGACAGATAGCACATGATCTGAGGCTTTTTTCTTCCACAGATGCCTTCCATTGGCCAGAATTAGCAAGTATTTAGAGTGCACTGAAGACTGGGAGGGTCTGTTCTCTGTAACAGAGTGAAGAGAAGGAGAAGGTGAGATGCTCATTACCTTAGTGATGGCTTCAATCGTACCCCAAAACTCAGTATCACACAATAAACCTGCACATTTTTATTCAGTCTAAAATAAAAGTTGAATTTAAAAAAAAATACAGAAAGCAGTTTAGACTTTACTAATCAGTAGTAAAGTCTTTAGAGCTGCTCTTCCAAAAGTAAGCCATTGCACTGAGAAAACTGACCATTTTATTCATCAGAAGAAAAATTCAATGAACCTTTACTCACTGACAATAGTGAGAATCAGAATGAATGAATCAGAATGTCTGTCCTAACTACTCCCTCTGGTTCTACTTCAATTCCTGCTGCCTCCATATGGTTCATCAGTGTGTGGAAGATGAATGTGGTAAAACTGAAGTGGCTGCTTGTACTTGGAGAACAACAACAATGCACTGAAAATTCACTGCTTAGAAGCTGTTGAAAGAGTTTGGCAATAAATACAACCTAATATTCACAATAAAGAGCAATGATCTATAAGCCCATTTTCACATCTATTGTAAAGGCCAACCATGTGTTTCAGCCAAAACAAACTGATTTTATTAATACAATGACCAGACATATATAAATAATAATATGAGTTTATTTTACCAGAGGAATTGGCTCTCACACTTGCATTCTATTGTAGGTTTTTACACTTATCCAATTCTAACAAGAGTTGGATAAACTCAGGGTTTTCCTAAAATAACAATGACTATTCCTCACAAAAGAGTCACAAGCAAAGTCTACACCTGAAAATGTGTAGATTGCCTTCCATGTCCTGTGTGCATTAAGAAACGTTTTATTTTTACACCTGGTATACGGACAACATGGATGAATATGTTGGCTAATTAGAACAAGTTTATCAAGTTCTTTGAAACCCTTGGTAGACAAAGTAATTCAAGGATTCAGCCCAGATTAGTAGTGTGAAAGCCTGCAACAAACCAAACTGTAGAAAAGTAATAATGTAAATACAAATGTGATTTCAATCTCCGCTTGGCGACTGACCTCCCTCAGACCACTAAACTCTGTGCATCAGATGCATTAACAATGAGACATTGGTCACTCACTGGGGAGGTGGGCATGGTGAAAACCTTTTTTTACCCATAGATCTGGGGGAACTGCTGAAAAGCCTGAAATGCATTCAGTTGATGCACCAGACATCAGTTACTGAAGAAGCAGAGGCGATGAACTTCCCTTAACGTTGACCTAAGTGGATAAACGCATGGCAACATGCTGAGTGACTTCAACAATGCAGACACACTCAATGTCAAAATGCCACAGGGCTACCCGGTGCTGCAAGGCTGGGACTCGGTTTCCGTAAGACTGTCTTAAGGCAGTGGGATTTCTGATGGAACTGTGGACATAAGCATATGCCCCCATACGCCACTCCCACTACTCACTGTAGGAACAGCAGTGTAACATTTGTCCCGGCTAATGATGACAAACAATCCCCAAGTCCCTATGCAAACCAAGTGCTGGGGCCACACAGTGGCCTGAGCAACATACCTATGGGTAGTAACTATTGAGAAGACATTTCCAAGGGATTGCCATTCCAACAGGCGTGGGGAATGCTCAACATCACCAATCATCAGAGATGAGGTACCGGTGCCATCACACGCTGGTCAGAGTGGCCATTTGTCCTAAGTCAAAACATAACATGCTGGTGTGGCAGCAGAGAAAAGCAAACATGGCTATTCTCTTGGAGGTAATGCAAACTAGATCTCAAACTGTGGAAATCAGTCTGAAGATTTCTGGAAAAAAAAAAGGACAGAAAGCAGAGCTACGCTTTGACGCAGCAATCCCCCCCGGTGCGTCTACCCCAGGGAAAAACACATGCATCTATCAAAAGGACACAGACACTCACATGTCCACGGGAGTGTTACTGACAGGAATAAAGATGTGGAACTGACCTAGATGCCCACCAACAGAAAATTGGATTTTTTAAAATGTGGTACCTATACATCACAGAATGCTGAAAAAACCACTAAGGAAAATCAAACACAGAAACAAAATCATGCCCTCAGTAGGAACATGGGTGGAACTGGAGGCCACTCTGCTAAGCAACTGAGGCAAGAACAGAAGACCAAACACTGCAGGTTCTCATTTATAAGTGGAAGCTCAACACCCAATGCACATCAACATCAATATGAAATCAACAGACGTTGGGTACTACCAGACAGAAAAAGAAGGGAGACAGGGAGCCTTGGAGGAAGAAAGACCCAACTGGTGCTGTGTTCACTGCCTGGACGACAGGTACGTTAGGACCTCAAGCATCAAAATTCTACTGTATAGCCATGTAGTGAAGTGAACCTGCAGGCGTACCCCTTGATCACAATAAAAGTAGCTATCATTTTAGAAAACCCAGCTTTGGAAATAAAAATAGAAAAAAGGAAGAAAACACACAAAACAAAACAAAAAGCCTACAGTGACCCAATCCATCCTCTTAGTGGCATGAACACAGAAAGATAACAGAATGGACAAAACGAAGGAGCCAAATAATCAACCCACAGTTATAAACACTGAACCCATGGGATTCTTGCTTTTACCCCAAAAGCACAACAATGGTTGAGGAAACTGTTGGGGGGGGGTGGGGGTCACGTGTAAAGGACCAAACCCTTCCTTTACCCAAGACACAAAAAGTGACACAAAATCTACTGAACACCTAAATTCAATCCTGAAACCAAAATCTCCAAGGGAAACGCATAGAGTGTATGTCTACTGTGGGGAAACTTGAACCTGTGAACCTAAGCTACAAGCAGAAAACGAAGACATAGGAACCAAATACCCATAGACCATAACATAATGGCTTCACCATCTTGCTTTTCTCCTCAAAGGGACACAGAAATCACCACTAAGAAAAGCTAATGTGACCATGTGAAACTAAGGACAACTTCAGAGCTTCACACAGCTTCAACACTGGAGAGAAAACAGTGAACCCAACAGAAAACATCCTACAGACTGGGAGAAAATTATGGAAAACTGTGGATCTGGAAGGGCTTCTTATCTAACATATTCAAGAAACTAATGGTCCTAAGTGGACAAAAACCAATATACAATGCTTGTCACACCTAAGTGGACAAAAACCAATACTAAAAATGCCCAAAAGACTGGCATAGGCATTTCTGAAAAAACCTGAAACAGCCTCTCAGGTAACAGAAGTTTCTCCACATCAGAAGAGTTTCTCCCCAGAGAACGAGTATGACCAGAAACAGCAATAAAACTTTGGAAGATAAGGGCAGTGTAGATTTGCAGACAGAGGAACTATTACATACTACTGGTTTGAATGCAAATTTGTATACCCACTGGGAAACAGCTGGAGGTTTCTGAAACAATTAACAACACAACCACCAGTTCCTCTAGCCATCCCAACACTGGGTATACCTGCAAAGCCAAGGAAACCTACCTTAAGGAGGTATCTCCCTTCCCATGTTTCATGAAGTACTCTGGACAATAACCAAGGTGGGGAATCAACCTACTTGTCTTTCTACAGATGATAAAATCAGGAATTGAAGGATATATGCACAACGGTATACTCTTCGGCCATCAAACTTCCGGACATCAGTTCACTACCAGCAAGATGGAGAAACCTGGAGGGCATTAAGTTAAAAAACATGAGCCAGGCAGAGGAAGACAAACACAAATACTGTGCAATCTCATGCACGTGGAATCTAACAAAGTGAATCTCATACAGTAGCAATGTCAACAGTGGGTACCAGAGGCTCGGAGGAGGATTGGAAATGGCTACAAAGGGATGCTCAGATGAGGCACAGGTACTCTGGTGTTCTACAGCACAGCAGGGTGACTAGGCTTAACAATATCATAGCATAATATTCAATATTGCTGGAAAGGATTTGGAATGCTCTCTCCATCAAGAAATCCTCACTGTAGCATGAAACAGATGCTAGGTCCTGTAGTTTCATTGATTCATGTAAAAAGGTCCATTGCACCCTTTAAATAAAAACATAGACCATGTCCTATTTTTGTTTTCCAAATAGGATCACAACACACTACTAAAAATCCCGTGGGACAATGAAATGCCCTGCATTCCCAAAGCAGTTTCTGCACATACAAAGTCAGTGGAGTGCCATCACACTCTTCCACTTTCAACTACTTCCCAAAGCTTTAGTTACCCAAGCGATTCGTGATAGGCATTAACAGAGAAACACAGGCCAACGAACACAATGAGGGTGTCCAGCAGCACACTCAAATGAAGGTCTCAGTTAATTTAGAAAGTTTATTTTGCCAAGGTTGAGAACACACTTGTGACACAGCCTCAGGGTCATGATGACATGTGCCCAAGGTGGTCAGGGCACAGCTTGGTTTTATACATTTCAGAGAAACATGAGACATCAATCAATATATCTAAGAAGTATATTGCTTTGGTCTAGAAAGGTGTGACAAGTTGAAGCTAACTCAGAAGACTGGAAGGAGGGAGGGAGCTTCCAGGTCACAGATCACTGATACACAAATGGTTACATTCTTTTGAGTTTCTGATTAGTCTCCAAAGGAGGCAATCAGGTATGCATCTATCTCAGGGAGCAGAGGGGTGACTTTGAATAGAATGGGAGGCAGGTTGGCCCTAAGCAGATTCCAGCCTGAGTTTTCCTTAGTGATTTTAGGGGCCCAAGATATTTTCCTTTCACATTTCCCCCCTTTTCTTTTTAAAAAATCTTTTGGAAAAAGCATTTTACAAGAAAATGAGTCTCTGGTCTCGGGTTTCATCTCATCTCTCATGGCTAGGAGGGTTTATTCCTAGAGAGGTAGGTCCCAAAAGCTCATTTTTAGCAGGTTGTGATGTCTCACATCCTTTGAAGTTAAAATAGGGGGGAGGAAGTGAGAAAAAACAACAACAAACAAAAGAACAATCCTGGAAAAATCAATGTAAGCCACATTACTCTGCAGTCCATGCCTCAGTAGGCAGGTATGAAAGTGGCTTAGGTATGTCAACAGGTTGCTGTTATTTTCTTCTGAAGTTTAATTTGTCTGGCTTCAGTTCACAGGGTTTTAAGAAAGCACAGCTTAGTTTTCAGTGACTCCAAGTTAGGAATAATTGAAAAAAAAATTGAAAACATTAAAGACTTGTAGCCAAGAAAAATTAGAATTTGGTCCCAACTGTAGAAAATAATAAAAATTGAAAAAAATATTAGGCAAGACTAGAATCTAAAAACAGGTCTACTGTGGTTTTGAAACATAATTTTTTCTCTCTCCAGTTTTCCATTTTTACTAAAGATAAATCATGTTAGAACTGATTTGCTTTATTATTCTTGGTCTAATTATTTGCATACAGTGCAACAACAATAATTATTTTTTACACAGGCTTTTAAATTGGCTTTGATGGAACTTTGTTCCATAGGAGGAATCTTAGATAAGACTTTCTTAAGCCAGGCCCAGCCATGGATTTGTGCCATCAAATACCTATGATTTCAGTGAATTTCCTCTCCTCTTGAGGTTCCAAGATAAACCTGGGGCTTCTGCACCTGTCAGAAAGTGACATTCTTTATTTACCACAGGTCAAAACCCTGTACAGGGACTGTGTACACAAAATATGAGGCCAGTTTTTCCACGGGCTTTATTGGCTTCTATAAGTCAAGTTTGATTCCTTAAAGGAAAGCACACCATTTCAGTCAAACCCTTGATAAAATAACCAACTTCTCCAACTGTGTCCTATTGCAAAATAAAACAGATTCTTATTGCACTTATGCAAATAACTATGTTGCCATAAATTAAGAATACCCCCAGTTTCCAAATTCTGGAGAAATTAGGTAGAGAAAAACAAATATGCTCCAAATTTTGTTCACAGGAATATACTTTATTGTTAAAAGCTGCAACTAACAAAGTTTTCTTAACTCTGAAAAACTAAACAAAGTATCAGCAATGTTTTAAGCAAGAAGTCAAAAAGATTACTTCAATTTTCTGTTGGTTCAGTTATTTCTATTAACTCCTGTTCCGTTTCATAGTCAGGAACATTTCAGCTCTCCATGAGAGAGTTCCGAAATTTTTTGCTTTATTCCAATGTAACAATTTCCAAAATTATCAGAAAACCTGAATTTAAGTGCACCTGTTAAGAGTCCTACAGCTGATTATAAACCCACCTTATAAAGAGGGTTTAAAACAAGACAAAACAAGACAAAACAAGATAACCGTCTGTGGATGAAAAAAAAGTAAAGGCAGCCATAGTTAAAAGATACAATTGACAAGTGAATGTGTTACCTCCGTGGCACACGATAATTTTAACATAGCAATTATGATTATTACGAATAATGTACACTAAGTTATATCAGAATTACAGGAGTTTCCCATCATTTTGGAACACATACCAATAACATATTTATACAAATGGATATGAAAGAAAGCCAAACACCATTTCTTATCTGACAGTACTTTCCTGTATAAATTTTATACCAGATAAGCCAAATTATGTCATTTTTAGACTTTAGAGAAACTAATGTTCTATTTAGGATGGAAAAAGACATAATATATAATTTGATTTTGGAAAGTTTGTCAAATATAAAATGTTTAAAACACTTGATATTAAAAAATAGGATTACAGGTCATTGTAAAGTCATTTATTTAACCAAAGTGATAATTCAAGGATTTTTTAAAAGTGAAAACCTTCATCCTTTGAGACAGGAGACTTAATTTTTTAAACAAGCAGCCCTAATAAAAACAGCATGAAGCCAATTACATTTGTTTTTTAAAATTTTCTAAATCTATAAAATGTAATCTTGATTATAAAATATAACTTCCATAAGCCTTTTATAACCTGTACTAAGGAGTTGGTAAATGCTTCAAGAAAACCTTGTTAATCTGACACAGGGGTCCATATACTGGTTTTGCATCATTGTGATTTTGACATTAATAATTAATGTATAGAGAAACTGAACCAACTTTATCTTTCAAAATCGGCCCTTACAATCTTATGCTCCCACCTCTTTCACAATAGTCTCTTGGTCTTGAGGAGTTCAATAGCTTTCATTTCCTGCCCTGTGTCTCAGGAATGCAGCAGTTTATTTAAATTGGCATCTTCTACTGTTCCTGAAGATGAGGCTTTAATTGCTGTGGGTATTTAAGATTTAGCAGGAATTGGTTTTCGTTTTTAGACATAGGAGTTAAAAAGCCCTGTAACTCAATGTTGCAAGGATTTTGAAAGCATATACAGGAAGATACATGGATGTAATAACTTCAATTTTAAAAAATCTCAGTTTTTTTCCTAAGTAAACCAAAACTTAATGTGACAACTTTATTATATAAAAGTTTTTGGATTTTTTAAATATATAAATCCTTATTGTAACTTACATTGTTCATGACATGGTCAGACTTTCTGATTTGTTCTGAACATCCTTTCTTTTTAAACAACCAGTTATTTTATTTTAGGACTAAACTTACTACACAGGATTCTTTCTTATATAATAGTATTTCTCTTTAAACTCTTTTTTACCTCAAAAACTACCTCTTTACAACTTTCTTTACATTTTTTTATTTCCTGGTTCCTTTTACTTTGTTTTATATATAACTTTAAATAAGCTTTGAATTAGACAAAACATGTTCTTTTTTTTTTTTTTTAGAAAAAAAGACACTTTTTTGGCAAGAATGTTTTCCTACAATATATGTGTATTGGAAAATACCCAAATAATGAAATATCTATTATTTAACTTAACTTTATATTCTAAATTATGACCAGTTTGTCTACAAGTATTTATCCCATTACAATTACCTAATTATTTTAATTGTTTATCTAGATTATTTATGAAATCTGTGATAGTCATGATTTAAAGTTATGAAGCCGCCATTGCAAAATTATAACTGAGACAGTGAAAAAAAGATTTGACCTAACTGGCTCCATCTTGCTCATAACCTCCAAGCTGTCCTTGTTCATTCCTGGGCATAGGCTGAACTAACACTGAGAGGAACCTGGTTTATAGTTTAGATTTGAAACAAAGGCAGTAACAGTCCTTACCTTATTGTCTGTGGACTAGACTGCCAAATGCCGCAGGATTAGAAGTGCTAGTAATCTTACTAAATTCAACATGCAGCTGTTTTTATTAAACCCCATATCAATGTCTTACTTATTAAAAATTACACAAGTAAAGATCATTCCGTTTTGGGCTGGGTTTATACTTTTGAAACCCCAATGCCAAATTTTGACACCTTATAGTATTTGGCAGGAATATGTATGAAATTGGTTGATACTAAATGTAAACAAAAATGTATGCTGCCAATTTTTAAGACATTTCTAATATTTTTTTACCAATAATTTTAAAGATAGCTTATTTATTAAAGATTTTGCTTAAGTTACATAAAGTTGAAAAAGCATTTCGCAAGTCTTTCTTAGTATTTAACTTAAGTGGTTTTATTTTTCTTTAAGCCGATTAGAGCTTTTATATATTTTTAGTAGTCCAACATTCTGTACACAATACATAAATACATCTAAAAATCTATCAGGCATATCTATGGAAGTACTGAAACCACTTTTGCAAAACTGCAACTAAGGAAATTATGACAGTGAAAGAAATCAGACCTAACCGACTCTATCTTGCTTCTAACCCTTAAGCTGTCCTTGTTCATTCCTTGGTGTAAGCTCAACTAACTTTGGGAAGGAATTTAGTTCACGGTTTGACTCTGAAAGCAAATTGATAACAACCCTTTCCTGAAAAGAACCCCTTCTTGCCTGGGGAGCAGTCTGCCTTTGCAGGACTAACATATTAGCTACGAGATTAGAATGTACAGTTTAGGGGTCATGCAGTCTCTGGCTTCGAAAGTCTGAACCTCCCCAAACTGCTCCTGCAGGTAACATCACATCACTACTGTAAAACCTAAGATCAGGGCTTGATACGTGTTGCAGACCCTGCCCAGGCCAGTAATCTGGCCCAACCAGTTGTGCCGTCATACCCATGAATAGAAGACAGAAAGATAACCTAACTTCAACCCCCTATGATTCTATCTCCAACCTGACTAATCAGCACTCCCCACTTCCCAAGCCCCTACCCACCAAATATCTTTAAAAACTCTGATCCCCGAATGCTCGGGGAGACCGATTTGAGTAAAAACTTTGGTCTGCCATGCAGCCGGCTCTGCGTGAATTACTCCTTCTCCACTGCACTTCCTCTACCTTGATAAATCGGTTCTGTCTAGGCAGCGGGCAAGGTGAACGCATTGGGCTGTCACGGTACATTTTATAGATTGAAGACCTCCCCCTTTTTTTCTCTCTCAGACTTTCAGATTCTTGGTAACTTGTTTCACAACCCTAGGCAGCTGTCAACTAAACAGCCTTAAATTTGAACGTTAAGGGAAACAATTCAGGTGAAAATCAAATAGCAAAATTTACTACATAAAGCACACAAGGAAAGAGGCTGGTGGTGCTAGAGGGAGACACTAATATTTTCTTCGAGCCAAATTAAACATTAAATTAAACTACAGTCTTCCTTAAAAACCCAAGAGTAGCCTCTGTTGCAATAACTACTTTAGTCAAGAAAAATCAAGTGAAAACAGAATTCAGTCAACTGAGAAAAAAAAGACAAAAAAAACATAAACACATTTGCTCAACAACAACAAAAAGACAAGGTCTTAGGAGAGTAAAACAAACAAAAAAACAAAAAACATGAAGGCCTTTCAAATACAAACATGCGCACACATGCACACACATCTGGATGTTACCCTTTTAATTAAGCTGACTTTTACACAATTGTGCTCCTTTAAACAAAACTCTTTTAATCTTATTACCATATTTCAGCGAGGACAAAATGCTGCTAAACTAACAATGGTCACACAAATTATATGATTTCTGAGCACTCTGACGTGTAAGCAGAAATTAACACCGGCTGGTTGTTAAATGTTAACTTTATTCTTTAAAAGGAATTTGCAAGACAGAATCCAAAACTAGTTTCTTACCTAGTGATGGATCTCAGGCTGCAAACTACTCTCTACTATCCTAGAAGCAGGAAAAACACACAAACAAACAAACACACAAAACAAATTTGCCTAATAGAAGAAGTGAGCTCAAACTCTATAAAGTAGTTACCTGCCTTCCAACATCATGGAGGTGTGAAAACTTGTCTTGTTGGACGCAAGTAAAACTCCAAAAAAAAAAAAAAAAAGAGGAGTTGTACAGCAAAATAAACTTTAGATCTTGACCAAAGTTTTGGAGATGAAGGATTCTTTGGAGGGAGTGCTCTCAGATCTCAGCAAATTGTCCTATTGGTTTGGGTCATAAAGTGAGCTCACACTGGTCCCAAGCACTGACAGGAGATTTGCCAAAGGTCAGGGGCATCTCCACTCAGAATCCCTCGTGGTTACCAAAGGGGAACTCTGAAAATCTGAAACAGGTCTCAGTTAATTTAGAAAGTTTATTTTGCCAAGGTTGAGGACACACTCCTGACAAAGCCTCAGAAAGTCATGAAAACATGTGCCCAAGGTGGTCAGGGCACAGCTTGGTTTTATACATTTTAGCGAGACATGAGACAACAATCAATGTATGTTAAGAAGTACATAGGTTTGTTCTGGAAAGGTGGAACAACTTTAAGCAAAGGCAGGAAGACTGGAAGCAGGGAGGGAGCTTCAAGGTCATGGATAAGAGATACACAAATAATTACATTATTTAGAGGTTTTGGTTAGCTTCTCCAAAGGAGGCAATCAGATATGCATCTATCTCAGTGAGCAGAGGGGTGGCTTTTAACAGAATGGGAGACAGGTTGGCCCTAAGCAGTTTCCAGCCTGAGTTTTCCTTAGTGATTTTGGGGGACCAAGATACTTTCCTTTAACAACATACGAGTAAGCACATGTTTGAAAACAACCACAAAAGTCACCCTGGGAAGGGAGAGTCTGTCCAATACAGTGTTCAGGGAACTGGATATCCCTAAGCAAAATAACATAGGGTCCTTATTGTGCGAAATTCACAATTCATTCAACTGAAAGAAAGACCTATCCAAAACTGATAAAGTCACTCTCTAAGAAGAAAGCATATAGTGTGCAGATACCAGGGTCAACTTGGATCTATGCTCATGGTTTGCAAAAAGGAAAACAGAAAAAATAAAGAAGACAAAAAAGAATACAAACAAGCAACAACCAAAACTCACTGGCAACAGATTGATAAGCTGGTGAATTTCTTTAACTTCATCAGTCACCAAAGTAAGGGAAAACCAGAACACTACACACACCTGAAACTGCATCAGACTACATGGCTTGTGGGCAAGAAAGAATGAAAAACATGAATGAAAAGAAAGAAACATACAAAGGATGATAAGAAGCATTTGGAGAAAAACACAGCTGATGAGGCATTTTTTGGAAAAGGTGTAAGTAACTAACATTACTAACTAGCAAAAAACACCAGAAAACAGAAATTAATTACCAAACCAAAACTGGATAAAAAAACCAAAGAGGCTTTTCTGCAAAAGACACATAAAACTGAAAATAAGTATGCTTGTTAACACCCGGTTAACACCACTAATCATGGCAAAAATGAAAATCAGAACAAGACTCAGATACTGTGCCTCTCTTGGTGGAACGATTATTACAAAGACCTTTGTGTATCTTAAAAGAAGCTGCTGTGAATTTCCAGAGAGGTTAGCTTTCTTATCCACAACTGTTAACAGGTAATTAGTATGCACACTACAGAAGCCACCTGGAGGTTCCTCAGAAAACTAAACTTACAACCACTGAGCTGTGCTGCTACTGGAATCATATGAAATCAGTACACAGAAGACGTATCTGCCTTCCCACGCTGACTGTGGAAACAGTCGCAATAGCCAAGATAAGCAATCAACCTACCTGTCCACCCACAGAGGATGAGATCCAGAAACTGCAGTATCCAGTCACAACCAGATACTCTTCAGCCAGACACGGGTACTGAAATCAGGTCATCCGTGGCAACACTGTGGAACCTGGAGAACATTATGGTAAACAAAACACACTAGGCAGAGAAAGACAAACCTCGCATCACTTCACTCATGAGGAATCTAGGAAACTTTATCTCACACAGACCTACAAAGCACCATCGTGCTTGCCAGGGTTGGAAAAGAAGGCTGGGCAAGGGTGGGCATAGGAAACAGGTACAAAGTGACACGTTGCATGAGAGGAATGAAACCTGCTGTTCTATTCCTCAGCAGGATGACTAGGGAAAATTTTACCAAAGGGTGGTCTTCAAGACAGCCAGAAAGGAGGGTTCTCGCTCTCCTCACTCAAAGACATGAAAACTCTACCAGGCATAAAAGGATGCTAAATACCCTGATTTCATCCCTATACGATGCATGCATGGACCCAAATGTCCCACTCGACCCTCTAGTTGTACATATTTAGGACAGGGCCAATTTTGTTTCCTAAAAACAACATAAACAAACAATGCTAAAATTCCCATGGGACCACAAAATGCCCTGAAACTCCAAAGCCATGCTGAAACACCAAACGTCAGATGGACAAAAGGCTCACTATGCAGTGAAGGGCACTGGGCTAGGTGGCTAGACACATGCAGATGGACAACACTGGAGCCTTAACTCTCGTCAGATACAAAAACTAACCCAAGGTGAATGAAAGATTTCAGCAGAATACCTCAAACTATAAAAGTCCTACAAGGAAACCTAGGACATATCTTTCTCAGTACGGGCTTTGGAAAAGCATTTAAACAAAAAGCAACAGTAAGAAAAACCAAAAGGACAAGCTGGGCCTAAGAAACTATAACACTGCCAGATAGCAAAATAAATCACTGGCACAGTAAACACACAGGCTACAGGATGGGAGAAAATGTTCCCAAACTATGCTTCTCACCAAGGTCTGATAGCCAGACTCTAATATGACCTTAAAAAAATCAAGAGGCAGAAAAACAAACCATTCAAACAATGGGTAGAGAACATGAACAAACACCTCAACATCCCTCATCATCAGAGAAATGCAACTCTCATGAACACTGAGATACCATCTCACATCGGTCAGAATGGCCATTTGTCCTAAGGCCAAGCATTAACATGGTGGCAAGGCAATGGAGGAAAGCAAACACTGCTACACTCTTGGTGGGAATAAAAACTAGCTCTCACACTATGAGAAGTGGTTTGGAGGTTCCTCAAAGAACTTAACAACTACCATCCAAATGAGCAATCACATAACTGGGTATCTACACAAAGGAAAATAAATCATAAATCTTCCTTTCAAAATGACACAGGCATGGGTATGTTCTTGGAAGTGCTATTCACATGGAAATATAAAATAACATCGACCTATGTCCCCCCTTAACAGTTGATTACATGCTTTAAAAGTGCTACACATAGATACCACAACATCCTACACAGCTTAAAAAAAATTCATGCTCTTGACAGCAACAAGGATGGACCTGCAGGTCACTATGCTAAGCAAACTAACACAATCTAACAGAAAACAAAATACCACATGCTCTCACTTACAGGGAAAATACCTGTAGACAATACAATGACTTTGTGATCTCTTTTTTCTCTCTCTGATTGGACACAGAAATCCCTGCTGACAAAAGCAAATAAAAAACTGTGAGACCAACACTTTAGAGCTTCTGCATGGGGGAGAAAACAATGAACCCAAAGAGAAAGCATCTTACCTTGGCGGAAAGGATGATTGGGTTAAAATTGTGGAGAATCGTGATTTTGGAAGGGGTTGTTATCTAACATATGCAAGCACTAAAGCTACTAAGTGGGGAAAAGATTAAAAAAATACACAAGCTAAAAATATGCAAAGGACCTGCACAATCACTTCTGCAAAGGACATGAAACTGATTCACAGGTGAAAAAAAAAGATTCTCCACATCACTAATCACTCCAAACATGTAAGTCAGAATCACACTCCAATATCAGATACCATCAAACTCCACTGAGAATATTACCAAAAACAGGAATAACATTTTTGGAAGGTAGCAGCCAGTGTAGACTTACAGAAAGGGAAACTCTTATACGCTATTGATGCCAATGTGAATTAGTGAATACACTGTGAAAAAGTTGGGATGTTCCTCACACTGCGTATGCATTTAAAGCAAAGGAAACCGGTACCTTAAGGAGTTACCTGCCTTCCCATGTTTCATGACAGTATTCGCAATATAGAAGATATGGAATCAACCTACCTGTCCATCCATAGATGAAGGGATGAAGAAACTGCAGTATATCTGCACAACACAATACTCTTCATCCATAATTAATGTAATTTTCAT
The DNA here is from genome assembly GCF_000001405.40 of Homo sapiens. Classification (NCBI taxonomy): domain Eukaryota; kingdom Metazoa; phylum Chordata; class Mammalia; order Primates; family Hominidae; genus Homo; species Homo sapiens. The sequence continues at coordinate 19,470,186 of NC_000014.9, forward strand.
TTGGAGCCATATGGATGAACCTGGAAAATATGTTAAATAAAATAAGCCAAGCATAGAAAAATAACCACAGATTCATCTCACTTATATGGAATCCAGAAAACTTTGCCTTGGATAAGTAGTGGTTTTCTGAGGAGAGGGGAAGGAGGGAATGGGAGGATTGGTTGTGGAAACAAAGTTGCAGTTAGTTGGGACAGATACATTCTTGTGCTCTATACCACAGCTCCGTGATTCTGGTTAATACTATATTTTTCAAAAAAGCCACAGGGAGCAATTCCAATGTTTTCACAAAAGAATAATACCTGTATGAGAGAACAGATATGCCAAGTACCCTGATTTGATCATTACTAAAAATATACATGAATCAAAATGTGCCAGAGGAAAAACAGTCCCAGCAGACTCTCTAATTATATACTTTACTATGCACAGAAATTTAAGAAACGTGAATACACAATGCTGATGATCACATGGAACCACAAATGGCCCTGAATGTCTAAGGAATCCTGAGAAATAGAAACTAAGTTGGAGGACTCACAATCCCTGATATGCCGCTGTGCTCCAGCCTGGGTGAGAGAATGAAACTCTGTCTCAAAAAAATTGTTAGAACATTTGAAGGAAACGTAGAAGTGATAACTACAAGGACTCTGTCACTCAGGCTGGAATGCAGTGGCATGATCATGGCTCACTGCAGCCTTGACCTCTCTGGCACAACTGATCCTCCCACTTCTGCCTCCTGAATAGCTGGAACTACAGGCACACACCACCACGCCTGGCTAATTTCTTTGTATTTTTTGTAGAGATGAACTTTTGCCATGTTGCCTAGGCTGGTCTCAAATTCTTTGGCTCAAGTGATCTGCCCACCTTGGCCTTGCAAAGTGCTTGGATTACAGGCACGAGCCATTATGCCTGGCCATAAGAAAACATGCATGGCAACATCAAAGTGAAAAGTTTTTGCAAGGAAAAGGAAACAATGAACCCAAAAAGAAAGGCTGGGAGAATGTTTTGAGGAATCACGAATCAGCTAAGGGGTTGTTATGGAAACTATACAACACATTAACAGTACTAAGTAGCAACAAAAAAACCAATGATCCATCCAAAAATGAGCAGGGACCCTGAATAGACATTTCTGCAAAGAGGACAGTAAACCACACTCAAGGTCCCTTCCCCCAGTCAGGTGGCCATGACTAGAGGGACAGAGTTAGGCAGGCACTGCAGGGAGTGGAGAAATGTGACCCCTACGTCCTGATAGCAGGGATACAGATTTAAAAATTCACCAGACCGGGTGCAGTAGTTAATGCCTGTAATCCCAGCACTTTGGGAAGTTGAGGCGCGAGGACTGCTTTGAGCTCAGAAGTTTGAGACAAGCCCAAGCAACATGGCGAAACCCTGTTGCTACCAAAAATACAAAAAAAAAAATAGCTGGGCATGGTGGCATAGGCCAAAATACTGTTGAGGCTGAGGCTGGAGAATCCCTTGGGCCCAGAAAATGGAGGTTGCAGTGAGCTGAGATCCACCACTGCACTCCAGCCCGGGCAACAGAGCAAGACTGTATCTCCAAAATAAAAATAAAAATAAAAACAATTAAAAAATCAGCAAACCCTGGAGGTTAAGTTGGATCCTTTCCTTCCATCTGAGGCTTGAAAGCAAGGCAGCCAAACTGGGGCCTGGCCCCAAAACCCCACCTGGGCCAGGCTTCCCCTTCCTCCCACAGCCAGAGCTTTCCTCTCCACCTACATGGGGAGTCTCCCTCAGAAACAGCCCTAAAGCCTCCCACATATTCCAAACTCAAAAGCCCTCAGGGAATGAGTACTACTGTAAAATTAATGGCAAGATATCAAGAGAGAAAAAAGGAGTGAGAATCTAGCAGAAATACACAGAACATTCCACAAAATGAAAGCTTCTGTACTCACCATGAAAGAAAAACGCCCCAAAGAAGCTGGGCCACGGAGAAGCCACGCCGAAGCACTGTCCTCAGCAGTTAGCACCATGGACAGGAGGTGTTTCTTCCCCAGGATGCGCCCTCAAGTTATCCCAAAGCTGCTGCAGCACCTGGTGGCTCCTGATAATTCTAAAATTCATATGGGAAAAAAAAAACGAGCCCACATAGCCAAAGCAAGACTAAGCAGAAAGAACAAATCTGGAGGCATTACATTACCTGACTTCAATCTATACTACAAACCCATAGTCAGCAAAACAGCATAATACTGGTATAAAAATAAGCACATAGACCAATGAAACATAATAGAGAACCCAGAAGTAAACTCAAATACTTACAGCCAACTGGTCTTTGACAAAGCAAACAATATAAAGTGGGGAAAGAACACCCTACTCAACATATGGTGCTTGGATAATTGGCAAGCTACATCCCAAGAAATGAAACTGAATTCCCATCTCTTACCTTATACAAAAGTCAACTTAAATCTGAGACCTGCAACCATAAAAATTCTAGAAGGTAACATTGGAAAACCCCTTCTACACATTGGCTTAGGCAGAGACTTCATGACCAAGAACCCAAAAGCAAGTGCAACAACAACAAAATGAAGATTAAAAGGTTAGACTTAATCAAGCCAAAACGTTTTGGCACAGCAAAAGAAACAATAAGCAGAGTAAACAGACAACCCATGGAATGGGAGAAAATCTTCACAATCTATACGTCTGAGAAAGGACTAATAACCAGAATCTACAAGGTACTCAAATTAACAGGAAAAAAACCAATCCCTTCAAATAATGGGCTAAGGACTTGAATAGACAGTTCTCAAAAGGAGATATAAAAAATGGCCAACAAACATGAAAAAATGCTCATCATCACTAAAGATCAGGGAAATGCAAATCAAAACCACAATGTCAGGCTGGGAGCGGTGGCTCACACCTGAAATCCCAGCACTTTGGGAGGCTGAGGCGGGTAGATCACTAGGTCAAGAGATCAAGACCACCCTGGCCAACATGGTGAAACTCCATCTGTCCTAAAAATACAAAAATTAGCCGGGAGTGGTGGTGGGCACCTGTAGTCCCAGCTACTCGGGAGGCTGAGGCAGGAGAATCCCTTGAACCCAGAAGGTGGAAGTTGCAGTGAGCCAAGGTTACACCACTGCACTCCAGCCTGGTGACAGAGCGGACTCCATCTCAAAAAAAAAAACCAAAAACTCACAATGCTATGCCAGCTTACTCTGGCAAGAATGACCATAATCAAAACAGCAAAAAATAAAAAATATTGGGGGGCATTTGGTGAAAAGGGAACACTTTTATACTGCTAGTGGTAATGTAAACTAGTACAACCACTATAGTAAACAGTGTGGAGATTTCTTAAAGAACTAAAAGTAGAACTACCATTTAATCCAGCAATTCCATTACTGGGTATCTACCCAGAGGGGAAAAGAAGTCACTATATAAAAAAGATGCTTGCACACACAAGTTTATAACAGCACAATTCACAATAGCAGAAATATGTAACCAGCCCAAATGCCCATCAATGAGTAGATTAAGAAATTGTGATATACATCATGGAATACTATTCAGCCATAAAAAGGAAAAAATATAATGGCATTCACAGCAACCTGGATGGGATCAGAGACTTTCTTTTCGTTTTTCTTTTTTTTTTTTTTTTAGACAGAGTCTCTCTGTCACCCACGCTGGAGTGCAGTGGCACGATCTCAGCTCACTGCAACCTCTGCCTCTCGGGTTCATGCCATTCTCCTGCCTTAGCCTCCCAAGTAGGTGGGACTACAGATGCCCGCCACCACGCCCAGCTAATTTTTTGTATTTTTAGTAGAGACGGGGTTTCACCATGTTAGCCAGGATGGTCTCGATCTCCTGACCTCGTGATCCACCTGCCTCAGCCTCCCAAAGTGCTGTGATTACACGCGTGAGCCACCGCGCCCAGCCGATCAGAGACTATCATTCTAAGTGAAGTAACATTAAGAATGGAAAAGCACACATCGTATGCTCTCGCTAATAAGAGGTAGCTAAGCTGTGAGGATGCAAAGGCATTAGAATACAACGGACTTTGGGACTTGGGAGAAAAGGTGGGAGGGGGTGAGGAATTAAAGACTACAAATTGTATACAGTGTATACTGCACAGGTGTTGGGTCCACCAAAATCTCATGAATCACCTCTAAAGAACTTACTCACATAATCAAACACCACCTGTTCCCCAAAACCCTATGGAAATACAAGAACTTTTTGTTTATGCATACCACATATTTTTAAACTTTTTTCACAGGTTCATTGAGATATAATTTATGTATTATTTAATTCACTCAATTAAAGTATAAAATTCAGGTTTTTTTAGTGTATTAACTGGGTGCATAAACAATCACAATATAATTTTAGAACACTTTTATGCTCCTTATAAGAAACCTTGCACCCATTAGCAATCTTTTCCCATTTTCCCCACTCTTCCTTTAAAACCCTCCCAGCCCTAGGCAATCATCCATCTACTTCCTAAGGATTTGCCAATTCTGGAAGGATTTGCCTATTCTGGACATTTCATGTAAGTGGAATCATAATAATATATAGTTATGTGTGACTCACTACTTTCACTTATCATTTTTTCAATGTTCATCCTTTTTGGAGCATCTATTAATACCGTTTTCTTTTTCATTGCCAAATAATATTTTATTTTATGGACAGATCACATTTTATTAATCCACTCCTCAACTGATGGACATTTCTGTTGTTTCCTACTTTTTGTTGCCATAAACAGTTGTATGCTACTTTTTGTGTAAGGCATTTGTTTTAATTCCTTTTTGCTGTATACATAGGAGTTAATTTACTGAGTCATGATAATTCTATACTTAACCTTTTGAAGAACAGTTTCATTTTTCTGCACGTGGCTTGCCAATTATGCCAGCACCAAATAGGGCATCTTTTCCCACTTTATGTTTTGTTTGCTTTGTCAAAGATTAGGTATAGTCTGATGCCTCCAGGTTTGTTCTTTTTGCTCAAGATTGCTTTGGTTTTTCAGGGTCTTTTGTGGTTCCATTCAGATTTTAGGACTAATTTTTCTATTTCTGTGAAAAATGACATTGGAGTTTGATAGTGGTTGCATTTAATCTGTAGACTGCTTTCGGTAGCATTGCAATTTTGACAATATTAATTTTTTCAATTTATAAATATAGGATGTTTATGTCACTTTCAATTTCTTTCATCAATGTGCTATAATTTTCAGTATACACATCATTCACATCCTTCATTAAAATTACTCCTTGGCCTTTTATTTATTTATATATTTGTTTTGATGCTATTATAAACGGAATTACTTTATTAATTTATTTTTCAGATAATAGTTTATCATCGGTGTATAAAAACAAGAATACTATTTGTATGTTAATTTTGTAACTCTCAACTTTGTTGAATATAGTGTTTATCAGCTTTAATGGGTTTTTTTGGTGGAGTCTAAGATTTTCCCTATGTTAAAAGATTACATTTTCAGAAAACAGAGACAATCTCACCCCTTCCTTTCCTATTTAGATGCTTTTCCTTTCTTTGCCTTGTATAATTACTCTGGCTAGTCAATTACATATAACGTTTTCAGCATTTGCAATTTGACATCAAATCTATCTGTTGTAATACACTGATTGTTACTTTTCAACTCGAAAACCTGGACATTTATCACTACTCTCCCTTTCTCTTGATCTAGTTCTTATAAAAAAAACTATCAATGTAAACCAGGATAGATATTTTTCTGTAAAACAACTTCAACAGCACTAAAAAATTTTAGTCTAACAATTTTTAAACTTTCTATGTCAATGATATTAAACTGTGGTCTCTCAAAACAAATCCAATACCTTTAGTAGGAAAAATTATGTTAATTCCTACACTATCATTGGGTCCAGCCAAGAGTTGACCAAAGATGATATTAATAGATATGCTTATTTATTACCTTGTTCTCACAGTTCCAGTGTAAGTCTTGAAAATCTAATAAAAATTTGTAAAGACTATAATTGCACAAACTCCCTCTCTCATGAGTCACACAGTTAATCCAGAATATTATTTCTAAGTTATTATAAAACCAACAAGGAAATATGATGTAGTGTATAAAAAGAATAATCCCAATTTGATAAGTATATTCTATAAGTGAGACATGTAATTGATACTATTTACTAAATATCTCAATTACATTTATTTACATAGAAATGAAAGAATCAAAAGCATTATCTATTATTCAATATTTAAATGACTAAAAATACTTGAAATAGCATTGCTACATAAATGCTATGTAAATGCTGACAAAAGGAAAAATGTCATTCCCTGCATTTGCTGAATACATTGTGACACATTAGAAGTAGTTTTAAAATATATCACTAATGGTTGGGTCAAGTCAGCAAAAACTATTCTAAGTACTTAATTGTGGAAAAATTTAGTACAGGGGATAGTATTCATGTGACGGAAGGATTTTAAATGGAACCCAGAGATTAGCAGCAGCAGGAAGTTTTAATTACATACCAGGTGCAGAGTTTAGGATTCAAGACGGAACCGTAGATAAAGTCTGACTCTTTCCAGCATAGCTAGGAGACATGGCTAACTCCACCTGTCTGGAGGCCTTACCTAGAAATCTAACGGCTCCAAACCAGATAAACAGAACTATTTTCCAAAGTCAAACAATCAATTCATGACATTAAAGCACTTCTGAACTTTGACTTAAATTACACCAAATGGATAAATTTTGAAGATATTTTTATTTTACCAATGATTTTAACACTGTCTTTACTTCCCCAAGATTACTGAACTCACATGAAATAAAAGGCATTAGAGCTTCTGTTTTTCTGACAAAATATTTAAGAGCTTTCATTTTCTTTTAAGCCGAGCCACTAGAGCTCCTTTATATATACATCACATACACAACACTTCTAGACAGAAAAAGATCTAGCAGCTGTTAAGATTTTCTTTCCCATTTCATGAACCATAACACAACTTCCACAGAGCATCTATGACATGATTAAACTTTCTGACCTGTCCTGTATTTTCCTCTTTCGTAATTAGTCATTCTACTTTAGGACAACAATTTGCCATATAAGATCCTCTCTCATACAACATTTCTTTCCTTCATAACTTTTCTTACCATCAATACATCTTCACATCTACAACTTTCTTTAGATCTCTCTCCCCTACTAATGTCTGATGTCCACCTAAACCAAAAAGGTCAGATAACGCAAGGCAAAACAGAGGAGAGCCTTAGGTTTTGAGAAGGACCTGTCTGCTTAAAGTTCTTGGGGTTCCATGAGGAAAACAGAGTTTCTCCTAAAATGGGGTTTGTCGAACCTTCTATTTTTCCTTAAGGAGTCCCAGGCTGTCAGAAATTACCTTAGATCCTCTCACGTGAGCATCAAGAGTGGCAACAAGACAGACAAGGGAAATAATTCGGACAACTGAGCAGAAAAAGAAAAACTTACTACTGTCCCCACCATAAAGATGGATAAACTGAGGCACCATGCAGTTTAAAAATTCATGTTCACATAGAGTTAGGCTCCACAGCTCACTCTCTTACCATCCTGCAATTTTTCCAACTCTATGCCCAGTCACTGATGCCCCTGTATGGTAGCTCATGGTCCCCTAGGAACTTAGAACCTGAGTTTCATTCCTGCTCTACAGCTATATAATTTTACAATTTTCTTCTGAATTTGTTGGATTCTAACCCTGTGTATCTCAAATTTTATTAATATTACTGAACCTTAAAGGGGGCTGTGATGACTTTTGTCTTCAGAAATATTAAACCTACAAACAAGGACTATATGAGGTTAAACAGTATTCAAATTCCTATATGCTTTAAAACATGGATGCAATTTATTGAGAAACACACCTATGAAACTGCACCCAATCAACTCTGGACAAACATTTAGATATTATCTCTTCAATATAAGCTATCTAGTGGTAATTAGACATATTCTTCCATATATCAACAGTATCTTACATGCTCATAACCTTAAACATAACTGAAAAGTGTCCAAATTACAGGCCTTACACATTACTGTGGGCTTGAAAAATAATATAGATTGTCTTTAAAGCAGGCAAGAAAATGTATAAACTTCCAGAAGAATGAGTAAAAATAAAAATAAAAAAACGGTTCACACCAAAGGTAGTAATACTAGGAATAAAAGAGGGCTCAACACTGCAGGTTCTTAGAGGCAAAAGTTAATAAAGCCTTGTTTTTGGTTGTGACTCTTTGCCTTAAAACATTATACACGGCCAGGCATGGTGGCTCACGCCTGTAATTCCAGCACTTTGGGAGGCCAAGGCAGGTGGATCACCTGAGGTCAGGTGTTCTAGACCAGCCTGACCAACATGGTGAAACCCCGTCTCTACTAAACATACAAAAATTAGCCGGGCATGGTGGCAGGTACCTGTAATCCCAGCTACTCGGGGGTCCAAGGCAGGAGAACTGCTTGAGCCCAGGAGGTGCGGGTTGCAGTGAGCCAAGATCGCACCATTGTACTCCAGCCTGGGGGCAAGAGCTAGACTTCATCTCAAAAAAAAAAAAAGAAAAAAGTTACACACAACTCTCCCCACTTCCTTTTTTCTTACAAAGAGGTGGTGATGAACCAGGTTTGCTCATGCAGGTGACAATACTCTTGAAAATGGTGGCAGAGAGCCAGCGTGGTGGCTCACACCTGTAATCCCAGCACTTTGGGAGGCTGAGGCAGGTGGATCACCAGAGGTCAGGAGTTCAAGACCAGCCTGACCAACATGGAGAAACCCCATCTCTACCAAAAATACAAAATTAGCTGGGCATGGTGGCACATGCCTGTAATCCCAGCTACTAGGGAGGCTGAGGCGGGAGAATCACTTGAACCCAGGAGGCAGAGGTTGCGGTGAGCCGAGATCGCCCCATCGCACTCCAGCCTGGGCAACAAGAGTGAAACTCTGTCTCAAAAAAAAAAAAGAAAGAATGAATGAAAAAAAGAAAATGGTGGCAGACAAATAAAATGAAGAGAATACAGTTCACTTAATAATCTCATAAACTGGAACTTATTACCCCGGTGACTCTTGCATAGCTCCAGATAAATATGTGACAGAAATGAAATGGCTGTTTGCTACCGATATTTTATGTGATGCTTCATTTTTGATTCCTTGAGTAACTACTTACAACGCATTAGCCCACTTATGCAAGAGGCTGCAATTTTTTGAATTTTTGCATGAGTGAAAAATCAGACCTTGTCAATGACCTTGGGCAGTAGGATGTAAGTTAATTCCTCATGCTCAGTATTCCAATAATGGAACACTAGGCATAAGTGGGTTAACACGATCATGAAAGCATACCTATTCAAGTGACTAATACAACTGATTTTTTTTCTCATCTCTAAAACACAGTAAGGGACCATTTATTTTAAAAATACAACACAGGGACCAGTAGTTTCTTTTTAACTCACTTTCGGTTTGTTGTTTGTTAAGGCCATTGCTTGGCATAAAGAAAATTTAAAAAGGAGGATAAACCACAATAGAAACATGAAATAGAAGCAGCAGCAAAAGAAAATAAAGAGAAACAAGAAGATGAGAAGAAGACAATACAGACTAGAAGAAAGAAAAAAGAACAGGTGTGGGAAGTAGAAGGCCTATTATGATACCTTTTATCCCCTCCCCAATTCATGAAATTTGAAAAAGTCAGAGACTATCACAACAAAAAAGAAACAAGATACACAAATAGTCACCCCCTAAGTTTTGTTAAGAATAAGACAATCCTGCCCCTCACGCCTGGCTCAGTCACCAGCAGGAGGAGGGCACCCTCCACAGATTGCAGGAGAAGGGGAAGGACTCCTCCTTTCCCTAGGTGCACCTCCACTGCTGCCACCAAGGCCTGGTACAGTACCCGCAGGTTCCTCCCCATCCCCAGGTCGGGCTGGGCCCTGCAGCGCTCCTACTCCCCCTTCCCAGCCCCCAGACTTAATGCTGATACCACCACTAGCACCGATGCCAATACAACCGCTGTCGCCCTCAATGCAGCAGCCCACCCTACAAGGCTCCTACCACCTTGCCCCCGCGGGCACCCTCCTACCACTCCAGTCGAGCTGCAGTCTCCGTCGCTGCCACCAATCTCGTGAGACCAGCTGCAGAGCCATATGCAGGCTCCAGTTTACCACAGGTGACTCTTCCTTGTCCTCCTCCTCCATCCTGGCTTGGAGCAGCTGGGAGGGCAAAGCCAGAAAAGCCTAGAATGGGATGCAGAGAGTGGTAGCCTTAGAGCCTCACCTTGTCACGCTGGCCACTGGGTGGCAAGGACCAGTTTCAGGAAAGGAACTCACACCCACCCTCCAAAGTCCAGCTTCTCCTTCTGGCAAAGCTGGCCAAGAACTGGGGCCTGAGGTGGGTGTGAGTGCCTTCGCTGAAAGTGCCCCCGTTCAGGTGCAGCTGGCCAGAAATTGCTGGGCCCACCAGGGCTGCACTCCTCCAGGAGCAGGACTAGGAAAAACTCAGACCTAGGCAGCCCTCCCCACCCAAGTGCTGGTTCCTGTTCCTGACGCCTCCACCTACAGTGCCCTGGCCCCACAGTCCCCCATGATTCCCACTAATCCCTGCCCGGTAGTCCCAGGTGGTCTCCCCAACAGGCAGCATGAGGCACAGGCTGGGGAACCACGGGGGGTGTGGGGGCCCTGCTGTGCTCACAATTGCATGAGCAGGAGAAGATTACCCTCTAGAGTCTGGAATCTGGGAAAAGAAGAATGGTCACTGGAAGGAGAAAGGAGGCCACCACTGTTGCTGTTGCTGCCACCTCTGCAGCCCAACAATGCCACGCAGTGTAGCCCCTGACAGCACCCCTAACCTGCCTGCCCCTTGCCATCAGCAGTGTAGCCCCGGGATAGCACACCCAACACATCCCGTGCCAGTTGCAGGCATATAACCCCAGTACCCCCCCAAGCCACCACCCCCAACAGGCAGTGTAGCACATTACAGGGCCCACAACCCGACCCAGCCAAGGGGGTTGCTGCACTAGTCAGTGCCCCAAACCCGCCCCCCCCAACCCCACCACGGGCAGTGCAACTCCTGATAGTGCACCCCAAGTAAGTGAAGTGCAGCACTCCATAACACCCCTAAACCACCGCCCACTGCCAGCATTATAGCTCCAGATAACCACCCAACCCACCCCCTGCCGCAGGCAGTGGAGCAGAAAATAGTGCCCCTAACCCATCACCCACAACCAGCAGTACACATTAGTGCACACAATCTGCCTCCCTCCACCACCCCCGCCACCGCAGGCAGTGTAGCCAGTGATAGCCAGCCAACCCCCCCAACCGCCAGCAATACCCCAGAGAGTGCCCCGAACCAGCTGCCTGCCACAGGGAGTGCAGCCTTGGGCAGTGAGCCCCAAAAGGACACCCAACCCCTGCCCCCAGAGGTGGGCAGTGCAGCCCCAGAAAACTCACCTACCCAACGGCACGTCTACCACTCTGGAAGACCTGCAGTGTCCGACATCACCACCAACCGCAGCGAGGCGAGCTGCGGTGGCGCAAGCTCCAGCCTCCAGCATGCGTCCGTGCCTCTCCCTTCTACTCTTCCTCCTGCCCGGCAGGAAAAGCTCCCACTGCAGGCCACCCTTCGACCGCTCCATCCCCACCACCAACAGGAGACAGCCAGTGCCCTGGCTCCAGCTGGCAGCAGATGGCGGTCCCCTCTCCTAGTTCTCTAAGCGAAGAGCAGCACACCACCACTGAAGAACCTGAAATGACCTGAGGTTGCCCTCACCGTGCTTTATATACTGAGGTTACGCACATGCGTTCTTGGACTACATGTTCTGATTGGATGAGAGAAAAACCTCTAGGCCTACTCTGATTGGGCTTTATTTTCATGCTGTGATTTGTTGTCTTAAGACTTGCTCTCATCCAATCAGAACATGATAATAAAGTCCAATCCCAGTAACCCTGGAGGGTTTTTCTCATCCAATCAGAACATGCAGTCTAGGAACCTTCATCTATATATAACCTCAGTATATGAATGATCCTGAAGGGAAGGCTGCCCCTTTAAGGTTCCGGTATCTTCCTGTAGAGCTGCTCAGGGCCCAGCTTAGAGGACCGGGAATGGGTAATCACAGGCCGTACGCTGGAGGCTGGAGCCGCGGTAGGACGGCTCGCCTCGCTGCGGTTTGTGGTGACGGCAACGGAGAAAGCAGTGTGGCGCAAGCGGTAGGAGGAGGAAAATAGTTTTGGGATAGATGGAGGGAGGTAAAGAGGGTGGTTAGTGACAAAGGGAAAAGAGAATAGCGAGCAGGAGAAGGTGTTGCAAAAAGACAGTGGGGAAAAGATGGTGGGAAAAAAGTTTTTGGGTAAATGGAGGGGGAGAAACAGGGTGGGGAGCGGGAGGGAGGGAAGGTTTTGCAGAAAGACAGTGGGTAAAAAGTTTATGGGTAGATGGAGGAGAAGAGGGTGGCAAGGGGGAGGAGGAAAGAGGGTGGGAGGGAAATGGGGGCAAGCAGTAGGGAGAGAAGGTTTTGTGAAAAGACAGTGGGGAGAAAAGTTTTTGGGTAGATAGAGGGGGAAAAGAGGGTAACAAGTGGGGGAAGGGAAAAGGGTGGCCAGCGGGAGGAAGACAGGGTTTTGCAAAAACACAGCAGGCAGAAAAGAAAGACGGGGCGGGGAAGAAAAGATGATGGGTAAAATGTGTTTGGGTAGATGCACGGGGGAAAGAGGGTGACCAGGAGGAGGAGAAAAGAGGGTGGCGAGAGGGAGCAGGGAAAGAGGGTTGGGGAAAAAATGGAAAAATAGTTTGGGGTAGATGGAGGGCAAAACAGAGTGGAAAGCAGGATAGGGCAAAGAGGATGAGTGGGAAGGGGGAAATACTGAAAAGACGGTGGGGAGAACTTTGAGGGATAGATGGAGGGGGAAAAGAAGGAGGTGAGCAGGAGTGGGGAGAAGGCTTTCCGAAAAGGCTATGGGGAAATGTTTTTGGGTAGATGGAGAAGGGAGAGGGTGGCAAGGAGGAGCAGGGGAAAGACGATGAGGAAAACAGTTTTTGGGTAGATGAAGGGGGAAAAGAGGTTGGTGAGCGGCAGGAGTGAGGAGAAGGTTTTGGGAAAAGAGGGGGGAAAATATTTTTGCTTAGATGAAGGAGCAAAAGATGGTGATGAGAGTGGGACGGGGAAAAAGAAGGTGGCCAGGGAGAAGGGGAAAAGACGGTGGGAGAAAACAGTGGGGAGAGTGTTTGGGTAGATAGATGGGGAAAAGGCTGGTGAGCGGGAGAGTAGAGAAGGCTTTGCGAAATGACGGTGGGGGAAAAATGGTGGGGAAAAAGTTTTGGGGTAGATGGAGGAAGAAAATGGGTGGCGAGGGGGAGGAGACCAAAGGCGGTCGGGAAAAGAAGGTGGAGAAATAATGGTGAGAGACAAAGGTTTTGGGTAGATTTTTTAAAATCAGATTATTTGTATTTTTGCTTTTGAGTAGTTTGAGTTCTTTATATATTTTGTGTATTAACCCCTTGGCTGATGCATAGTTTGCAAATATTTTGTTCCATTCTCTGGGTTGTTTCTTCATTCTACTGATTGCTTCCTCTGCTTTGCAGAAGGTTTTAAGTTTAATGTAATTACATCTTTGCCTTTGTTGCTTATACTTTTGACAAGTTTAATGTAATTACATCTTTGCTTTTGTTGTTTGTGCTTTTGATGTCTATTTGTGCTCAAGATTTCTATACATTATGTTCATTGTCTGCTTTATCAGTAAAAGTATAGTAGAGACTGGGTTTCACCATGTTTGCCAGGCTGGTCTCGAACTCCTGACCTCAGGTGATCTGCCCTCCTCAGCCTAACAAAGTGCTGGGATTACAGGTGTGAGCCACCGTGCCCAGCAGTCATCTTCTTTCTTAGATGGAGTCTTGTGTGAAACACACCACAGAAGTTATGTTCACTTACAGCTGGGGGAGACTGACCACCTTGTGTGACAAGGTTGGAACCCAAGTGCCACACTTCCCTGTGTGTCTCCACATGTCCTCAGGCCTGCTGGGGGCTCCCTTGTCCTGGTCTTTCATGCAGAGGAAAGACGTAGTGTGTGTTGAGAGCCAGCCTGGTGGTGGGACGTAGTGACTGCCCAGCCAGTGGAAGCTGCTGCTCTTGCCTCTTTGGACCGTCCCTCCCCTGTCCAGGACCTCACTTCATCTAAACACCTCAGGTCAAGCCCAGCAGGAAAATGAGATTCTCTTTTCCTTTCTTTTTTTCTTTTTTCTTTTTTCTTTCTTTCTTTTTTTTTTTTTTTTTTTTCATGTAGAGTCTCATTCTGTTGTCCAGGCTGGAGTGCAGTGGCGAGATCTCGGCTCATCGCAACCACTGCCTCCTGGGTTCAAGGGATTATTCTGCCTCAGCCTCCCAGGGAGCTGGGATTACAGGCACCTGCCACCATGTCTGGCTAATTTTTGTATTTTTAGTAGAGACAGGGTTTCACCATGTTGGCCAGGCTCGTCTCGAACTCCTGGCCTCAAGAGATCTGCCCACCTCGGCCTCCCAAAGTGCTGGGATTATAGGCATGAGCTATCAAGCCCAGCCTAGAACTTCCCTTTTCTTTTCTTTTTTTTTTTTTTTTTGTTTGACACAGAGTCTTGTTCTGTCGCCCAGGCTGCAGTGCAGTGGCGTGATCTCAGCTCACTGCAACCTCCACCTCCCAGGCTCAAACGATTCTCCTGCCTTAGCCTCCCAAGTAGCTGGGACTACAGGCACGTGCCACTATGCCCAGCTAATTTTTCTTTTGTATTTTTAGTAGAGACAGGCCAGGCTAGTCTTTAACTCTTACCTCAACTGATCCACCTGCCTCGGCCTCCCAAAGTGCTGGGATTACAAGCATGAGCCACTGTGCCGGGCCAAACTTCCCTTTTCTTTCCATTTCTTGGTATTTGGAAAGTGAGCAGCCATGGAACAGCCGGTGTTTTCAGCTGGTGCAGACCCAGCTGGTATGCTCGTAAGACTTCTAGCTGAAGGAAGTGTCCACCCTGCAGTCTCGCTGGCATCCCATCACCTTCCAGAAGCAGGATGCCAGCTGTGTGTGCTCTTGGCTCTGTGCTCGGGGTGCTGGTCTTGCCAGTTTTCCCACCCCTTGTTTCGGGTGAGGTCCCGCCCAGCTGGCATGGGAAGGAGGATGGGGATTGGTCACCACTGTGGTTTGTTGCAGAGTGAGTTTGGTGGCTGCCTTGCCTGGGCCCAGCTCCCATGTTTCTCCCGCTTGGCTGCAGCTCCAGCCCTGCTCTGTCCCCCGTAGCTTCCTGCCCAGCTCCACACTGCAGCCTTCCCAGCACCCAGAAACAGCACAAACCCCACAGAACTCCAGTGTCCCCTCCCCTAGTCCTTTACACACACCTGCTAAGCCAGGCCTGGGACCCACAGCTCCATCATGTGAGCTGTACACGGCCCGGCAGGTTGAGGTGCTAGGTCACCCCTCACCTTTACAAGGCCTCAGGTCATACCATTCATGCGTGCTCTGGGGCCCTCAGAGCCCAAGCTCCCAGCCTGAGGGTCTAGGGCTGAGGCCTCACCCGCCCATAGTCCTGCAGTGACCCCAGCTCTGTCATGAGTCCAGCCGGCTCCAGCCGGGCCAGGAGCAGCTGTACTGGGACACGCTGAAGCAGCTGTCCAAGCACATCAAGCCCCTGCACCGCGTGGTCAACAAGATCGACAAGAGTGAAGGTGGGCTGCGGCCGGGGTGGGGGCCAGTGCCCTGGGGATGCCACCAGGCTCGTGTCTTATGGTCCCCTCTGCTGTCCCAGACAGAAAAAAGGACCTGAGCAAGATGAAGAGCCTTCTGGACATTGTGACAGACCTCTCCAAGCAGTGAGTTTTGCCCACAGCCAACGTAGGGTCCACAAGGGCGTGGGTCGTCCAGCCATGGATGGGCATTTGGTGATGATGTGGGGTTAGCAAAGGCCCCAGGCAGCTCTTTGGGCCCTGGACAGAGGCCTCCAAGTCTCCACTCTGGTGTGTGCTGGGGCTTCGAGCCCAGGCTTCATCTTGGCCGGTGCCCAGCCTTTGCCCTACTCCTGACCACTGCTGCGGCCCTCATGCTGGCCCATCACAGCCAGGTCTCATCCAGCCAGTAGTTGGGGGCCCAGCTTGCAGTGACCTGAACATCAGCTGGCCGTGATGGGCCTGAGCATGACCTGGAGTTCTGCCCCTGACTTCCCGGTGACCATGGACAGGGGACTGCATCTCAGTTACCCCATTTGCAACCCATGTGTGCTGTCATGAAAATGAAACAAGACGGTGCTGGTGAGAAGCAGGTGGAAGGCAGGGCCACCGGCCACGGGCTGCTGTGAGCTCGGGCAGCACCTCAGAACCGCATGGGCGTTGGCCTATACTTCCCTGTCACCTAAACTCAGGGTGTCCCCCCACCCCCGTCTAGAAGTGTCTCTCTGTTTTGCTTGTCTGGATAGAATGCCAGTCACTATTGGGTGGTCCTCCAGGCCTTCTTGAGTTGATTCTTCATTAGGGTTATAGGACTGAGCAGGACAGGGACTGGCCTAGGTGCAACTGAGGCCTTTCCAGCCTGGTCAGGGTCCCGGCCACTGTCCCTTCTCTTGACCCACTGCCTCACTGCCAACAGGGATGGGCAGCTCCTAGGGGTGAGGGCCACCTGCCTAGACTCTGGGTCTGGGAACAGCTGGTCAGCTGAAGGGAGCTCCTGCAGAGGTTTCTGAGGGCCGAGGCCCAGTGGCAGTGGTTGGGATCCCAGATCCCAGCCTGAGACCTGCCATGTCTCCCAGCCCTCCAGCACAGAGCTCAGCCCAAGTCCCCTCTCTCTGCAGGTCCCCTGAAGACCTTGCCAAAGTGTGAGATCGCCCTGGAGAAACTCAAGAATGACATGGCGGTGGTGAGTGGGATGCTGGGGACCCCTGGGGGATCGGGGCTCCCTCAAGAGCTCCTGGGGGCACCACTGGAGGGGCCTTCATGGTCAGGCTGGGTGGGGGCTGGGCCTGATCTGAGACCCTGCCCACCAGGCCTCTTCCAGGCCAGGTTTGCTGTGCTGGGCGGGAACGTGGGAGAAGTCACCCTCTGTCTGTGGCCCCCGTGGGTGCCTCTGCCACCCGGTCCAGAGACAGCAGGGACTCTGGGGAGGACAAGGCTGTGGGGGTGGGGATTATACCCAGGATCGGCCAACATTGTCTGCACAAGGGTGGAGGCTGAGAGAGAGGCCTTGGGAATCTGGCTGTGAGTGAGGACTGGCCAGAGGTGGGAAGGCCCCCTAAATGGAGAACCCTCAGGTCCCGGGCTTCTGACCGTGCGCATCCTACCGCCAGCCCGCTGCCCCTGGTGCCGCTGACCAAACAGCAGTACCTATGCCAGCAGCTCCTGGATGCTGTCCTGGCCAATATCCGCTCACCCTCTTCAGCCATTCCCTGTACCGCACATTCGCTCCAGCCATGACTGCCATCCACGGCCCACTCATCACATACATCCAGCTGGGCTGGGCTTTGCAGAGGGCGGATGGCCAGCCCTGGACCATGTGTGCCCACTGTGGTCACCATGCTGCCTCCTCACGTCCACAGTGGTGTGCACCCGGAAGCACAGGCTTGAGGACGATGAGCGGCAGAGCATCCCCAGCATGCTCCAGGGCGAGGTGGCCAGGCTGGACCCCAAGTGCATGATAAACCTGGACTCTTCTCGCTGCAGCAACAATGGCACCGTCCACCTGGTCTGCAAGCTGGGCGAGCGTCCAGGAGGGCCAGGCCGGCACAAGTTCGCAAGCCTTGTCCACAGCACCAGGTCTCTGCCATCCGAGCCGGAGGGCACCGTGCCCAGACCCCACCCTGTGTTCACACCCCAGCAGGCTGTCTGCTTTGTCTTCACATACACGGAGCCCAGGACAGACTGGCCATGCCTCTGCCCCCACGCACCCTCACCTCCCCAACACAGATACGGCTCTGCTTGCCTGGGGCCCTAGGGAGGTGACAGGCAGGACCTCTGGGCACCCATTGACGCAGGGCACTCTGGGCTTCAGGTTTGGAAATCTGAGAGTCAGAGAGACATCCAGGCTTTGCCGCAAGCCTCACCAGAACCTCCCGGGGTGTGAAGAGTCCTGTTCGGGAGCAGGGCTGTGAGGCGGGGCAGGCCAGGGCTCGTCCGGGTCACAGGTACAGCCTTGTGTGTTGCAAACGACAAGGACCTCCCAAGTGTGCCACCATGTGCCCACCCACTACCCTGCCCAGAGTCCACTGTGGATGGACTGGCAGTGGCTGTACAGTGGGCAGACCCAGAGGAGCTGTCTGGGGGCCCAGGGCAGGCAGGGGTCATTCTGGAAAACCAAGCTTCTAGTGCTGCAGGGACAGCCTCTGTGCCCCTCCCCGGCTCAGGCCCCTTCCTCCCCTCTTCTGGCTCCTCCTGTGTGGAATCTCTCAGGTTCCAGTGGTAACCTGAGAGATAGGAGTCTCTGCTCTTCTGTGTCCCTTTGCCCCTTCATCTTGTGTCCGGTCAGCTTTCCAGGGTGGCTGTGTTCAGTGGCTGAGGGGTGAGAAACCCTACGGCTCAAGGACAGACCCCACTTTTCCCAGAGGCCACTAGGGAGCTCAGTGGAGCTGACAGGTCCTACCAGTAGCTTGGGCACACAAGACCCCATCTGGGTGATGTGGCTCCAAAGAGAGTCATGTTGACAGGAGTCAGTCTCCCTGAGCCCAGAGCTGGCACATAGCAGAGCCAGGGCTGGGTCCCCAAGGTTGTCAGAGGCAAAGCCTTGAGCTCCAAATCCCGTTCAGATTCAGTTCTTCACTGATGATGAGGCTCCGGGAGGAGAGCCTGATGGCCAGGCAGGCAGCGTGCAGGGATCCTCCTGGTGCTTCAGCCAGTCCTGGGGCTGCCACTTCCCAGAGCACTGCCGGGTGTGCAGGGCGTGGGTGCAGCGCCAGCTGCCTCAGGCTCATGCCCACTGTTCGGTTGCAGGCACCAACCCCTTCCTCAGGTCGATGCACCACCGCGTGACCTCCAGGCGGCTGCAGCTCCCGGACAAGCACTAGGTTACCACCTTGCTCAGCACCTGTGCCCAGAGCATCCACAAGGCCTGCCTCTCGGCTGCCTAGCCAGGACTGCAGGGATGGCCCGCAGCCTCATCGGGGCCAAGGATGCATGCCTCCTGTCAGACACTTCTAGATGTTGGTGTCCATGGAGAGCCTGGAGTTAGGTTAGCTTTCCTCCTTTTCTCTCCTGCCTTGGGGATCTGCCAAATGAAATCCCACACTTGTACAGACTGATAGGTGCGCAGTGGAGTGTGCTGCCTGCAGGGAGTTGGCTGTCTTCTTGGAGAAGGCACTCCATGTGACTTCCTCCATGAAGCCAGACACAGTCCCCAGCCACGATCCTCGGGCTGCTCTCACCACGGCCTGTCCAGGGTCCGGGTGCATCTCAGCAGCATGAGGTTGTGCTCAGGTTGTTGTTAGCGTGTCTTGTGTGTGCTCGACACACCCCTGCTGCTTTCTATAGGAGAACACAGAGGACATAGGAAACCCTTCAAACACACATGGGACTCTCTGCTCACAGTTTTGGGTTCAGGCTGCACTGCTTTGGGCAAGTGGGGCACCCCCTAGGGAAGCCCCTGAGTCCAGGGCACAGGATGCCTCTTTCAATACTTGTTTTTTTTCTCATACTCAGGATCTATCCTGTAGACTTTATAACACTGTACCCTTAAGCTACACCAAATTTATTAAAAAATATTTTTTCTTTGATAATTAACTTTTCTGTAGCTTTTAAAATTTATAAACTTTTAAATTTTTTAACTTTTTGACTTGCAATAACAGCTTAAAATACATTGTACAGCTAGCTGTATAAAAATATTTTTCTTTATAGCCTGTAAGTTTTTTTATTTGAAAAACGTTCTATTTTAATTTTCTTGAAAACTCTGTTAAAAGCTGTGACGCAAACATATACATTAGCCTAGGCCTACACTGGGTCAAGATCATCAGTGTTACTGTCTTCCACCTCCACATCTGCTCCCATTGGAAGGTTTTTAGAGGAAATAACGTGTGGATCCAGCTGTCATCTCTTGTAGTAACAATGCCTTTTTCTGGAGTACCTCCTAAAGGACCTTCTGAGGCTGTGTTTCATAGTTAATTTTTTATCTTTAAGTAGGAGTATACTCTAAAATAACAATAAAAAGTATACCATAGTAGGCTGGGCCTGGTGGCTCACGCCTGTAGTCTCAGCACTTTGGGAGGCCCAGGCAATGGATCACCACCTGAGGTCAGGAGTTGAGACCAGCCTGGCCAACATGGCAAAAGGCCTTCTCTACTAAAAATACAAAAAAATAAGTCAGGTGTGGTGGCTTGCAGCTGTAGTCCCAGCTACTCTGGAGGCTGAGGCAGGAGAATTGCTTGAACCCGGGAGGCGGAGGTTGCAGTGAGCTGAGATCACACCACTGCACTCCAGCCTGGACAACAAAGTGAGACTCCATCTCAAAAAAAAAGTATATTATAGTAAATACATAAACCAGTAACAGTTATTTATTCTCATTATCAGGTATTGTATACTATACATAATTGAATGTGCTATACTCTTTTTATATGAATAGAAGTGAAAGTTTGTTTACACCAGCATCGCTGCAAACAAAAAGTAATGCATTGTGCTTGGACATCATGATGGTTATGTCACTAGGTGATAGGAATTTTTCAGCTGTGTTACATATTGTCTGTCATTGTCTGAAATGTTGTTATGTGGCATAAGACTATTTACTTTTTTTGGAAATTATTCTTAAATAAGGAAAAATTCTGATATCTACTACTTGTTCTCTGATCTTATCTTCCTGTGCAATGGCTGCATTAGAGAAGAGTCGTTAGATAGTTACACTTAGTTACATCAAAGTAAATACATTTGTTTAATCAAAGTTTCAGCTTGATCTAAGGTGAAACACCTCAACTTAGAGTGAGGAAAAAATACAGTTGAAAGAGAGCAAACAGTAAAACCAGAATTTATTACATCATTTAATAAAACATTTGCCTAGGCGTTAAGGGGCAGTTATAAATATAAAACCAAACTATTTGTAAGTTTTGCCATCTCTCTTCTGTAGTGACATTCTTGAATATAAATGTGTGCATTTAAATAGCTATTCTTCCCTTCTGAGGACTACAGCCCTTCAGTGTTCTTGGGTATAATAACAAATGCATGTTTCACTTAATCACAGAAGATGGTTCATTTGTGTTGTAGATATGCATGTCTGCTTTTTAACTTTGAAAGACAGCCCGTTTACTTGGACATTTGTATTATGGGTCCACAGTTGGTATACAGTCTACTATTTCTATGTTATATATATGTTTACATAAAGGCATTCATGTCAAAATCAGATAGTTTTGTGTTCTTTTAAAGAAGAAAAGGAAGGAAATATGTTATAATAATAGGTGATATTAGATCTAGAATATAATTATTGGATTTTTGGTTGAAAAACATCTATGATTATTTTAATTCATCCTATGTCTCTGTAATGGAAACATATTTTCCATAAGTTTACCTTTCTCTGAATTCTTTCTGTTTTATGAATGTTCTTCAGGCAAAATGCGTGCATTCTGTACCTCAAAAGAGATGGAGTGCCATCGAAGGAAAAAGCAAATTTTACAATTAAACTAGTAAATACAGAGATTGTCTAGATAACATATTTCATTAATTCTAAGAAGCACTTATTTTTACTCTTCTCTGAAATTGGGAGTGTATCTTATTTTAGATGGTGTCTTACAATTGACAGTGTGTTTTCATTCCTTTTGGGACATCAAATAATGCTGCATCTTAAAACGGACAATACTGTAGAGTCTGTGAAATACTTGCGTATATGTGTGGGGAGTGTTTGTTAATGAGTTACCCAGTGTGGAGATTTGTGAGAACTATAGACCAAATATTTTTTCCCTTATGTTTTTACATTTTGGAAAATAGTTTTTTAAATAGGAGGCTTTTTACAACCTGATATTAAGCTTTGAGTATTGTAGTAGATTTTCATTGTTTCATTAGATTGATTAAAAAATAATATAAATGGTGCAAAAACAATTTCCATTTTGTAAGCTTAATAATACTGACCTTATGCTTACTACTGAGTGTTTCTACTTATACCACACATTTGGTAGTATAAAAATAGCTTTTTTCAAAGTTTTCTCATAATAAATTTCTTTTAAAAGGTTGGATAGCTATTATCCTGAGTCTTATGTCTGATACCATGTTTTTGTTTTGTTTTTAGAGTCTTATATTTAAAGAAAAAGTAACAAGCCTTAAATTTAAAGAAAAACCTACAGGCCTGGAGACAAGAAGCTGTAAGTATCTTCTCTTGTCCATGGTGAAACTAATTCATGCAGATCCAGAGCTCTTGCTTTGTGTAAGTGTTTTTTTATGAAATGTGTCAAAATTACCACACTAAGTTCATTTGGTTTAACTGAAACGCCAAGACCTTGAGGGTAATTTTTAGCTCAAGAGCACTTACTGATCCTTTCTGATCATAACTGAAAACTAAGACGTCTCTAAGAAACCTAATGTATAATGAATACTGATATAATTAGATCAGATTCTTAATTGCCCTTACCATTTCTTAACATTTCTCTTTCTTCTTAATTTCCGTATCATTCAACTGACATGCTTAACATAACTAAGCTTCTCCAAACTTGTATTCATTATGGGAGAATGCCATTCTTATGTCTGGTTATATCTGCATTAGGTTATTGTTGATGGTAGTAACAATAAATTTTATGTTACTGCAGCTCACAAGTGTATTTTTACATCTGCAAGAAATTAACTAGTCATTAAATGCTTAGTAGCACAGAAATTCTCAAGTGGTTGCAGGAAATTTTGATCTGCAGGAATAAATTTCTTTCTTAAAAATAAGGTAAACGAAATGACATCTTTAAAAAATGAGAGAATATTTGGAATGGTGATGGGGAGAGATTAAGAAAGTGTTTTATAGCCAAATTAGTTTCTATTTCAGCTCCTCCTTCCCCCCAAGGTTCTCAAAAGGATATATATGTGCAGAGGACAAGGGCTGGCAAATTAGCATTTTAAAATTATTCTGAAGCTTTGGCCGTAAAACCACACTGTTGATGAATTCTAGTTCTAGTTGAGTTACATAGGTCTCTATGGGACAGGCTAGGAAAAGTGGGGGCTGCTATAACCAAAGTAGCTTGAGGAGCATATTCTATCTTTACTCTCAAGTTCACACATAGACATAATTCATACGTAAAATTTAACATATAGCTTCTGTAATTAATCTAAGAATTCTATTATGGCATAGATTTGGGAGTACTTGATTTAATGAGTTTTTTGTCCAGTTCTAGAATCATAGCTCTGAGAAATCATAAAGGCCTAGATGTCGTGGCTAGACTAGTCCAGAGAATTATCTATCAAGAAGCAAAAGGGAAAAGGTTGAGGGTCCTCAATCTAGGTTTATTTCTATTCCTCCAATAAGGGTTTCACATCTTGAAAATTTCACGACACTTCTCGGGGTGGAGTGAAATTTTTTGATTCTGCACTATTGAAACATGGTGAGGTTGTGGCAGATAGAGAAGAGTCTTACATTTCTTCTAACATATAGTTTCTATAGTTAATCAATTTAGGAATTCTATTATGGCCTAGTTTTAGGAGTACTTGATTTAATGAATTTTTATCTGGAACTAGAAGCATAGCTGTGAAAAACCTTAAATGTATGAAACTCATATCCTTTTCAGTATTATACAGCTTGTTATTAATAAATTGTCTCTGTTTAGAAATAGACTAATGGTGAAGTGGGTTTATTCACATCTGGCTTATTTGATGTGTTAATGTAGCAGAATTTGGCATTATTCCAAAGATATGGAAAGAGATTAGACTTCAGACTTTCGTGCCCTTGCCTATGGCATAATCTCCAGAATATGAGTATGAGGAATCCAGTAATGAATTCGTAGTGCCCTGGTCAGCACAGTCACTCTTGTGATATAGTTGGTGTATATACCAGTGTTAATTACTGGTCCAGAAGAACTTAATCTCAAGAGTCAATTTCTAGTTATCCCAACATGGCACGGATAAAATCTTGCAGAAAAAAAATCTTTGTCATTGAGACCAAATTATAGTTTTCATACAGTGGATATACATTGTTGATGTTTTACTTATGTTTATGTTAGACTTAATTTATATTTGTAGAATCTACTGTTTCTGATTATTTAGAGAATGGGAAACTGAAAGAAATTTTAAAGACATTAAGTGAACATTATTTGTTCTAATGGGTTTCTAGTGAATTTCCTTCAAGGTGGGGTGTAGAGATTGAGAGGAGAGGTTTTCTAGGAGAGTCTCAAACAGGAAGACAACCGATATAAGTGTTTATTCCTCTTGGTTGTCAGTGTGTCAGTAAAGCTTCTTTCCTTCTTTTTTCTAGCAGGCAGATAGAAGTTCATGTCACTTTCTCCTTTTTTATGGAGTAGGATGTGATACTCCTTCTAGTGGAAATACCAATCAAATGTCCATGGGTCATGAAGTGTCACTACGTACTCCTGAGCCTCTCTCCAGAAGGGAAAAGGGAACTCCTCTATGGTCAGCTTCTTTTGTAATTTTCCTGTATCATCTCGTGTGCTCTATTTGTTTTCTGAATGAACTTTGGTAAATTTCATCCAGGTAATATAGAGTAATAGTGAAAAACTGCTTAGACTCTAGTTCTATCACTGCTCTTTATGGAACTTTGGGCAAGTTCTTAACATCCTTGTTCCTCAATTCCTCAACTTTAAAATGGGGACAATAATAATTCCTGCTCCAGAGTTGTTGTGAGGGTTAAATAAAAAAATGTGTAAATAGCACTTGACACATACAAGCTGTATCTGATAACCTCCACCTCATGAAAAACCATTCATAGCATAGAAGTATAGAATTTGTACCAGCTAACAAAGGTACAGATGTACAGGGATAAAAACAAAATATTTTGTTTCATGTTAAAGATAAGTGTTTCTGTGATTTGCATTTGCGTGTATAATTTCCTTTAAATATAAATCATATTTCAAGTGAAAATATCGGGTCATTACAGAAGAGTTTATTTTCCAAACCAAAACTTTTTTCATCCCTAATTTTTAATATAGCCTTGTTAAAGAAAAAAACATCTAAGCAGTATGCTATTTATTATTGTCTGTTTTACTTGCAGAATTTGAATGTATTTTGTCAATTATTTTCTCCATTTCATGTTTGCGGAATAGGTCATTCAGAATCAAGTCTATCTTCTACAGCAATATTTTGTTCTTGTTTATGCCCTTGTTTCAATGAGTGCCGCAGTGTACTTATTTTATTACTTCCCTAGAGCAAGTAGATAGAATTTCCTGTTACTTCCTCTGTTTTTGTCATTTGTAATTGACTGGGAAGTACATTATATAGTTACTGCAGTAGATTTATGTTATGGTGTTTTACCTGTCCGTGTTAGAATCGGTTTCCATTTCTGGAATCTGGAATAGGATAATACCTATTTTATTTGAAATTGGACAGATAGTAGCTTTATATTGGTCCAGATAATCTCATTTCTCATTTGGACAAGATAATTTGGGGTTTGAAAAATTCATATAATGATTAAAGGAGAAAGCTCTTATGAGTTATTGTATGCTGAGATATATGTGGACACACACACACACACACACACACACACACACACGCAGTTTATTGCATTGTTGGGTTTTATACATAAAATTACCCAAGTTGCAAATATATGTCTACCACCCTTGACTCTCAGGATAGTGCAGCAGGATGCAGCGGAACCCCCCTGACTTGCTGACAAGCGCAGACCAAACTAGAAGTGGCCCTGTACATGTTTCTGCGGAACCCTGACACTGAAGCTGTTCTGGTTGCCATGTCCTGTTTCCGCCACCTCTGTGAGGAAGCAGATACCCGGTGTGGGGTGGACGAAGTGTCATTGCGTAACCTCTTGCCCAACTCTAACACATTCATGGAGTTTGCCTGTCAGCAATGTGATGTCAACAGGTAAATATGAATAGTGGTTTTTTTACTCAACCTCCCTAAAGCACATGGCATCTGATTGTGAGAATGTATTTAAGATTACACTTCTGTAAGTTTACAGGAGAAATTCAAGTAGCTTACTTGAAATCCTTTTCTGAACAAAGTAAGATGAAAATAAAAAGCGTTTGAAATAAATTGTTAGTCTCCCACTGAGTTTTTAATATGCTATAGATTTTAAAATTAACTGGCAGTACGTGTTACTATCAGTTATGACTATGTAATTTACGTTTGTATGACTATGTAATTTATGTTATCCATATACATAGTCAAATTACATATGACTATGTAATTTATGTTATCCATAACTCCGTATGTTATGGATAGTGAAGTTTACACACATTGGCATATGTTTTGAGTAAATTATAGGTGGGAATAGCTATTTTATGCTGTGGACATTGTAGAGTCTAAGATAAGTACCTTTCCTGTGAGGTTAGTGAACGGAAGTTTTTGGCTTTATCATTTGAGGCATTTGCTCTGCTCCTCCTACTCTGCCTTTTGGGTGGGGCTTATCAGGTTCTCCATTGGCAGGCAGGGCTCTAAGTGCAGTAACTTGATTTGCTGTTGTAGTTGCTTAGGCACAGCAGCACTTCAGAAAGAGTGATGGCACTGCTGAGGCGCACTGAGCATCCCACTGCAGGAAACACTGAGGTGTGCTCTTAGCAAGAGAAACACCCCTCCCAGGCGCCCACCCTCAGTTTTGGAAGCCTCTTGTTACATATGTGTGATGAGGAATAGCTTTTGAAGTAAATCCAAGATATGTGCATATTACAAGTATAATATCTGAGTACTTAATATATATCAAGTTTGAAGCTTGGCTGTTGCTGATTGATGTTTAGCTCTAGACTTAAAGTTGCTTTCAAGTGATAACTGTCTTCATTTTAGACTTGGGAAGATACACATGCAAAATGGGAACAAGCAACAAAACTAATCCTTAGCTATCCAAAAGCCCAAATGGAAGATGGCCAGGTAAGTCTGTAAAGTTGACTTTTGTCTATTAACTGATCTGCTAAATATATGTCCTTCTCTTTGGTAATCTTTCACGAGTCACTCAGTAAAGTAAGCATATAGTTGTCTGAAGACTGATATTTAGTTGTGGTTTATCTAGACCTGTAGTTTGTAATATGATAGCCACTAGCTACGTGTGACTATTTAACTTAAATTTTAACATAATTAAAATTAAATACAGTTTAGTTCCTCAATCATATAGTAGCCACATTGCAGGTACCCAGTAGCCACATATGACAGGTACTTACTCTGTTGGACAGCAGAGAGAAAATGTTGCCATCATCACAGAAATACTGGGCAGCACTGCTAGAGACTGTTTGTTGCAAAGACCATTTCTTTATCTTTTCTTGCTCTTTCTCCCTTCATCAGGGTGTTTCACAGAATTTTCAGAAAAGGAGCAACAGAGGTAGAGAAAAATTAACATGGAAACCATTCATTTTGCTATTTTGTTAGGTATTCTAATTAAAGAATGTCTTGGGCAGAAGATGGAACCCATAGATAAAATGAAATTTTAAAACATGGACAGTTCCTTCAACTATTACTATTGACTATATTATCCATTACTTTGGAAATTGATGAGTTGGTGTTTGTGTGTATATGATTTATAATGTTCACATTGCTCTCATTATTAGGTGGTTTATAAAAACTGGCTCTTCCCCCATGTTATTTTTCTGTCATGCTTAATTATAATAAGAAAAAAGTTATAGTTTTGTGAAGCAAAATTGTGTACCTCATACCTTTATTTGGAGGGGACATGTAGCTTTAGAATGAAAGCTTTTGGGGGTAACTGTTACTATAATATGTAATTACATACCATACAATTCACGCATTTAAAGTGTCCAATTCAGTGACTTGTTAGCATGTTCACAGAGTTGTGCAACCATCACCACGATCAGTTTCAGGACAATTTCATCAATTGAGAAAACCCTGTATCCTTTAGCTATCTCTGCCTCTAACAACCCCCCAACTTTCTTGTCTCTCTGCCCCCCGCCTCTCCAACCCTGGGCAACCACGAATCTACTTTGTCTCTGTAGATTTGCCTATTCTGGATATTTTCTGTAAATGGAGTTTTAGAATATGTGGGCTTTTACGATTAGCTTCTTTCACTTAGCATAATGTTCCCAAGGTTCATCCGTGTGAAATCAAAGCTTTTTAAAAGAAATTTGATACTTGGGCAATTATATTAGTATATGACAAAAATAAATCAGTGGCTCTTTAAAAATGTATATGGTAATTTAGGGGGTTGATTTTAATGTATTTTTTTACATTTTTGTGTACGTTTGTCACGGAAGAAATGTTGGATAAAGAGTAATTTGTCAAGTCTCAACTAATTTAGGTTTAATTCATGCTTTGCACAAAAATTTTGTGTTTAGGCTGTTGAAAGCTTCACAAGACCATTGTTAAGAGGCGAATGTCCCATGTGAGTGGAGGAGGACCCATAGATTTGTCTGACACAGACTCCCTACAGGCATGGATCAACATGACTGGCTTCCTTTGTGCCCTTGGGGGAGTGTGCCTCCAGCAGAGAAGGAATTCTGGCCTGGCAACCTATAGCCCACCCGTGGGTCCGGTCAGTGAACATAAGGGTTCCATGATTTCAGTGATGTCCTCAGAGGGAAACGCAGATACACCTGTCAGCAAATATATGGATCAGCTGTTGTCGTTAATGGTGTGTAACGTTGAGAAAGTGGGACTTCAAATACGGACCAATGATAAGGACCTGGTGGGTCTAGAATTGAGTCCTGCTCTTTATCTGATGCTATTTAACAAATTGAAGAAGACCCATCAGCAAGTTTTTTGACTCCTAAGGACAGGCAAAGTGTGCTCTTTTTTATTTTTCACCTTTCCCTATGAATAGAGTGACTTGTTTGAAATAATGAAGCCTTTTTCTTTCAGATTATTTAAATTAGGTACTCACAGTTTTTAAAAATTGTCAAAAAATTGTAGAAAGAAGAATCATCTCAATGAATGGTCAGCTTGCTTCTAGGAACTCTGATGTGTATGTGTGCCTGAGGGTATACGTGCCTTGTATATGGGTATGAGTGTCTGTGTATATCTGTGTGCCTGTTTGGCTGCGTGCCTGTGGGTGCATGTCTCTATTTGTGTGTTTAGATCAGTCAGTTTCATCTCTCTAGGGATCTGTCTTCTGGGCATTGATGGCAAATCATTAATATATTTGTTCTCTCTATAGGTTTTATTGACTGATACCAATACTCAATTTGTAGATATAATGAAGAACTTGCTAGATAATCATACTGAAGGCAGCTCTGAACATCTAGAGCAAGCTAGCATTGAAACAATGATGTTAAATCTGGTCAGGTAAGCCTTCTACTGAAATGTAGCAGAAACATACTTTAAGATTTAAGAGACAAGAAAAACCTCTTACACATTGATATTGATAGTAATTGATAAAATAATTTGCCATTCTTTACTGCACACAAACTAGGCTGTGACAACAAGGTAACCAGAAATTGTGTATGCTCTCCTATAAATAAATGTCTTACTGTTTTCAAACTTACGATTAGTTCGTTTTATTTGATGGTTAAAGTATTTTGAATGCCTTATCTTGTGTCTGTATCTGATAATTTTTTTATTGTCTCTATGTCTGTATAGGTACGTTTGTGTGCTTGGGAATATGGTCCATGCAATTCAAATAAAAACGAAACTGTGTCAGTTGGTTGAAGTAACGATGGCAAGGAGAGATGACCTGTCATTTTGCCGAGAGATGAAATTTAGGTGAGTTCTCAAAAGAGCAATGTAGGGTCTTGTAAATCTTAATTTGTTGAATGAAGTACAGAAATGGAGTAGATATCTGGTTATTGGTAGGAAGGAAGACATAAAAAGAGAGCAGTTTACATGTTTGTTTTTCTCTGTGTCTCTCCTCAAATTTCCCTAAGCTTTGTGCCTGTGGCAAGCCTCCCTTTTTCTAAAACTCTGCTGTACTTGAGCTAAGAATTTGATCCTGTTTCCAATCTGATAGCATAACTAAAGGCCATGATGGAGGATCAGTATCCACGTTGCTTGTTCCTTCTGGCTTTTACATCTATGATAGCAGTATCTCTTTTATAAAGTCGTCATGTCACCTGGGTTATCTGCCAAATTATTTGCACCATAAGTAATCTTACATGACTGAAGGTGTGTGTGTGGGGGGGTATGACTTCAGAAAAATTGTTTGCTGTTTCTCTTTTCTCCACCATTCTATAGGAATAAGATGGTAGAATACCTGACAGACTGGGTTATGGGAACATCAAACCAAGCAGCAGATGATGATGTAAAATGTCTTACAAGGTAAAAAAAATGACTTTCAAATATTAGTGGGTTTTACTGTGAGAATTATAACTACTTCATTACAGCTTTATACTTGTATTTTATGTGTATTTAAACTTTTTAGATGTAAAACTTTTGTGTTCAAAATATGTAAAGACACTAATCTTTATTACTACTTTTTCTTGACCGATAGACTTTCAGGAAAAATAAATATGCGAGAGCGGTATGTTTGGGAAGTTATTGTTGTCAGTTTATGAAGAATAGTCTACAGTTATTGGGAAATAAGATACATAAAGCCTCAGATTGCATTTATGTTATGATGAGATAGATAAAGGTATTATTTGAGAAACTCATTGTGTTGAGTCTAAGAAACAATTGATTTCCTGATTCAAACACCAGAGATAGACCAAAAAAGGAAGTAATTAAGTCTACTTTAATGATAAATACTTATTGACACATATCAGAAAGTGATTAAACACTATGGACTGTATAATAAGCATTTACATATGTTTCTTTGACAAAGCCTAGCTTTATAATACGGTCGTCTCTCAGTATCTGTCAGGGATTGGTTCCAGGAACCACCCCCCAAACTCCTGCCCACATCTCACTCCCATGAACACTAAAATCCACAGACTCAAGTCCCTGATACAAAATGTCATAGTATTTGCATATAAACTGTGCACATCCTCCCATATATTTTAAATATTTTTAGATTACTTATAATATCTAATACAATATAAATGTTATATAAATAGTTGTTATACCATATTGTTTAAGGAATAAAAACAAAGAAAAATTTGTACATGTTGAGTATTTGAAATCCAGGAGATTAGGTTGGACTTTCAATAAATGGTATTGATAAAACTGAGTAATGATCTGGAAAAATATCTTCATACCATTTATGAGGATAAACTCCCATCAATCAAAACAGCATGGCAAAGCAAGGCCTTTTTCATCCATTCAAAATCCATAAGCTAGAAAGGAAAAGATTGATAAAATGAATTCATTCAAAAATCATAAACTTCTGTCTGGGACAAAAATGTCATGAGTAAAAACAATCCTATGGTTAATATCCTCGTCCAATAGTTCTCTTAGAATAGTCCTAAAAGTGCTTTTGTGGCTCAAAGAGCAATACCTTGAAATTTTTGGTGCATGTTGTCAGATTACCCTTTAGAATGCCTGTTGCTTTTAAAATATTTTTTTATTTTAGTATTTTATTGTTTATCCAATTATAGACTATTTTACATACTCAGTAGACAACATAAAGCCTCAGAGGTACTCTGTTCTTTTTCTTTTAGGCATCAGGTACCTGAAAAAGAAGAGATCAAGGCTTTGAAAACGTTAAGTATTTTCTACCAAGCTGGGGCTTCCAAAGCTGGGAATCCTATTTTTTATTATGCTGCACGGGGTAAGAAATACTATGTTTGGTGTCTCCTCTCAACAGAATTTTTTAAACGATAGCAATTATAGAGATGGCAAGTTTGGTTTTTCATATTTGACTTAACAAGAATTGAAGACAAGTTTACCTGGGAGCATACAGTGGGTTAAATAGCCTGCCTTTCCTAAAATGGTGGTCAGTATCTAGTAACTGCTTTTCAGACTACCCATTTCATATTGGTTTCCCTGTCCTACATCATTTTTTAAAATACTGCCTACAATGGATTAATTACCAAGAGTTAAAAAACCACAAAGCATCTTTTGTTTTCAAGTATATTCTGATTAAATAGTACAACATGATAAGCGGGAACTTTTTTTAAAAGAAGAAATAAAACTGTAAGAGCCTGTTTCTGAGAACTTTTAAAAATATGCTATGTAAGACAGCATCAGGGTGATTTAGCAAATAATTCAAAGGGGTGGTGGGAAATCATGAAGATGGTGCAAGGGGTGGCCTGGAAAATGGTGCTTGTTCGTGCTGCCCTCAGTCGAGGCTGGTTCCTAGAAAGCCTTTCTGGAAATGTTGTGAGCTCTTCCTTAATAATAGATATGATGCTTGCATTGCCTTCCCTATCATTGTCTTTTTTTCTTGCCTCATTTTACCTTCCTTTTGAAAACTCTTCTGTGACATTATTTGGTCCCATTTACCATAACATACATTCATGGTAATTGAGCCTTAGAGACAACATGATACGTATAGAGACCACTGATTTTGGAATCTCAAGGATCATGTTTAGACTTAGTTCTGCCAATCATTAGCTATAGACTTAATCTTTACCAGTTTCCTGGATTTAACAGTGTTTAACATCCATGACCGTTAAGTTAGTAGACGTACATTGTTAGTCAATTTGCTGGCCACAGGTGGCAGTGTGTAGGAAACAAATTGAGGTTGAGAAATAGTGGAGAGGCGGTGAAGAATCAGTGGAAGATGGGAAACTTGTCTAATTAGGTCATTCATATAGCCTTAAGACCAAGAAGTCCAAAGGACTGGAGCATTAGGGAATCAAGAAAGTAAGAAAATTGTGTCGAACCTCCCCCTGCCCCCGCCCTTTAACAATTCTAAGTAACCCCTTCTCACCTTCCCATGAAAGGCCTCTCTCCAGCTCTCATCTCGGTTGCTATTTCTAAATTGCCTAAGATAATTTTAATTTTCTTTTTTTTTTGGATTTTAGCATTCTAATTTTTTTTTATTATTATACTTTAAGTTTTAGGGTACATGTGCACAATGTGCAGGTTTGTTACATATGTATACATGTGCCATGTTGGTGTGCTGCATCCATTAACTCGTCATTTAGCATTAGGTGCATCTCCTAATGCTATCCCTCCCCGCTGCCTCCACCCCACAACAGGCCCCGGTGTGTGATGTTCCCCTTCCTGTGTCCATGTGTTCTCATTGTTCAATTCCCACCTATGAGTGAGAACATGCAGTGTTTGGTTATTTTGTCCTTGTGATAGTTTGCTGAGAATGATGGTTTCCAGATTCATCCATGTCCTTACAAAGGACATGAACTCATCATTTTTTATGGCTGCATAGTATTCCATGGTGTATATGTGCCACATTTTCTTAATCCAGTCTATCATTGTTGGACATTTGGGTTGGTTCCAAGTCTTTGCTATTGTGAATAGTGCCACAATAAATATACGTGTGCATGTGTCTTTATAGCAACATGTTTTATAATCCTTTGGGTATATACCCAGTAATGGGATGGCTGGGTCAAATGGTATTTCTAGTTCTAGATCCCTGAGGAATCGCCACACTGACTTCCACAATGGTTGAACTAGTTTACAGTCCCACTAACAGTGTAAAAGTGTTCCTATTTCTCCACATCCTCTCCAGCACCTGTTCTTTCATGACTTTTTAATGCTTGCCATTCTAACTGGTGTGAGATGCTACCTCATTGTGGTTGTGATTTGCATTTCTCTGATGGCCAGTGATGATGAGCATTTTTTCATGTGTCTTCTGGCTGCATAAATGTCTTCTTTTGAGAAGTGTCTGTTCATATCCTTCGCCCACTTGTCAATGGGGTTGTTTGTTTTTTTTCTTGTAAATTTGTTTGAGTTCATTGTAGATTCTGGCTATTAGCCCTTTGTCAAATGAGTAGATTGCAAAAATTTTCTCCCATTCTGTAGGTTGCCTGTTCACTCTGATGGTAGTTTCTTTTGCTGTGCAGAAGCTCTTTAGTTTAATTAGATCCCATTTGTCAATTTTGGCTTTTGTTGCCATTGCTTTTGGTGTTTTAGACATGAAGTCCTTGCCCATGCCTATGTCCTGAATGGTATTGCCTAGGTTTTCTTCTAGGGTTTTTACAGTTATAAGTCTAACATTTAAGTCTTTAATCCATCTTGAATTAATTTTTGTATTAGGTGTAAGGAAGGGATCCAGTTTCGGCTTTCTACATATGGCTAGCCAGTTTTCCCAGCACCATTTATTAAATAGGGAATCCTTTCCCCATTGCTTGATTTTGTCAGGTTTGTCATAGATCAGATAGTTGTAGATATGTGGCATTATTTCTGAGGGCTCTGTTCTGTTCCATTGGTCTATATTTCTGTTTTGGTACCAGTACCATGCTGTTTTGGTTACTGTTGCCTTGTAGTATAGTTTGAAGTCAGGTAATGTGATGCCTCCAGCTTTGTTCTTTTGGCTCAGGATTGACTTGGCAATGCGGGCTCTTTTTTGGTTCCATATGAACTTTAAAGTAGTTTTTTCCAATTCTGGGAAGAAAGTCATTGGTAGCTTGATGGGGATGGCACTGAATCTATAAATTACCTTGGGCAGTATGGCCATTTTCACGATATTGATTCTTCCTACCCATGAGCATGGAATGTTCTTCCATTTGTATGTATCCTCTTTTATTTCATTGAGCAGTGGTTTGTAGTTCTCCTTGAAAAGGTCCTTCACGTCCCTTCTAAGTTGGATTCCTAGGTATTTTATTCTCTTTGAAGCAGCTGTGAATGGGAGTTCACTCATGATTTGGCTCTCTGTTTGTCTGTTATTGGTGTATAAGAATGCTTGTGATTTTTGCACATTGATTTTATATCCTGAGACTTTGCTGAAGTTGCCTATCAGCTTAAGGAGATTTTGGGCTGAGACGATGGGGTTTTCTAGATATACAATCATGTCATCTGTAAACAGGGACAATTTGACTTCCTCTTTTCCTAATTGAATACCCTTTATTTCCTTCTCCTGCCTGATTGCTCTGGCCAGAACTTCCAACACTATGTTGAATAGGAGTGGTGAGAGAGGACATCCCTGTCTTGTGCCAGTTTTCAAAGGGAATGCTTCCAGTTTTTGCCCATTCATTATGATATCGGCTGTGGGTTTGTCATAGATAGCTCTTATTATTTTGAGATACGTCCCATCAATACCTAATTTATTGAGAGTTTTTAGCATGAAGGGTTGTTGAATTTTGTCAAAGGCCTTTTCTGCATCTATTGGGATAATCATGTGGTTTTTGTCTTTGGTTCTGTTTATATGCTGGATTACGTTTATTGATTTGCATATGTTGAACCAGCCTTGCATCCCAGGGATGAAGCCCACTTGATCATGGTGGATAAGCTTTTTGATGTGCTGCTGGATTCGGTTTGCCAGTATTTTATTGAGGATTTTTGCATCAATGTTCATCAGGGATATTGGTCTAAAATTCTCTTTTTTTGTTGTGTCTCTGCCAGGCTTTGGTATCAGGATGATGCTGGCCTCATAAAATGAGTTAGGGAGCATTTCCTCTTTTTCTGTTGATTGGAATAGTTTCAGAAGGAATGATACCAGCTCCTCCTTGTACCTCTGGTAGAATTCGGCTGTGAATCCATCTGGTCCTGGGCTTTTTTTGGTTGGTAAGCTATTGATTATTGCCTCAATTTCAGAGCCTGTTATTTGTCTATTCAGAGATTCAAATTCTTCCTGGTTTAGTCTTGGGAGGGTGTATGTGTCGAGGAATTTATCCATTTCTTCTAGATTTTCTAGTTTATCTGCATAAAGGTGTTTATAGTATTCTCTGATGGTAGTTTGTATTTTTTAATTTTCTTTTGTACTTGAGATGAACCATATTTGCATTCTAACCCCAACCTTTAATACAACCAGGATGTTTTTACTTTCCCTTTTTTGTGTAAGTAAAAAGCAAACATTGGTGAGGAAGGTAGAAGATGTGTGTCCCCTCCTCTTTAATTTTTTTTTTTTTTTGCGACAGAGTCTCGCTCTATCACCCAGGCTGGAGTGCAGTGGCTGGATCTTGGCTAACTACAAGCTCCGCCTCCCGGGTTCATGCCATTCTCCTGCCTCAGCCTCCCTAGCAGCTGGGACTACAGGCGCAGGCCACCATACCCGGCTGATTTTTTGTATTTTTAATAGAGACAGGGTTCCACTGTGTTTGCCAGGATGGTCTCTATCTCCTGACCTCGTGATCCACCTGCCTCAGCCTCCCAAAGTGCTGGGATTACAGGCATGAGCCACCATGCCCAGTCTAAAATCTGACTAGTTTACAAATAGCAAAGATTTCTGGAAAACAAAGTTGGGTTGGTTTTTTTTTCAGGATCAGAAACTGTTATATTTGTATTCCTTCTCTGTGGTGATCTAGAAAAAGCTAAAGGAAAGCAGATTGGACCTGCTGTAGATACTTCAGTGAGATTCAATCAGTTCGGTTTCCGTGAAACCTGTTGAGTCTTGTGGCTTGAGAGTGCTAAGGATTCTCAGCTCTGCTGCTTATTAGCTGCATATTCTTTTTTTTTTTTTTTTTTTTTTTTTGAGATGGAGTTTCACTCTTGTTGCCCAGGCTGGAGTGCAGTGGCACGATCTTGGCTCACTGCAACCTCCACCTCTTGGGTTCAAGTGATTCTCCTGCCTCAGCCTCCTGAGTAGCTGGGATTACAGGCATGCACCACCACATCCAGCTAATTTTACATTATTAGTAGAGACGGGGTTTCACCACGTTGGCCAGGCTGGTCTCGAACTCCTGACCTCAGGTGATCTGCCTGCCTCAGCTTCTCAAAGTGCTGGGATTACAGGTGTGAGCCACCACACCTGGCTTTAGCTGCATAATCTTAGATAAGTTTATTTTTCCAAATCTGTTGCTTCATATGTTAAAGCTGGGGTGTGTGCTTATGAAAACTGTCCACCTCTCCTATGAAGTGTTTTGTGACCTATAAAGTTGTGTAAGGAGTAAATTGGAGATTTTCTTTTTTTCTTTCTTTCTCTTTCTGGGGGATATGGCACTGTCAGTTTCAGATTTTCAGTCCTTTTAGCTTCTTACTTAGACCTACTGGAGCTCCTCCTGGCCTTCATTTTTGCCTGGTGGGAAGCCTAGCTCCAGGACAGATGAGTACACAGTACATCAGGGCAGAGCATCCATTTACTCCATTATGAAGGTCTTGTCTGTCTATATGCCATCAGCTTTGTCAAAGAGCACTTGGGTTTGACTTGTCTTTTGATACTCCTGTGTTTCTGCGGCTTAGACTACCATGTATTAAGTGATGCTTTTTGAATTGCGGATTTTCCAATCTCCTCATAGATAGTCCGCAGACGTTTCAGACTTGAAATGTCCAAAACTTAATTCAGTATCTCTTCCAATCAACCTCCTCTTCACACCATATTTCTCTTTCTCAGTAGCATCATCATCTCTTCTAGTTCCCCATCTAGAAACCCTAATCATTTTAAATTCTTTCCTCTTATTTCTTTTTTTTTTTTCCTGGTGTCCCCTGGGGTTTGTAAAGCTCTCCAGACATTGAGACTGTGCGGGCATGTCTCACTCCAAATTGGGCGAAATCAGTCATTGATTTTAATAGATTTTCACCAGGTACCTTTTCTGCGTTAAGCAGTGGGTTAGAGGCTAGACTCAGAGATGAGTAAAACCAGACCCCACCCCCTGACCTAGCCCTTCTTGCTCAAGAAGCCAACACTTAGTGAGAGCATCGGAAAGCCTGGTGGGCTTCTGAGCCCTGGGACTGGAGAAGTGGGGGTCCCAAATCCCGTTACAAGATCAAAGAGAATAACAACAGGAAACTGCCAGAAATACCCAGTCATGGGCAAAGGGGCCTGTCCACATACCACTTGATGCACAAGAACCCATGTCCTTACTTGAGAGTACATGTGTGTTCACAAGCACGTGGAGCCCAAGGGCCTGTGCAGCTGTCCATGTGGGGATGGGTATCAGGCTTCTGATTGGGATGCACAAGTGGTGTGGGAGTCTCTTTTTTAATTATTATTATTATACTTTAAGTTTTAGGGTACATGTGCACAACGTGCAGATTTGTTACATATGTATACGTGTGCCATGTTGGTGTGCTGCACCCATTAACTCGTCATTTAGCATTAGGTATATCTCCTAATGCTATCCCTCCCCCTTCCCCCCACCTCTTATTTCTTTTATCTTCCTCATTGTTAGTCACCAAATCTTGATTTTACCTGTGAGAGCCTGGGCGATCAATTTAAGTTGTTCCAGTTAGGCTTTTATTGCAAAGCAGTCATTTGTATTTTCTTAAGGATCTTAGGAAAAGCATGAATTAGAGCAGAGCCTACCCAGATATAGAGAGAACTAGATGGCTGTGGGTTCTGGAACTGGCTACGCTCTTTGACTGTCTCTTGGTTTTGTGTTCAGCTCTTCCTCATGATTTTCATCTTTCTGTATCCTTTCAGCTTTTGCCCCAGATAGTAATCCCTTCATTATCTCAGTACTTGCATGTCTAAAATTCCAGAAAGAAAATATGATTCAGCTAAAAAATATCTCTGCTTGGCAGGACCTTTAATGTTAGGTGCTGGCCAGCCAGTTGATTTCTGGTGTCCCTATGTCCACTATGTGCCTCAGCCTGCCGAGTAGCTGGGATTACAGCCACCACCACACCCAGCTAATTTTTTGTAATTTTTAGCAGAGACAGGGTTTCACCATGTTGCT
Source organism: Homo sapiens (assembly GCF_000001405.40). Lineage (NCBI taxonomy): Eukaryota > Metazoa > Chordata > Mammalia > Primates > Hominidae > Homo > Homo sapiens. The sequence goes on from NC_000014.9 coordinate 19,508,637, forward strand.
TAGACTGGTCTTGAACTCCTGACCTCAGGTGATCCGCTCACCTCAGCCTCCCAAAGTGCTTGGATTATAGGCGTGAGCCACAGGGCCCAGCCCACCTGAGGCTTCTTTTTCCTTCCCAAGCCACATCACCATCCTGGTGGAACCCTCCTGTGAGGACAGCCAAGGCCTGAACTACCTGCGGTGGGGAGCACCTCAGGGTTTGCCCAGGCAACCAGCCAGCCCTGGTCCAAGGCATCCTGGAGCGAGTTGTGGATGGCCCCGTGCCCCACCAGACAGTGCGCCTGGAGGACCTGGACGAGAGCGGTGAGCCCCAGGCTGGGGAGCCAGTGCTGCCTGGCATCCTCCGGCCACCCTACCTGGCTGAGGGGCTGGGCCTGGGCCTGCCGGTGACAGCCATCCCTGTCCTTCCTGCTGAGGGGGCAGGCTGTCAAAGCTTATGTGAAAGCAGCTGAAGAAACAGTCACAGCCCATAAGGCAATGCTCCCTGGCCTTCGTTTCCCCAGTGATAACGACACTGCCAGAATATCCCCCTCAGTGCAGTGGCCAAAGTCAGAAAGTGGGATTAGCCAGGCATGGTGGCTCCCAGCACTTTGGGAGGCCAAAGCGGGTGGATCACTTGAGGTCAGGAGTTCGAGACCAGCCTGGAACATGGCAAAACCCCATCTCTACTAAAAATACAAAATAGTAGGGCGTGGGGGCGCACGTCTATAATCTCAGCCACTCAAGAAGCTGAGGCATGGGATTACGCCTGCCAGAAAAAATGTTGTTGCCCAAGCTAGAGTGCAGTGGCGCAATCTCGGGTCACTGCAACCTCCACCTGCCAGGTTCAATAGATTCTCCTGCCTCAGCCTCCCAAGCAAGTGAGATTACAGGCATGTGCCACCACGCCTGGCTAATTTTTTGTATTTTTAGTAGAAATGGGGTTTCACCACGTTAGCCAGGTGAATCCCAAAGTCCTGGGATTACAGGCAAAAGCCACCACACCCAGCCGATATTTTGAATTTTTAAGGTTCATCAGCTTGGTCATTTGTGTGATCCAAAGTTGTAGGCATTTTAAAAACATTAAAAATGTTTTCATTTTTTATTTCTTCTATAATTTTAGACACATATTCATTTTTATTTCTTCTGCAGTTTTAGCTATATATCCCTAAGGTCATACAGCTATTAAAAGCTAGGATTCAAGCCCAGGTCTTCTCATTGTGTTGCTTCTCCAGTACTGCACTACCTCTCCAAGATGCTTTTGATGGTAGCTACAGGATTGCTAAGACCGTATATGGGAAAGGGCTTTGTAAACTGTGAGGCTTTTTTATGTAAAGCAGAACATGATGTGAGATTAAGAAAAGTAAATACTAAAGGAGAAAAGGATGATAAACCCATTTATATAGTCTGTCAATTTAACTTTTTTAATTTTTTTTTTTTTTTTTGAGACAGAGTCTCGTTCTGTCACCAGGCTGGAGTGCAGTGGCACGATCTCGGCTCACTGCAACCTCTGCCTCCCAGGTTCAAGCGATTCTCATGCCTCAGCCTCCCGAGTAGCTGGGACTACAGGCACGTGCCACCACTTCCAGCTAATTCTTTGTATTTTTAGTAGAGACAGGGTTTCACCGTGTTAGCCAGGATGGTCTCGATCTCCTGACCTCGTGATCCACCCGCCTCAGCTTCCCAAAGTGCTGTGATTATAGGCATGAGCCACCCATACCCGGCCAAGTTTAAATGTTTATTTTAATGTTTGTGCAATAACGTCCAGTTTTACCAAGCAGAATGATGTGCATAGGAGCTTTTATGCAGAACTCACTGTTCTTCAGTTAGAGCTTATTACTCTAATAGTGAAATCAAATCCATCTTCAGTTGCTACATGGCTTTGTTAAACAGTTAAACTTGAGTTGGAGATGCTCTGTCGTAGGGAGGAATTTTCGCTCCACAGATGTGTTCATATAATGTATTTTCCCCTTTCCCCTATGGAAACTTTGTGGAAAGATTATTTCAGTGTTAACCCTGATTGATATTTTAGTAATTAAACAAGTGTCTGTTACTCCTTTATCAAGCATTTAATGAGTGTCTTCGGTGTGCTAGGCACTGCACTAGACTCTAGGGATTCAAGGATGAATCACACTTAGTTTCTACCCCCTGGGAATTCATTCTGGTTGGAGAAATTGTTAAAAAAAAATTATCATCCTATGGGATACTTTTTTAAAGTATGAAATGAGATAATGTATGTGAGAAAACTTTGGAAGCTTTACACATTTAAGATTTTTTTCTCCAGTGCATAGCCTGATGCCTGACATATTTTAAATGCTCATTATACCCTTGAATGAATTGGTGAAGAGCCAAGAGTTATGAGAGCATAATACTAGAGTGTAGGTGGATTAGTTCTGCCTGGATGGACAGGTGAGATGTGGAGGCTTCCAAGAATATAACTTTTGAACTGGACTTGGAAATATAAGTTGCTTAAGAATTGAGAGAGAAACGGGGCCAAAGGCAGGGGTGGCAGGTCAGTGCTGCTCGGGGGCTTCTCCATCCAGGTCCCTGGAGCTCCCGGTCCCTGGAGCTCCGCACTTGGGGGCACAACCTGCATGAGGCAGCGCCACTCTGGTGACTGGCCGGCCATGCCGTCCCGGGCTGAGGACTATGAAGTGTTGTACACCATTGGCACAGGCTCCTATGGCCGCTGCCAGAAGATCCGGAGGAAGAGTGACAGCAAGATATTAGTTTGGAAAGAACTTGATTATGGCTTCATGACAGAAGCTGAGAAACAGATGCTTATTTCTGAAGTGAATTTGCTTTGTAAACTGAAAAATCCAAACATCGTTCATTACTATGATCGTATTATTGACCGGACCAACACAACACTGTACATTGTAATGGAATATTGTGAAGAAGGAGACCTGGCTAGTGTAATTACAAAGGGAACCAAGGAAAGGCAATACTTAGATGAAGAGTTTGTTCTTCGAGTGACAACTCAGTTGACTCTGGCCCTGAAGTAATGCCACAGACGAAGTGATGGTGATCATACTGTAGTGCGTCGGGATCTGAAACCAGCCAGTGTTTTCCTGGATGGCAAGCAAAACGTCAAGCTT